>NC_000002.12:85971460-86276843 GCF_000001405.40 Homo sapiens | reverse complement strand
GGGGTCTGAGATTCTGCATTTCTAACAGGCTCCCAGATGATGCCAACAGTGCTGGTCCACGGACCTCACTTTGATTGCAAGGAGCTGGCATCAGGCTTAATCATAGATTAAGGAACCCTCATTTCCTTGGTTCCTGCACCTTTAGATTCTGGCTAAGAAGCACCACCATATGTTGGTCACTGGTTCAGAGGAGAAACTGCACCCTCCAGGACTGCACACCAATCTCATAAAATGCTGACTCCCACCTTGGTTGCTTTCGGAACCCTCCAATGCCAGGTAGCACTGTATAAGGCCAGCCACCGCAGGGCATTGGGTGCATAAGATCAATGACTCCCCAAAGCATCAGCCTATTGCCTTATTTCTTTTGCTATAAAGGAGGGTCCTTGATGAGAAGCAGTATTGTGTGGGATGCATCAAAAGGAAAAGGGTAATCCCTGAGTCCACAGCTTGCTGTGTGGCTGCCAGAAGCAGAGCAGTAGGAAAAGCAAGTCCACATGCAGAAAAAATGAATATTCCAGAAAAGACCCTATGCCGCCCACTCCATGAGGGAAGGGGCCTGGTGGAATGAACCTGCTTCCAGAAGGCTGGCTGGTGCCTTGTGATATGGTATCAGCCTGGAGATGCTTGGTCATTGCTGCTGGCAACATGGTCTCTGAGCAGTGGTTGTGGCCAGGTCAGCCTTGGTGAGAGGGATTCCACATTGCTGAGCCTGTATGCTACCTCTGTCACTTCCACTTGGCTGTTTGGTACATGAGCCCATTGAACATGCACTATCAAGCCTGAGGAAGGAGGCTGGCCGACATCCACAGACCTGGCCATCTCATGCACTTGGTCACTAGGAGCCTCCTCTGCTGTGGGACCTGTTGGTGAGCATAAGCGTTGGGCCAACAATGTATTCATTCTCTGGGCCCATTCACCTCATTCCCAGACCACCTCAACAGGAGTCTCTCAGCCTCACTTCTTCCAAGAACCTCATCCTCTAGACAGAGCTTTAGCTGGTGTTTGAAAATGTGCCCGGGATTTGTTTTACTCAGGGATGGAAAGTCACAAAGACGTGGAAATGACTGTCATGAAGGAAGAAGTCTAGAAGTAGGAGAGTCACATGCTTTGTAGGGCCACATGGGGAAGCACCAGGCCAGTCAGGAGGCTGACGGAGAGTGGGAAACGTGGGCAGTGGCCTTCATTGTGGTTTCTGTGAGAAAGGTAAGGCAAGACAGGGTAAACAGATTTCAGATTGGCTAGGTGGAATCATTTCAGCAGGCTCCAAGGTGTGGGCGCTGCCTCTAGTTGTCTGGGACCTGGCTCTGGGGTGGTTATGGTTGGGGAATATTGCCCAACCTGTGGGAGCTCCATAAAGGAAGTAATTTAGAGTATAGACTCTGGATTGGTTAGTTTGCATATGAAAGGTGTGCTGGGGCAAGGCTAGCCCTGGAAGGGCAGTCCCTCTGTAATCATTGAGGCCCCAGATGCCAGAGCATCAAGAATATAGAAAATAAGAAAATGGAGTTCATATACCCGGTGACAGTGCGTGAACATTAACTTAGGGCATTTCTCCCTCCAGGCTAAGTGCCCTGCTCAAAGTCCTGCCTGCAGGGGAATTTCACTTTCCCGCTCTCCTAGGGTCACCCCTGACTATATAGCCATCCACGGTGAGCAGATGGTGCAGAGTCATCTGTAAAGCAGGCTTGAATTTTTTCTTTCTGTCATATGGCACAGGGAATTCCCTGTGAGGCTGAAGCGCAGGGCCCAGATGCAAGAGGGTGTGAAAGGCTTGAGAAATTGAATGTGCCTGGTTAGAGCAGAGTCCAAAGGTGAGGTGAGGCTAAAGAAGTAGCTAAGCCTGCTCCTCTGCAGCCCATAGGGAGGCCTTTGGCAGGCTGCCAGAAGCTCTGGCAGTGGGGTAGAATGGACCAGGGAATTTCAGCCAGCTGCTGTGGCTCATGGAAAGTCTCCAGGCCGCTTCCTACCCTGAGCTCTGGAGCTTCTTGCTGTGGCTGAGGGTCACAGCATCTTTCCCATCTCTTCACTCCTAGATCCTGCTCCTGACCAGTTTAGAGAGACTCCCCAGTCATACTGTCAACGTTCCATTTGTCCAGGAGAGTTACTCCTGAATATTACCTCTCAAATTGGCCATAGCTCCCTCTCTCTATTCTGACTGAAGGCCCACCCAGGCTCCTCATCCCTATCTTGCAGGGAGGTTTGGATAGAATCTTTCAAACATGGAAAATTATATTTCAAACCTTGGGGAAAATAACTGTCATTTGATTTCCACGAGGAATGATGGGGAAGACCATTTCCTAGTAATTTTAGATGGCTATGGTTTCCATCTCTGAGTCACCAGTGTTCCGTTGACCTTGTTAGCCTCAATGAGTCATTCTCAGATCCTTCTTTCTGCATGAAAGTATTTCAAAGGAGTGCATCATGGGAACTTCTTCAGGAGAATGCATTAAGTCCCCTCTCTGCCATGGCTGCAGCATCTCTGTCCATAGCCTCAACCTCCTTCCTGAGCTTTGGTCTTGCTTTTCTAGGAATCCGTTGGGCAATCTTCTTGGCTGCCCTGAGCCACATAAAGCTCAAACTCTTCTGCCTAAATTGGCTCTTTCTTTACTTTCTTGTTGGTGCAAGTGGCCCCATAATTATCAGTCTCTGATGTCCTGACTTCAACAGGTGCCTTTCTTCCTATGTTTATGCAGTCATCAACTCAGTAGGCACTCATAGGGAGCATCTGTTGCCTCACAAGTTGTCTAATTCTGTCTTTTCTTCTCAAAAAGCCATCTAGACAGTATTTCTCAAAGTATACTCTTTCTTAACCTTTTGAAACCATTCTTTCTGTCCCATTCACAGTGCCAGCATTCTAATCCGGTCATTTGAAACATACTCATTCAGTACCTATTATATGTCAGGAATTGTTTTGGGTACTAGAGATATAAAGATGTATAAGGAGAACTGGTCTCCACCCTCAGGGAGCTTACAATGTATTAGGAAAAGCAGGGGAATAAACAGGTACTTTCAAAGCAGTGTGATAAATGTTATGACAGGGAATGTGTGTGGTACTGTAAAGAAAGACAAGGAGAGGGTATTTACCCAAACTTCGGGTATGTCCTAGAGGAGGTCACGTTTTTGCTGAGATCTGAGGGCTGAAATCAGACGCAAAAAAAGATGCTTTGTTGAGAACTGAAAGACTCATATGGTTGGAGTGGAAAATGTGAGAGGGTAGGGGTGTGGATGAGCTTTTGATGAAAATAATTAGGGGCCAGTTTGCGGGTGTGGTGGATCAAGCCTGTAATCCCAGCACTTTGGGAGACTGAGGCAGGTGGATTGCTTGAGCTCAAGAGTTCAAGGCCAGCCTGGGCAACATGGTGAGACCCTGTCTCTACAAAAAATACAAAAAAACTGGCCAGCCTTGGTGGCATGCACCTATAGTCCCAGCTACTCAAGACGCTGAGTGGGAGAATCACTTGAGCCCAGCAGGTCGAGACTGCAGTGAGCTGTGTTTGCACCACAGCACTTCAGCTTGGATGACAAGCGAGACCCTGTCCCCCTCAAAAAAAAAAAAAAAAAGGTAGGGGCCAGTTCATGCTAGGCCTCATAAGCCAATGTAAGGAATTTGGGCTTTATCTTAACAACAGTAAGGAACTATTGAAGGCTATAAACTAGGAAAGAAAGTCACCCGCTTTAGGTTTAAGAATTTTTTTTTTTTTTTGAGACAGGGTCTTGTTCTGTTGCCAAGGCTGGAGTACAGTGGTATAATCACAGAGCTGTGATTATACACAGCACTGCAGCCTTGACCTCCCCAGGTTCAGGTGATCCTTCTGCCTTAGCCACCCTGGTAGCTGTGACTACAGGTGTGCATCACCATGCCCAGCTAATTTTTGTGTTTTTTTATAGAGACGGGGTTTCACCGCATTTCCCAGGCTGGTCTCAAACTCCTGGGCTCAAGTGATCCACCTGCCTCAGCCTCCCAAAGTGCGGGGATTACTGGCATGAGCCACCATGACTGGCCTTAAGAAAATCATTTTGGCTGGAATTTGGAGGATGGATTGTGAAGGGGACAGAGGTGTAAAGACCAGCATAAAGTTGTAACTATTCTAAACAGGAGATGGTGGTGTTCTGAAGTAAGGAAATGGCAGAGGAGAATGGAGAAAATAAGACAGGTTCAAGAAAAATACAAGAGGGTGGAAGTGACAGAACTTGGGGATTGGTTACCTGTGTTAGGTGAGGAATGTACAGTTTTCCCTAGGGACAGTGTCTAGTCTAGAGTTAGAAGCAGATGTCTAGAACAGAGCTCTAGGGAGGAAATGAAGACACTGAGAAGAAGTGGCAAGAAAAGCAATTGGGAAACCAGGACAATTGTAGTGTTGGGAGAGCTTTTCAGTATGTGATTGTTTCACTACTAGCCAAAAAGTCAAGCAAGCCAAGTAAAAACTGAAAAGAGGTTTCTTACACTTCCTTGAAGTATGTTACAAAGTGGAGGCCCCAGTGAGAGCAATTTTGATGTAATGGATGCACTGCAGTGAGCAAGTGAGGAATGAGAAAGTAGATCTTGCAAGTATAGATGACTCACTGGAGAAGTTTGTAGCTAAGGGTTGCATCAAGGAAAGGGATTTTTAAAAAATTTTCTGAGATGGAGTTTCACTCTTGTTGCCCAGGCTGGAGTGCAGTGGCGTGCTCTTGGCTCACTGTAACCTCCACTTCCCGGATTCAAGCAATTCTCCTGCCTCAGCCTCCTGAGTAGCTAGGATTACAAGTGCGTACACCACACCTGGCTATTTTTTGTATTTTTAGCAGAGACGGGGTTTCACCATGTTGGTCAGGCTAGTCTCAAACTCCTGACCTCAGGTGATCTGCCCGCCCCAGCCTCCCAAAGTGCTGGCGTTACAGGCGTGACCCACCACGCCTGGCCAAGGAGAGGGATTTTTAAAATTGTTATCATTGTCCTTTTGCTCTAATTGAAGACCCAAAACATGAATTGACTACTAAAAAGAAAAAACCTATAAAGAAGGAATTCAGGCTCCTGACAATGTGTCTGGATACTGATGTTGAGAATTCCCAGATCCTGAGCCCCAGCAGGCTATAGACTTTACCACTGGACAAAACCTCATTTGCCCCCTGCTAAGGAGTCAGTGCTGCTACAGACAACCTGGCAGTGTGCAGTGTCTCAGACAGTAGTTATTTGATGGACTAAACCTACCTTGTTTTTCTGATAGAGAAGATCTGTAAGTAATCCATTGAGAAACATGTTTTAGAGTCACAAAGACAACATGGATTCACCAGAACAGCTTTCATTTTTTGAAAGATATTTTTGCTGGGTATAGAATTCTAGGTTGACATTTTTTTTCCTTTTAGCACTTTAAAGATGTTATTCCATTTTCTCTGATAGTCATTTTTTCCAATGAAAAGTCAGCTATCATTCTTATTCTCATTCTCTTGTGTGTAATGTATCTTTGCATCCTCTCTGCTTTTAAGATTTTCTGTATGGTAATGATTTTTCTTTTTTTCTCTTCTTTTCTTTCTTTTTTTTTTTTTAAGCAGTTTTACTATGACTTGCCTAGGTATGGTTTTCTTTTTCTTTGTATTTATCTTGCTTGGGATTCACTGAGCTTCCTGGTTCTTTGGGTTTGTTGGTTTGTTTATTTGTTTATTTTTTTGTTTGAGACAGAATCTTGCTCTGTTGCCCAGGCTGGAGTGCAGTGGCATGATCTCAGCTCACTGTAACCTTTGCCTCCCGGGTTCAAGCAATTCTTGTGCCTCAGCCTCCCAAGTAACTGGGACTACAGGCACTCACCACCATGCCCAGCTAATTATTATATTTTTAGTAGAGACAGGGTATTGCCAAGTTGCCCAGGCTGGTCTAGAACTCCTGGCCTCAAGCGATCCACCTGCCTCAGCCTCCCAAAGTGTTCCCATCACACCTGATCAGGGTTTGTTATTTTTTTTTTAATCAAATTTTAGAACTTTGTAGCCAGTATTCTTCAAGTGTTTTTTTTTGTTCTCCATTCTCATGTTTCTTTCCTTCTGGAATTCCTATTACATGTATGTTAGACTGCCTGATGCAGTCCAACACATATTGAGCCTCTCAGTGTTGTTTTCCAATCTAGGCTTTAGTCTGCATGGCTTTAGTCTGGATTTGTCTTCAAATACACAGATCTTTTCTTTTGTTGTATCCAATATGCTGTTAATTCTGTCATACTGTTTCATTTCAGATATTGTGCTTTTGAATTCTAGGATATCATTTGTTTCTTTTTTAAGAGTTTCCTTCTTTCTCTTGAAATCCCCCATCTCTCCACTCATTGTATTCACATTTTCTTTTAGATTCTTTAACATATTTATACTTTTTAAAGAAAAATATGGCTGGGCACGGTGGCTCACACCTGTAATCCCAGCACTTTGGAAGGCCAAGTGGGTGGATCACCTGAGGTCAGCAGTTTGAGACCAGCCTGACCAACATGGAGAAACCCTGTCTCTACTAAAAATACAAAATTAGCCAGGCGTGGTGGCGCATGCCTGTAGTCCCAGCTACTCGGGAGGCTGAGGCAGGAGAATCACTTGAGCCTGGGAGGAGGAGGTTACGGAGAACTGAGATCGTGCCATTGCACTCCAGCCTGGGCAACAAGAGCAAAACTCCATCTCAACAAACAAACAAACAAACAAACAAACAAACAAACAAACAAAAGAAAAATGATACTGAACGCATCCTTTTCCTCCTAGGATAAGTATCTTGTTATGTGGTGACAAAACAAAAGTTTAGTTTTCATAATAAAAGTTTTGTTAATAAGTTGCTGTATATCTGTATATCTTCTTTGTGGAGTGTCTGTTCAGATCTTTTGCCCATTTTTTAATTGGGTTGTTTGTTTTCTTATTGTTGAGTTTTAAGAGTTCTTTGTATATGTTGAATACAAGTCCTGTATCAGATATATATCTTGCAAAATATTTTCTCCCAATCTGTGGGAGAAAATTGAGTTGTTTGTTTTCTTATTGTTGAGTTTTAAGAGTTTTTTTTTTATATTTTAAATATAAGTGCTTTATCAGATATGTGTTTTATAAATATTTTCTCCCAGTCTCCTTGTTCTCTAAATGTTACCTGTGCAGAGCGGAAGTTTTTAATTTTATTATTATTTTTTCCTGACCACCTATTACCATCATGTCCTGCACTAGTGTTTCAGGTTTATTTTTAAATGTCCTTTGCTGGGAGGAAGGGGCCATTCAGTTGGTTGGGAGCTTAGAATTTTATTTTTGGCTTATAATCCAGTATGTAGATGGTTTGCTGGTAGCCTAAGAATCAAAAGAGCAATGCAAAATTGATACTTTGGCTTAGTTAGAATTCCTCACCCACAGGGACTTCAGACCTCACTGGACAAATTGTAATTTGTCAAACCGAAGTAAAATATTTAGGACATTTGTCACTGAATGCCATAAAGTGTTATAATCTAGGAGTTAGCTAATTTTGCAGATGAAATGGCAACAACAAATATAACTTAGACAATTTGGGGGACTAGTAGGATATTTTCCACAGTGGAGTTCAGGGTCAAAGGCAAAATTACAACAAATTTAGTTTAAATACCTCAGTTGACTTTATTATGAGCCTAGAATTGGGCAACACTTCATTCTATAAAATAGAACAAGTGTTCTAACAAGCTGAGCTGAAGGGATTGGCTTTATAGACAGAAGGGATGAAGAAAAAAGGTTTTGAATTTTAATGAAGTCCAACTTAACGATTTTTTTCTTTCATAGATCATACCATTGATGTTGTATCCAAAAACTCAGTGCCAAAGCCCGAGGTCTTTAGATTTTCTTATATGTTGTCTTCTAGAAGTTTTTTAGTCTTGTGCTTTGCATTTAGACCTATGATCCATTTTGAGTTAATCTTTGTGAAAGATGTAAGGTCAGTGCCTAGATCCATTTTTCATTGTTGTTATTGCATGTGAATGTCCAGTTTTCCCAGCATCATTTGTTAAAAAGACCATCTTTTCTCTACTGAATTGCTTTTGCTCCTTTGTCAAGGATCAAATCACTATACTTGCGTGGGTCTATTTCTGGGATCTGTGTTCTGTTCCATTTATCTATTTGTTTATTTTTTTACCAGTTGCACATGGTCTTGATTATTTTAGCTTTACATTAAGTTTTGAAATCTGATAGCTTTAGTCTTTCAATGTTGTTCTTCTTTTGTATTATATTAATTGTTCTGGTCTTTTACCTTTCCATATAAACTTTATAATCGGTTTGTTGATATCCATAAGAAACTTGCTGGGATTGTGATTGGGGTTGCATTGAATCTATAGATCAAGTTGGGAAGAGCTGACATCTTGACAATATTGAGTTCTCCTATATATGAACATGAAATATTTCTCCATTTATTTAGATCTTTGATTTCTATCATTTGTATAGTTTCCTTTATATAGACTTTTTACATATCCTGTTTGATACATTTCTAAGTTATTCATTTTTAGATGGTACTAACATAAGTAGCATTTGTGTTTTAATTTCAAGTTCCAGTTATTATGTAGGAAAGCAATGGACTTTTATACATTAACCTTGTATCCTGCAACCTTGCTCTAATCATTTATTAATCCCAGGAGGATTTTTTTGGTGAGTTCCTTGGGATTTTCTACGTAGACAGTTACACCATCTATGAGGAAAAATGGTTTTATCTCTTTCTTCCCAGTCTGTATATGTTTTCTGTTTCTTGTCTTATTGCATTATCTAGGACTTCCATTATGATATAGGAGTGATGGAAGAGAATAACTTTGCCCTTTTTCTGATCTTAGGAGGAAATCATCTATTTTCTCACCAGTAAGTCTAATGTTAGCTGTAGGGTTTTAAAAAAAATATGTTCTTTATCAAGTTGAGGAGCTTCCCTTCTATTTCTACTTTGCTAAGGTTTTTTTTTTTTAAGTCACAAATGAGTGTTGGATTTTTTTCATTACTGATTCAGTTTCTTAAATAGACTATGGGCCCTTTGCACGTTTTTAACTGGGTTATGTACCCTTTTATTGTTGAGTTATAAGAGTTTTTTATATATTTAGATATAAGTACCTTATCAGATGAATGATGTGCAAATATTTTCTACCATTTTGTGGGTTGTGTTTTTACTTTCTCGATGGTGTCCTTTGAAGCAAAACAGTTTTTAATTTTGATGAAGTCTAATTTGTCTTCTTTTTGAGGTAGGATCTTGCTCTGTTGCCCTGGCTGAAGGGCAGTGACATGATCATAGCTTACTGCAGCCTTGAACTCCTGGGCTCAAGCCATCCTCCTGCCTCAGCCTCCCAAATAGCTAGCTAGGACTACAGGTGTGTGACACCATGCCTGGCTACTTTTTGAGTTTTTTAGTGGAGACAGTGTGTATTAGTCTGTTTTCACACTGCTATAAAGAACTTCCCTGAGACTGGGTAATTTATAAATGAGGTTTAATTGACTCACAGTTCTGCATGGCTAGGGAGGCCTCAGGGAACTTACAATCATGGTGGAACGTGAAGGGGAAGCAGGCACCTTCTTCACAAGGTGGCAGGACAGAGAGAGACAGCAAAGGAAACTACCTGTTATAAAACCATCAGATCTTGTGAGAACTCACTCACCATCATGAGAACCACATGGGGGAAACCGCCCCCATGAACCAATCACCTCCCACCAAGTCCCTCCTCTGACATGTGGGGATTAAAATTGGATTACAATTTGAGAAGAGATTTAAGTGGGGACACAACCACACATCCAAACCATATCATGGGCTCTCACTATGTTGCCCTGGCTGATCTCAAATTCCTGGCCTCAAGCAATTCTCTCATCTTGGCCTCCCAGTAAATTTTTTAGTTTGGTTGTTTTTTTTTGTTTTTTTTTTCCCCTGAGACAGAGTCTTGCTCTGTCACCCAGGCTGGAGTGCAGTAGCCCAATCTCAGCTCACTGCAACCTCTTCCCCCTGGGTTCATGCCATTCTCCTACCTCAGCCTCCTGAGTAGCTGGGACTACAGGTGCCCACCACCATGCCCGGCTAATTTTTTGCATTTTTAGTGGAGACGGGGTTTCATCGTGTTAGCCAGGATGGTCTCGATCTCCTGACCTCGTGATCCACCCACCTCGGCCTCCCAAAGTGCTGGGATTACAGGCGTGAGCCACCACGCCTGGCCTTTTAGTTTGTTTTTTTGTGTGTGTGCTTTTGGTAGTATATCTTTATTTATTTATTTATTTATTTTATTTTTTTTATTTTTATTTTTATTTTTATTTTTTGAGATGGAGTCTCGCTCTGTCGCCCAGGCCGGACTGCGGACTGCAGTGGCGCAATCTCGGCTCACTGCAAGCTCCGCTTCCCGGGTTCACGCCATTCTCCTGCCTCAGCCTCCCGAGTAGCTGGGACTACAGGCGCCGGCCACCGCGCCCGGCTAATTTTTTGTATTTTTAGTAGAGACGGGGTTTCACCTTGTTAGCCAGGATGGTCTCGATCTCCTGACCTCATGATCCACCCGCCTCGGCCTCCCAAAGTGCTGGGATTACAGGCGTGAGCCACCGCGCCCGGCCCTTTTGGTAGTACATCTAAGAAAGCATTGCCTGATCCAAGGTCAGAAATATTTAATTATATGTTTTTCTTGTAAGTGTTTTATAGTTTTAACTCTTACATTTAGGACTCTGATCCATTTGAAGTTAATTTTTGTATATGGTATGAAGTTGTTCAACTTTATTATTTTACATGTGGATATCTAGTTAACTCAAAACGTATTGATACCTTTTAAAGCCCTTGTCTGCTAATTCTAATATCGAAGTCATCTGTGGATCTGTTTCTATTGACCAATTTTTCTCCTAACCATGGATTATATTTTCCTATTCCCTCACGTGTAGTATTTTATTGTATACAGAACCTTGTGTGTGATTCATTGTGGAAACCACAGATATTTTATACATTTTTCTTATTTTTTTGTGTTTATAGCTTTAGGGGGTACAAGTGCAGGTTTGTTACGTGGATATATTACATAGTGATGAAGTCTGGGCTTTTAGTGTAACCATCACCCAAGTAGTCTAAATTGTACCCATTCGGTAGTTTCTCATCCCTCATCCCCTCCTACCTTCCCACCTTTTCAAGTCTCCAAAGTCTATTATTCCACTCTCTATGTCCATGTGTACACATTATTTAGCTCCTATTTATAAGTGAGAACATGCAGTATTTGGCTTTCTGTTTCTGAGTTATTCTACTTATGATAATGGACTCCAGTTCCATCTATATTGCTGCAAAAGACATGATTTTTTATTATGGTTGGGTAGTATTCCATTGTGCATATATATATATGTATGTATATACACCCCATTTTCTTTATTCAGTCATCCATTGATAGACTTAGGTTGTAGATTTTTTTTTGCCTTCTTGTGAAGAATGTTGAGTGTTGTTCTAGCAGGCAGTTAAATTCAGGCAGATCACCTTGACCCTGTGGCAGCTAGATACGTTTTGTTTGGGCAGGTATATTTAAATTTTGCTCTTAGTCATAGAGTTAATCTCTTAGTGTTAGGATGTAATTTTTATTGCTAAGATGTGGTCTTCCAGGTGTTTCACTGGAAATTCCAAATGCTTACCAAACCCCTCTAACTTTGCATGACTTGAATTCCAAACTTTGTTTCCCCAACAGTGGGCAGAAGCTAAATCTCTGCTCAACTCTGAGCTTTTCAGCTTTCCAGCTGTTTATATCTACATTTATATCTATATGTATTTATATCTATATTATTATACAGACTTCTTCGCTTGGAGTCTTACCTGCTTCTGTGCATTTCAGGGACCTGCCAAGTTTTTGAAGAGAATTTATATGTAGATTTTTGGGGTGCCCCTTTATGGCTTCCCTAATTCTGAGATTTTTCTCTGTCCACTTCCAGCATCTCTGGCAGTCTCAAACTGCATTCTCCTTTTCTTTGGACAAATAAGACTCTGGATTTGAGATTGAGTTCTCTCTGCCCCATGATGTGCAGAGTGAGGACTGTCCTCAGCCGCACTGACTTGTACTAACCCAGTGTGGTTCCCGTGCTCCAAAGCTTGAACCCCTTCCAGTCTCTGTCTGCTTTTTATATTGCTCTCCAGGGCCTTCAAACAGTTGTTTTGAAATATTTTGTTTGGTGTTTATTATCATTATTAGTAGGAGCCTTAGTTCAATATAAGCTACCTCACTTTTGCCAGAAGCCAGAAGGAGTAGACTAAGGAATCTGGACTTGATTCTGCAGGCTGGGATATTTTAAATGGGGTGATAGTCTGATGAGTTTATACTTTTGGGAGAATAGTACAGGGGTGGCTTGGTATTAGGATGGGTTGCTGAGGGGAAAGTCAGGAAACAAGGGAAGTAGGAGTAGTTCAAGAGAGAGGGGACAAAGGCCTTAGGGGAGAAAGGCAGTAGAAATTGAAAAGGATGGTCACATGGGAGAGATAAAAGGAAGATCAGAATTCCTAGATTACTACCATGCCATCCCAGAGAGTGTGGCCCAGTTACACTTCATTCCAGGGTGTGTTTGTGTAGAGGCCTAGAGCATTTTCTCCCCTGATGTTCTGAAAAATGACCTGATTGAATCCTGGGTCACTCTTGGTCCGCAGGTCTCCCCGGCTCACTTTAGGGCCATATGACCTTCAGCCTGAGTCAGTTGTGGAACAGCCCATTTGCTTCCAGCTTCAAGATCTGGAGCAGAACTGGACATAAGCTGGGGAAGGATAGGGAGAAGGCTACAAATGCAGGCTGCACCACCTGGACGTGCCTCCGTATCTGCCGCCGGGGCCTGTTCTTCCTGGTGTTGGGCAGTGTTTTTCCTGGACCTTTTCTACCAGCTGTGTTGCTTTCTGTTTCAACAGGTCAAATGGATGATGTACTGGATTATATTTGCACTTTTCACCACAGCAGAGACATTCACAGACATCTTCCTTTGTTGGTAAGTACTCCAGGAGTTGGGATGTTTCTAAGGACAATTTTGCTTAGTGTCACTCAGGGGGAGGTGGGAAAGGGCTGAACCCAGCCTCAAACCTCACCTCAGGCCAGAGACGCAAGAGCAGGGATGTTAACTGGAGCATTTTTAATAGATTAGTCCACAAAGTTGTTCTTCAAGTAAATATTTATTGAATGACCTTATAAAGAGCAGTTATTATTCTAAGCCCTGGGGATATAGTCATGGACAGGACAGATACACATCCTCAATTAATGGAGTTGGTAAAGAAGCATTCGTACGTTAAAAAAGTAAAGGAACAAAAGAAACAATGCACAAAAATGCACAGGAAAAACTGAGTTTCCTTCTCACTCAATTCATGGTCAACATAATCACTACTCACAGTTGTGTATCCTCTTAAAAAACTAATATATGGCCTAGGTGTGGTGGCTCATGCCTGTAATCCCAGCACTTTGGGAGGCCGAGGTGGGTGGATCACCTGAGGTCAGGATTTTGAGACCAGCCTGGCTAACATGGCGAAACCCCATCTCTGCTAAAAAAAAATACAAAAAAATAATTAGCCGGGCATGGTGGTGCACACCTGTAGTCCCAGCTACTTGGGAGGCTGAGGCAGGAGAATCACTTGAACCCAGGAGGTGGAGGTTGCAGTAAGCCAAGATCGCATCATTGCACTCCAGCCTGGGTGACAGAGCAAGACTGTGTCTCAAAACAAACAAACAAACAAACAAAAACTAATATATGTGTGTGTGTATACACACATTTTACACACACTTCTTTTTTTTAAAAGCAGTATTATAGTATACATGAGAGTTCTCACTTTGCTTATTAAATTTATTTTGGAAATACTTTTATATGAGCATAAATACATCTACCTAATTTTTAATGGCTACATAATATTTCATGGCATAGATGGAGCATAATTTATTTGTCATCCCCTTTTGATGGGCATTTAAGTTGATACCCATATTTTTCTCTTATCAGCAATGCAGCTATTTCCAGCAATGAAGCAATTAAAAAACAAGCTAGATCTTTGTATTGCTGTATTGTGCCTTCTTAGGCGAAAGAAGCTGTAAATAATATATCGATTTCTGTTTGTATTTAAAGAGTTGAGTGTGTGCACATGTGAATGTGTATTAAAAGTAGTGTGGAAAATATAGTTAACGAGGGTTATTTCTACGACTTGGGATCATGGGGTTGGTTTTGCATTTGCTGTGTTGTACGAATGTTTTAACCATGGTGAAGTGTGATCAGAGAAAGTAATCAAGATATTTCCACTTTGGAGAAAACAGGTTCTTACCCAAAAAGGATCAGTATGAAATTACCCTCTGGGACGTCCTAGGCCAAGGAATAGACCTGAATAGCACTCTCTGAATCCTGTTTTGAGTCAATGGCCTTAATTATCTTAGCATGTACTTTTCCCCACAACATAGCTTTCACCTCCACTGAGAGAAGTAGATGTCCCAGCCATTGTAGCCTCAAGCTGTAGTGAAGGAGTATGGATTTCCTAATTCAATATGCTTGTGCCTTCGCACCCTGCACTGTGCACAGGTAGTGCAGCAGACTCTGGATGAAGCTGAGTCTCCTTAAGTGGGACAGAGCTCTCTGCTGAGCCATCCCTTGTCTCCCCGAGACCTTGAGGCTGGCCCTGGAAGTCAGGCCATTTTGTACAGAGCTGCATCAGGAAATGAAGGGGTGGGTTGCCTCTCCACACCTGTGGGTGTTTCTCGTTAGGTGGAACGAGAGACTTGGAAAAGAAAAAGACACAGAGACAAAGTATAGAGAAAAAAATAGGGGGACCCAGGGAACCAGCGTTCGGCATATGGAGGATCCCGCCAGCTTCTGAGTTCCCTTAGTATTTATTGATCATTCGTGGGTGTTTCTCCGAGAGGGGGATGTGTCAGGGTCGCAAGACAATAGTGGGGAGAGGGTCAGCAGACAAACACGTGAACAAAGGTCTTTGCATCATAGACAAGGTAGAGAATCAAGTGCTGTGCTTTTAGATATGCATACACATAAACATCTCAATGCTTTACAAAGCAGTATTGCTGCCCGCATGTCCCACCTCCAGCCCTAAGGCGGTTTTTCCCTATCTCAGTAGATGGAACGTACAATCGGGTTTTATACCGAGACATTCCATTGCCCAGGGATGGGCGGGAGACAGATGCCTTCCTCTTGTCTCAACTGCAAAAGGCATGCCTTCCTCTTATACTAATCCTCCTCAGCACAGACCCTTTACAGGTGTCGGGCTGGGGGACGGTCAGGTCTTTCCCTTCCCATGAGGCCATATTTCAGACTATCACATGGGGAGAAACCTTGGACAATACCTGGCTTTCCTAGGCAGAGGTCCCTGCGGGCTTCCACAGTTTTTGTGTCCCTGGGTACTTGAGATTAGGGAGTGGTGATGACTCTTAAAGAGCGTGCTGCCTTCAAGCATCTGTTTAACAAAGCAGATCTTGCACAGCCCTTAATCCATTTAACCCTGAGTTTGACACAGCACATGTTTCAGAGAGCACGGGGTTGGGGGTAAGGTTATAGATTAACAGAATCTCAAGGCAGAAGAATTTCTCTTAGTACAGAACAAAATGGAGTCTCCTATGTCTACTTCTTTCTACACAGACACAGTAACAATCTGATCTCTCTTGCTTTTCCCCACAAGGAAACTCCTGTCTGATTCACAAAGATGAGAGTAGAGGCCGGCCCAGTCAAGACTGTGTAGTCAATTAAATAGCACCTCCTGCCATCCAGCCTTTCCTCCTTAACCAGGCCTTCTGTGTGGTGCTAGGGGCCTCTTCTGTCCTCCCGTGTTAGTCTCATGAGCCCATTCCTGGGGATATCAGCATTTCAGCCTCACTGCTTTTTGCTGGGTGGAAATCCTATCTAATGATGGCTGTGTTCCTCCTGGGTAGCTGGAATATGCCCTTACCTGTGGCCCTGGAATTTTAGAGTTTCATATCTAGTAAGTGCTCAACAACTATTTCTGGAATTGATTTCATTTTGATTTTGGGAGGCATATTAGTTTTCTATTGCTGCCATAACAAATTACCACAAATTTAACAGCTTAAAACAGTACAAATGTGTGATTCCACAGCTTCTGTAAGTCGGAAGTACAGGTGGAATCATCCTCTGCTTAGAATCTCACAAGACCAGAATCAAGGTGTGGGCCAGCCTGGTCTTTTATCTGAAGGCTCTGGAGAAGATTCCCCTTCCAGGCCCATTCAGGTTGTTGGCAGAATTCAGTTCCTTATGATTGTAGGACTGAGGTCTCCGTTTTCTTGACACATGCCACCACCTTCATCTTCAAGCCAATGATGGCCTGTCGAGTCCTGCCCATGCTTTGACTCTGTGTCTGCTTCTGCCACCAGTTAGGGAGGATCTCTGCTTTTGTTTTAAGGGCTCTTGTGATTAGATTAGGCCTACCCCAATAATCCCATATAATCTCCCTGTCTTAAAGTCGTCTGATCAGTAACCTTCATTACATCTTGGCCAAAACTCTGCCTACCACAGGGGGATGTTTGATGCCTGGTGTGTTTGGAGCATGTATGCAGGTATGGGTAGAATCCCCCTCTCTTCCTGACCCATGTGGAGGCCTCTTCTGCTCCCTTATTTGGTCTCTTAGCTGGGGGTGTCCAGGCAGTTTGTGGGTGGGAAGTGAGGGTCCTTTGCTCTTCTCCTGGTGGCCTGAGTTCTGCTTCTGCAGGGAAGAGGCTCCTTAGGAACCTTTCTGCCTGCTTTATCCCACAGCCTGATCATGTCCTCACCCTGCTTTCTCTTTTTCTCCCAACCTCCAGGTGTCATAGATCCTAGTCTTCTTCTGGGAGGGTCCTCTCTCTCCTTCCTTCCTCTCACCCTGAGAACAGGCACAGGATGGGCCCATCAGGGAATGTAGGAATTTTGCTTCACTTCCAAGCACATGGGCACCATCTCCGCAGCTCTGAGCATTCTTTACTATTCAAAAAGGTTAGGGGGAGAGTTTCTGTCCTAAAATATGTCTTTTGTCTTCCTAGAAGCACCTTTAACTTTTGTTCTCTTCCAGAATTGGAGCCACTTGTATGGACCTTCTTTTCCTCACTCTTCGCTCACCCCCATTCCCCTCTTCCCACTTCTCCCCTAGGGCGGATCCCTTTTCATGGTTAACTTTGTAAAACTTTCCATCTTGATGAAAACAACAATTATTTATGGTCCCAGAATAGATAAGATGGTGGCTTGTTTCACAGGTTGTAGAGGTGATTTCATTTAGTTTTTTTTTTTAGTTATAAAATAATACAGGCTGGGCGTGGTGGCTCATGCCTGTAATCCCAGCACTTTGGGAGGCCGAGGCGAGCAGATCACTTGAGGCCAGGAGTTCGAGACCAACCTGGCAAACATGGTGAAACCCCGTTTCTACTAAAAAATACAAAAATTAGCTGGGTGTGGTGGTGCAGCACCTGTTGTCCCAGCTATTCAGGAGGCTGAGGCAGGAGAATCACTTGAACCCGGGAGGCGGAGGTTGCAGTGAGCTAAGATCGCACCACTGCACTCCAGCCTGGCGACAGAGTGAAACTCTGTCTCAAAAAAATAAAAATAAAAATAAAAATAAAATAATACATACATAAGGAAAAATGAAATAGAAACAATACACTGAAGAGTAAGTGTCTCTCTTCTCCCAGACCCACAGTCTCCCTCCCTAGAAGTACCACTGTTTTTTTTTTTAGACAGAGTGCAGTGGTGCGATCTTGGCTCACTGCAATCTCTGCCTCCGAGGTTCAAGTGCTTCTCCTGCCTCAGCCTCCTGAGTAGCTGGGACTACAGGCACGTGCCACCATGCCTGGCTAATTTTTTGTATTTTCACCATGTTAGCCAGGATGGTCTCGATCTCCTGAACTTGTGATCCGCCCACCTCGGCCTCCCAAAGTGCTGGGATTACAGGCATGAGCCACCGTGCCTGGCCTGGCTAGTAACACTGTTAAAAGTTACTTGTGTTTTCTTTTCTTCCAGAAATGCTCTATACACATTTATTGCATGTATTTTGGACAGTTTCATCCCATGTCTAACCCTCTTAGAACACATCTGTCCCTCTAGAGTGTCTGGGTGTTATATGGGGAGAGTGGGGAGAGGACAACTGCCCTGTGCTCCAGTGCTGTACATATGCCTTGGAAAAGATGGAGGAAATGTGGTGGGTGCCTCTGGCCTTTTCAAATACATCTCAGAGGTCAGGGCTCTTCAAGGAGTTCTCATTACAAAATGAGTAGGGCCTTTCTCTGTCTCTCGAGGTAGGCTGGAAGAAGACTTGGCGGGGATTGTGTTGGTAGAGCCAAGGGACCCCAAGGCCTCTAGGAGACACAGGGTCTGAGTGGATCAGCCTGGATTATCTTGTGATGCCTGGCAAGGACCTGGTTTTGTATGTGATGATTCCAGAGGCAGCAGGACTGTTCCCCTCCATCCCACGCCCCTACACTTCAGTGACAGAGATTTTAAGGCTTTATGTGGGGAGGGCCTGGCTTTAAATCCGGAGTCAGCATACTTTTTTTTGTAAAGGGCCAGATAGTAAATGTTTTGAGCTTTCAGGCCATATGATCTTTATTGCAACTACTCAACTCTGCCATTAGCATGAAAGGAACCATAGACAATTAATAAATCATTGTGCATAACAGTGTTCTAATAAAACTTTATTTATAAAAACAGATGACAAGCTGGATTTGGCCCATGGGCCAGGGTTATTGGGACCCCTGGATCCATTCTAGCAAGCAACAGAGACCCCTCTGACAGACTCAAGGAAAAGAAAACAATGACGCTCTGTTGGTAGATGCTGAAGTAATTCACAGAATAAAAGGAAAAGCTGAAACACTAAGACTCTGGAAAGGGAGGAGCCAGAGTGCCTCAGGAACCCTAGCACTGAAGCGCTGATAGTTACTCCCCTCAGCACCGTTCACAAAGAGGTTCCCTTGTAGCTCGGCTGAAGTAGGTAAAGATCATAACCATCGTAAATATCCATTCATGGGGGCCTGAGCCGGTGCTCATACACTCGTATGCAGCCATTAAGATGAGTGAGATAGGCCGGGCGCGGTGGCTCATGCTTGTAATCCCAGGCGGGCGGATCACCTGAGGTCAGGAGTTCAAGACCAGCCTGGCCAACATGGTGAAACCCCCGTCTCTACTAAAAATACAAAAATTAGCTGGGCATTGTGGTGCACGCCTGTAATCCCAGCTACTTGGGAGGCCAAGGCAGGAGAATTGCTTGAACCCAGAAGGTGGAGGTTGCAGTGAGCTGAGACCGTGCCACTGCATTTGCAGCCTGCGCAGCAGAGTGAAACTCTGTCTCAAAAAAAAAAAAAAAAAAGATGAGTGAGGTAGCTATCCCTGTGGTGGTATGAGATAGTCCCCAAGGCATACTGTTGATTGTATGTATGTGCTGGGAGAAGCAAGATGTAGTAACGGGTGTATAGAATGCTTCTGTGTGTTGGGGGCAACTCAGGGAGTCATATATACCTGCATGATGTATCCCTCGCCCTAGTCTACCTCTGGAAGGATATGCAAGTAACTGATAATGTTTTTGCTTTTAGAAAAGGGACTAGGGGTTAGGCGGGGGAAGGAGACTCTTCGTTGTATACTCCTTTGGACTTTTAGAATTTTTTTTAACTATATGCATGCATGACCTATTTTTTTTAAAAGACATCTTTTATGTAATAAATAAAAGAGCTGCAGTGCGACAGATTATTTATGTGTCTTGTGTTGGTGTCTGAGCTTGCTGGATTCATTTCCTTTCCCCTTGGGGCTGGTGAATACTTGTTTTCAAAACAGAAGTTCCTCCGTTATTAATCACCAGAGTATTCAAATATGGGAGAATCACACCTCTGTTCTTCAGCCTCTCTCTTTTCTGGCTGTGAAACATTAAACAATCTTGCCATGAAAGTGCCCACTAATTGCTGAGGAAATATTCAGGAAGCACCCACCAGAGGCAGAAGGCAGGGGGCCAGGAGACCTTGGTGAGGAAAGGAGGCGTGGGTAAGGCTACTGACTGGGGGATAGGGGTGTCTGTGTGAGAGTTAAGGGCCCTCCAGTGACTTGCTGTTTTTGATTTTCTGATCGTTTATCTGGGGAGGATGCCTGGAAAGGACTTTCTGATCTCTAAGACTAGGACAGGTGACTGTCTCATCTCATAGCATCAGGTTTTAAGGATACCTGGGATTTGTTTTAAGCGAGTGTGGGTAAGACATAGACATGGAAATAATTGTCACGAAGGGAGAAGTTTCTTTGCTCACAGATTCCTAGAAACAGAGGCACAGCACACCATGCAGAGCCATGTTGGGGGCCACTCAGGGTCCGTCAGGAGAAGAGGGAGAAACTGGGGTGAGGGCCTTTAACATGTTCCACATTAAAGGAAGGAAAGGGCAAAGCAGGGTGGGCAGGCTTGGGCTTGGCTGGTTTGAATAATCTCAGTAGGCTCTGGGGTATATGGGGCTATCTCTGGTTGTCTAGCCCTGGCCCTGGGATGATTGGGGCAGGTGGATGGTGGCCTGGAATGTGAGAGTCCATCAGAGGCAGTGGCTGGAGCCTGGGCCCATGGATTGGTTGGTTTGCATATGAAAGGTGTGTTGCAGGTGAAGTTCTTTTTTTTTTTTTTTTTTTGAGATGGAATCTTGCTCTGTCGCCCAGGCTAGAGTGCAGTGGCGCGATCTCGGCTCACTGCAACCTCCAACTCCTGGGTTCGAGCAATTCTCCTGCCTCAGCCCCCTGAGTAGCTGGGATTACAGGTGCCCGCCACCATGCCCAGCTAATTTTTGTATTTTTTAGTAGAGACGGAGTTTCACCATATTGGTCAGGCTGGTCTCGAACCCCTGACCTTGTGATCCACCCACCTCTTCCTCCCAAAGTGCTGGGATTACAGGCATGAGCCACCGCGCCCGGCCAGTGAGTTCTTTACTATCTCTAGCA
Source organism: Homo sapiens (assembly GCF_000001405.40). Classification (NCBI taxonomy): domain Eukaryota; kingdom Metazoa; phylum Chordata; class Mammalia; order Primates; family Hominidae; genus Homo; species Homo sapiens. Next base: position 86,256,041 of record NC_000002.12, on the reverse strand, counting down.
ATTGGCTCACCTTGTGGGAGGGGCAGTTCCTCCAGAGTAAGCAAGGCCCCAAAGTACATCAGAATACAGAAAATCAAAAATAAACCATAAACACATGGTTACTACACCTCTGGACTGCCAAATATGGTTGCTCGGGTTGTTCACAGCACAAGATATCTGGCCAAGCAGGTGAATGGGGCTGAAATTCAGACCAAGCTCTGTGGTATGTGGCCACAGAACTGCTTCCAGTTGAAGAGGCCAGTTTTCTTCTAATACATTCAAAGGCACCACGTGGGCTAGCACTATGGCACTTGTCTCAGGTTTCTGTTCTATATTATTTGTGATTATTTTATAAATCTCTGTTTCCCTGACTGGACCCTTAGTTCCAAGGATGCCAGAATCTTGTCTGTGTTCCCAGTGGACCAGAAGCTCCATGAGGGCAGGAATCAGGTCTTCTTTGCTCACCGTTGCCTCCCTGTACCTCCTTATACCTGGTGCTCAGTACAAGCTGGCACGTACAGGGACTGGGTGCCTGCCTGTGGGGGGACAAATAAATGAACAGGCTTGAGGGTATGCAGGACTGCAAACTCCAGAATTATGTGCTATCTGCACCGTGGACTCTTCTGTTTCTTGGCACTAAGAAGATCAAAATCTGTTTGCCTGCCATTGACTTGAGTAGGGTGAGTAGCATTCTCCTTCCTGCCAAGAGCTGGGCTCTTGTCCCTGCCTCTGTTTGGGCCAAGAAGGCAGCCAAGAAAGAGAGGCTTTCATTCTCAGTCTAGAGATTTTTTTGTCAACTCTTCCCTGCTGTAATTCCCCCTGGTGTTTGTCCCTTCTTGGATGTGAGTGAAGAGTGAGTGACTGGGTGTACAGCGTAGAAGAGATCCTCTGAGCCTGTAGGCTGTGGCCAGAACCCTAGCTCCAATCTAAATGAGCACAGCCCAGCAGGAAGCTCCAGCCTGTGCCAGGCAGGGCCACGGGGGTGATTGCTGGAGAGAACCTGTGTTCCTGGTTTGCTTTGGCAACAAAAGAAAACACGAACTGGTTTTCAAAGAGAGGCGTTGGGGTTGTACTGTGTGTGTGCAAGTGTGTGCCCTCACCTTCATAGGTGGAGGACAGAGGAATCTGGGAAACTTGCAGCCACATGCAAGCAGGAGAGGCGTCCTTGCCACCCACCGGGTCTCATCCTTCAAAAGGGCAGTGTTGCTGAGAACCTAACAGAACTTGTGTTTTCATCTCTCTCTCCAGGTTTCCATTCTATTATGAACTAAAAATAGCATTTGTAGCCTGGCTGCTGTCTCCCTACACAAAAGGCTCCAGCCTCCTGTACAGGAAGTTTGTACATCCCACGCTATCTTCAAAAGAAAAGGTAATATATGCTGCCATGTCTTTCATTCTTTCTAGCAAGTGAGAAAATAAGTAATAAATAAAAAGGGATGATCTTATTGCAGGAGACTTCTCATTTGGCTCTCATTTGCCTCCAGCAAGTCATTCCTCCTAATCGTTTTTTTTAAGTGTATTTCTGAGACGTGTTTAGAAATAGTGGTGAAGTTCTCTAAAAGATGTTATTTGTCATTATTTACTGGAAAACATTTCCATAAATTGAAACAAAAGAAAGAAAAAATTCACTCAATTTAACCACGCAAAGTGAATTTCCTTCCTTTTGTCATGCTTAGCCCCTGTCCTTTTATAGACATGATTTTTACATAGACTATTTTAAATCTTACCTGGAAGCCAGGTGTGGTGGTGCATGCCTGTAATTCCAGCTACTCAGGGGTATAAGGTGGGAGAATCACTTGAGCCCAGAAGTTCAAAGCCAGCCTGGGCAACCTAGAGAGTCCCCATCTCTTAAAAAAAGAAAGAAAGATTAAAATTTTATGTAGAATTTTTTTAAAAAAATGATTTAAAAACTTAAATAAAATGTTTGTATCCTGAGATTTTAAATGTGTTTGCACACAAATCCATTTCTACTTGGTCTTCGTAATACCCATGATGATGTTCCCTTACTGCTAGATATTTAGATTATCTCTACCTTTTCCTGATATAGATAGTTCTGCAGTGAGCACTACCATTCCTGGAGTTTAGTTGCTTCCTTTAATTGTCTTAGAATTAATTCCCAAGAGCAGGATTATTAAGTCAAACGATTCCAACATTGTATCATTCGTTAACTGTATTACTTACTAAGCTGATTGTGTAGTGGGGTTTCTTAACTAAAATAGGAGCATTATAGGTGGCTTGACAGATTAATGTCTATTGTTTCTGAAAGTTGAATTCCTTGGACTAGAAAGGGGAAGGCTTTGGGAAACATATCCGTTGGATGAGCAGGCTACTGTACAAGTTTCGGAAAATCTCTTTAGGAACTCGGACCGCAGCACTTCCTGTCTCAGAAGGGTGGATTTTGAGGAACGGATCCCTGTCTTGACCTGGTTATCAAATCCCTACTCGTCTTACTTCCCTTTCCCCAAATGCTGGGCTTCCCCTGAAGCTGCCAATGTAACTTCCATTGAAGTGAAGGTGACTGACTCTTAAGAGTTGCCAAGAATCACTTCCAAAGGGGTGGTGGTGGGGGACAGGCAGGTCACAGTTAGAGGGCCTGCTGCTATGACTTCCTGGGGAAGCCTTCCACAGGGAATCCAGCAGGAGGTTGCTGACCCACTTGCACACCTCAAAGCAATGGAAATACACTAATGCACAGAACTTGACTAAGGCCAAATGTCATTGTCTTACCGAACTCTGAAATGAGCAGCTGTCATGAAAAACAGCCTTTTTTTGGGGGGTGGGGGGCGCGGAATCTTGCTCTGTTGCCCAGGCTGGAGTGCAGTGGCACGATCTCGGCTCACTGCAACCTCTGCCTCCTGGGCTCCAGCAATTCTCCTGCCTCAGCCTCCCAGGTAGCTGGGACTATAGGCACGTGCCACCATGCCTGACTCATTTTGTATTTTTAGAGGAGATGGGGTTTTACCATGTTGGCCAGGCTGGTCTCGAACTCTTGACCTCAGGTGATACGCCCACCTTGGCCTCCCAAAGTGCTGGGATTACAGGCGTGAGCCACTGCACCCGGCCGACAAACAGCCATTTTCTTAAAACAATGACAACAACAAAACACTCCCAAACAAACAAAAATAATACACCAAAGTTAATCCAAATTTGAACTAAACCAATATTGTACTTGGCTTTGGTCCCTGAAGAAGACCTCAATCCTGTTTTCCATCTCACCTTTACCTTGTTGCATGACACTGGATGACTTCTAATTTCTGATTTTATTTGAATATGTGTAAAACAATCTCCCTTATCCAGTAATACTCATTTCTTTCAGCTTTGTAATCCCTCCCATCGATATACAAATGGGGTGATATTTGATTTTAGAATTAAATAACTATAGAATAACAGAATTTTAGAACTGCAAGGGCTCAACCCTGTCAAGATAAGGAAGATGACATGGTTATCATTTATTGAAACTAGCCACTGTGTTAGATGTTTTACTGGAATTACCTCATTTAATCCTCACCATGCTCCGCAAGTTGGGTATTATCATTATCCTCGTTTTTCAGAAGACTAAAACTGTGTGTAGAGAGGCTTGCCAAGGTCTGGCAGTCAGTTGGTGGCAGGTCTGAGGCTAGAAGCTCGGTTCTGGGCACTCTCTCCACCCTGGGTGCTTTCAGTGTCTGGTGAGTGGCTGTGTGTAGAATGGCAGGCAAGGCTGTCCATATCCAGAACCTCCTGGAGCCTCCTGGAAGGTCAGAGGGCTTTAGAAACAATCTCAGGGCATCGCTGGATCCGTAAGTTGCAGTGTTTTCAGAGTTCCCTTTTCTACTCTCCTGTATCTCTGCTCTCCCCTCTGCACGCACACCTTCAAAGTGCCTACAGCTTTTCAGGCCCAGCAAGAACAAGGATTGGGCAAGCTGCCAAGCCCAATGCTCAGAGGAAAGGAAAGAAAACAGAGATGTGTTTGAACCTTCCAGCTCAGTGTGCCTCTGTTTTTCCTTTGACAGGAAATCGATGATTGTCTGGTCCAAGCAAAAGACCGAAGTTACGATGCCCTTGTGCACTTCGGGAAGCGGGGCTTGAACGTGGCCGCCACAGCGGCTGTGATGGCTGCTTCCAAGGTACTGTGCTGGAAGTACCACAACTACATGAGTCTCAGTCCCTCTAGTGTGCCCTGCTCATCACCTGTGCGACCACACAGAACAGGCTAAGGACCAATCAGTGGTTTTTCATCTTTTAGGGGTCCTTTTGAAAATCTGATGGAAAAAAATGCTGAATCTTGCCCCAGAAAATTCTCACCCCCCAACACACATGCCCACATACTTGCAATATCAAGAGGTTCCCAGAGCCCCTGAAGCTCATCTGTGCGTCCCAGGTTAAGAATTTCTAACTTATCCAACCCCACTGGAAACAAGAAAATAATAGAATTTCTAACTTACTTGGCACTTAGGCCTGGGAGAAACAGAAGAGGGCAGGGGAGAGAGGGAGAGAGTGCTTCTCTGCAGTTTCCTAGGGTGCACTGGGAGAGTCGCCTAAATGCAGTGGACAGGTGGAGAGACTACCTGAGCAAGCGGGTGGACTCACTCACGATCATGTGGCCCAGCAGATCCAGGGGAAGGAACCCAGGTCCTAGAATAAGTTGAGTGGTCCAGACATGGAGGTCAGTAATGTGCCAAGCCATAACAACTGAAGTGGAGGAGGTTTGAAATAAACACCAGTCTGTGGGATGTTGTGGTGTGAGCATTACTTCTTTCTCTATTCTCTCCAGCCCTTTTCAAAACTGTGTTTCTTCCTAGCATCTTCTCATATCACCCTCTTGTTGTCGTCAATTTGTCATTATTTACGTAGATCTGAAAAGTTAAATTGGTCAGATATTTCCTCTCATGTGAAATCAGCAGATCATCCTAGTGTTCCCCAGGGACAAGCCCTTCCCCAACAACCATGTGTGGAGTAGGGACCTACATTCGGCTGGTGGTGGAGGGAAGGCAGTTATGCTGATGATTGGAAAGACACAGTGGTTGGGAGGTGAGTTGTATTAGCATAAGGAAGTTTGTCCCTTGTGGTGATGTGAGGGTTTTGGGGAAGGAGGCGATGGGGCTTAAAAGGTTTGCAAGAAGATGATTAGTACAGATCTTGGTGCTCTATGAACATTGTGCGGATGGCAGGATGGAGGGTGCTGAGAGCCAGTTTCAAGAGACTGAGCTGGGTTTTCCTTGCCCTGAACCAAAGAGAAGCACATTAGGATCATTTCTGGAAGAGACTCAGCACACTGGGCCGGGTAGTTGCTTGAAAAGTACCTTTCAGGAAGCCAAGGAATTCTGCAGACAAAGCCTGGACAAGAGGGAAGGGGAACCAAAAATGAATGATTCCTCTTTCAGACAAGACCAGCTCCATCTATAACACAGAATTGTAGCTAGGTATCCCGCCACTCCATGTGGCAGATCTCGGGGTTGGGGGTCCAGGGGGTCTCTGCCCCTTTACTATAATAGCTGCTGGCAAAATGAGGGATCCCAGTGAGTATCTTTGGAAGGGAAATTCTGCTTTGGTTTCCCAAGATCAATCAGGATTTATGAACAGCAATAAATTCCAAGAACCTTCTATTTGAGATGCAACCATTTTATGCTTTAATCTTTAAGCTGAAACAAAAGAGAACTCAGAATTGCTAAATTCTGAATTCATCAGGCCAACCTGGCAACGTAAAGCTACGGAAACCCTGTCTCAGCCTCTCTCTACCCCATCTGTTCTGCCTCTGAAGCCTGAGGAAAACAGGCTGCTGCTCTTTCCTCCATTCATTCCTGGAGTATAAACGTGCTATATCTGTCAGGGTGGTTCAGTGTGCGTCACCTGGTGGCACAGCTGCGTGCATGTAGATTTCATTCTGACAATAACTTCTGCAGGCCATCCTTTTCTGGGTCTGCCTCAAGATGGAGCCTCCAGAGTCTTCCTATCATCCTGGCCAGTCACTGCCTGTCCCCTAACCACCCGGGAAGCCCGTGAGCCCGTCTTCTCCATCCAGGCACCTTATAGCAGCTGAAACCTAAAAGAAGCGCCAGACAGTCTGAAAGTTGCCTCAGGAAATAACTGCTCATTAGTTCTTTCCAGCTGGACTAACGTAGTGAGGGACATCTGCTTTCTGTTGAATTTGGTTTCAGATGAGAAAATTTTCTGCCTTGTGGGGCTTTGCTTTTTCTCTCTAAATATAAATATCTGGAGAGAGAAAACACATATTCTCTTCTAAAAATAATGCCCTCTATTTTTGAAACAGATGTGTACTTAAAAAAAAAATAAAAGAAGAAGTAAAATCCAAAAATCCAATCTAGCTGAGGTGTACATCAGTGGTTTCCATAGCAACAGTGGATCACTTCAGGCCTTGGTCAAAGGATGATGACTCACCAGTGGGTCCAAATCTGGCTTGCATGCCCAAGCCACCTGGAGAGCTTTGCTTTTTATTTTTTTTTTAATAGATTCTCAGATGTGCTGAATCAGAATCTCAGGCAGTGGGCCCATGAATCTCTATTTTTAACAAGTTCCCCAGATGATTTTTAAACAGCCAGCTCTGTACAAGTCACTGCCTGAGACCCCATACAGAACCATAGGGGGCACAGGTGATGAGGGTTAAAGCAGTTAATTTCAGTAACATTCCTGGAATGCAGATTCACCTCCTTGGAAGCCTTAACCTTGAGAATGAGGAAAGCAGTGGCGTGTGTGTGGGAACCGGGCAGCGGGGAGGGGGAGGCCGGTGTTTATTTCTCCAAAATTTACTGCCAGTTGAGAAATACTATGATGGGACTACAAATTCTCCCACTTTTTTTTTTTTTGAGATGTAGTCTTGCTCTGTCGCCTAGGCTGGAGTATAGTGGTACAATCTCAGCTCACTGCAACCTCTGCCTCCCGGGTTCAAGCAATTCTCCCTGCCTCAGCCTCCTGAGTAGCTGGGATTATAGGCGCCTGCCACCATGCCTGTCTAATTTTTATATTTTTAGTAGAGACTGGGTTTTGCCATGTTGGCCAGGCTAGTCTTGAACTCCTGACCTCAGGTGATCCGCCCGCCTCAGCCTCCCAAAGTGCTGGGATTACAGGCATCCCACCTCTTTTGTAGTGCTCCCAAGAGCCTAGCACAGTGCCTCGCACCTGGCTGAGCCCTTATCAATCTTGTTGATTACCCAAGGGGAATAATTAGAGCAACTGTCTGAAAAAAAGACACGCTGCAAAGTCACCCATAGCTGGGGTGACTATATAATTTATTGTTCAAACCAGGACACATTTGAGAATGTAAAGCATGCTTATAATAATTACTCTGAAACAACAGGTCTAAACTAGGCCTGTTTGGCCAGTCATGGTGGCTCACACCTATAATCCCAGCACTTTGGGAGGCCGAGGTGGGAGAACTGCTTGAGCTCAGGAGTTAGAGACCAGCTTGGGTAACATAGTGAGACCCTGTCTCTACAAAAAATTAAAAATTAGCCAGGCATGGTGGCATGTGCCTATAGTCCCAGCTACCTGGGAGGCAGAGGCAGGAGGATCATCGCTTGAGCCCGGGAGGTAGAAACTGCAGTGAACCATGATCACGCCACTGCACTCTAGCCTAGGTGACAGAGCAAGACCTTGTCTCAATAAATAAATAAATAAGTAAAATAAAATAAATAAATAAATAAATAAAATAAACTAGGCCTGTCCCAAGGAAACCAGGATTTATGATCAGGTGACTCCTGGCTTCATTTTAAATTTCTTGGACCTGCCTGTCTTCTCCTCCCACAAAACACCCTCAACTTACAAATCAGTTCTCACTCTCAGTATCTACTGCATTTAGTGAAAGGGATGCAAGAGAGAGTGTTGCATGGTGAGAATACTCTTCCTTAGGATCATTCCTGGAAGAGACTCAGCACACTGGGCTGGAATTACAGGCCAGGATACAGATTAGTTCTGACAGATTAAATGGAGGCTGGGATAAAACGATGGGATGAAAGAGTAATTCCTCCTTCTGTCTTCTTTTTTCCATACTTCAGTGACTTTCTAGGAGGAAACTATGGAGCTTAAACTGAAGAATGAAAAATCTTTTGACTACACTTTTAGTTAATCCTTTCAAAAATAATGTTGAGCCCTGTGTCCTTTCTCTAATAAAATTAATGTTTGCAGGAGTGTTTTTTGTATCATCATGAATTGTGGAAAAAATTTGTAAACCACATTATTATATAAATAGAAGTCCTGGCCAGGCATGGTGGCTCATTCCTATAATCCCAACACTTTGAGAGGTCGAGGCAGGCAGATCACTTGAAGCCAGGAGTTCGAGACTAGCCTGGGCAACATGATGAAACCCCGTCTCTCCTAAAAATACAAAAATTAGCCTGGTGTGGTGGCATGCACCTGTAATCCCAGCTACTCGGAAGGCTGAGGCAGGAGAATCACTTGAACCCGGGAGGTGGAGGTTGCAGTGAGCCACTGCACTCCAGCCTGGGCGGCAGAGTGAGTGAGACTCTGTCTAAACAAACAAACAAAAAACAACAACAACAACAACAACAAAAGGAAGTTCTTATTAATTTTTGTTTATATAAGGTCTTTCTATGTTGCTTAGGCTGACCTTGTATTCCTTGGTTCAAGTGATCCTCCTACCTCAGCATTCCAAGTAGCTGGGATTATAGGTGTGCACCACCATGCCCAGCTTATTAATGTTAATATTACTGTTTTGTCTTAGAACTGGAAGAGCTAAAACAAACAAAAAACATCAGGCATGAGAAATTTCTTCCAGGGAATTTAACCCCTATCCCACCCTCAATTTCCTACAAGGCTAACCCCTATCCCCGGGAAGTGTTGATGCATCTTTCTTTGAGTGAAAACTGCTGTGCGTCCTTCCTGAGGAAACACTTCTCAAGAACCCTCTGTCTCAGCATTCCTAGTCTCTGCTGGCTCTGCTCCTACATGGTACCTGTCTCCTAACTGGTAATTCCATCCAGAGGGAAAACTGAACCCCAGATCTTTTTAAGACTAGAAATGAAAAGTCTCTCTCTTAAAAAAAAAAATAATGCTCTAGAAATTTATTTGTTAAGCAAAACATATTCTCACATGAAAAATAAACCATAGGCTGGCCGTGGTGGCTCACGCCTGTAATCCCAGCACTTTGGGAGGCCAAGACGGGCAGATCACCTGAGGTTGGGTGTTTGAAACCAGCCTGACCAACATGGAGAAACCCTGTCTCCACTGAAAATACAAAATTAGCCGGGCGTGGTGGTGCATGCCTGTAATCCTAGCTACTCGGAAGGCTGAGACAGGAGAATCTCTTGAACTCAGGAGGTGGAGGTCGCGGTAAGCCGAGATCACACCATTGCACTTCAGCCTGGGCAACAAGAGTGAAACTCTGTCAAAAAAAAAAAAGAAAAAAGAAAAAAAAAGAAAGAGAGAAAGAAAAAGAAACCATAGTGAGACGAACCACTGAACAAAAATTTTAAAACCATGGGGTCTCCAGGCTACCTTACTTCCCTTGCAGTTTGAACCACATACTAGGTTTCTTCTGCCTGCTGAATTCTCAGACCTGGTAAACCAACATTCATTTTTCACTTGTCTCATAACTCGAAAAATAATGTTTTAGTTCCCCCGGAGATCTTGTCTCCAGAACATTTCCAGTAGTACCAATACTATTACTATAGTCCACCTATTGAAGAAAGCTGCTCTAAGTAAAACCAGCATTCTGTGAATTAGGGATTCTTCTCTTGCAGTTTGTTTTCAGAGTTGTGTTTGTGTGTATATGGCTCCATCCTCCCCCATCCCCAAATCTGGTATTGTAAGCTTCTTGAGATGAGGGGCTCTGGCTTCTTTTCCTTTGTTTCTTGCTTAGAAAATAAACAAAAACAGAACAATGCTTTGTTATTTAGTGCTTTGCACTCATAGCTATTCATTAAACCTTGTTGATTGATTTGAAGTATATACCTTTTTGATTCCTCTAACCCTGCCCTGTCTAATATGGTATCCACTTGCCACATGTAGCTGTTTAAATTTAAATTAATTAAAATTGAGTATACCGGCTGGGCACAATGGCTCATGCCTGTAATCCCAGCACTTTGGGAGGCCAAGGCGGGCGGATCACGAGGTCAGGAGATCGAGACCATCCTGGCTAACATGGTGAAACCCCGTCTCTACTAAAAATACAAAAAATTAGCCGGGCGTGGTGGCGGGCGCCTGTAGTCCCAGCTACTCGGGAGGCTGAGGCAGGAGAATGGCGTGAACCAGGGAGGCGGAGCTTGCAGTGAGCCAAGATAGCACCACTGCACTCCAGCCTGGGAGACGGAGTGAGACTCTGTCTCAAAAAAAAAAAAAAAAAATTGAGTATATGTTGGGGACCAGCCTCAACACCACCCATAGGGTAGCTGAAGTCCGGTGGCGACAAAGGAATGAGAAGAGACAGGTTAAGAGTTCCTAAAGGTGGGAGCCAGGGGGCCAGTTGCAAAATGGAGGCTGCAAAAGGCCCAGAGTTCTGGTCTCCACACTATTTATTGAGTACAATCACTTAGATCTAAGAAGCAGATGTTCAGGGCAAAACAGTGAAAAGGAGGCAGTGCGTCATAGGTGCAATCTATAGCAGTAGTGGTTTAAATGAATCTCCTTTGTGCTCAAACAGCATATCTTTAACTTATCGGAGAGTAGCTAGTGGGAGCGGGCTTAACCAGGAGCCTGCACGTCTGTCCACATTCCAGTGTTTCAAAGGAGTGTCCTTCTCCTTGAACACAGTGTTTACAGATAAGAGAGCAGGTCTCGCTCTGAGCATGGGAACATGATGGCAGTTAGGAGGCTTTCCTCCTTAGAGGCCTCTTGTGGCTTTCCACAACTTATTGTCCCATATTTTTGTGGCCAGTTTATACAGGCACCCCACAAGCCCTTTTCCCAACAGTATACCTAAAATTGAATTCCTCAGTTGTACTAGCCCCCCACCCCCTTTGTTTTTGAGACGGTGTCTCACTCTTGCCCAGGCTGGAGTGCAGTGGCACAATCTCAGCTCACTGCAACCTCTGCCTCCCAGGTTCAAGCAATTCTCCCTGCCTCAGCCTCCCGAGTAGCTGGGATTACAGGTGCCTGCCCCCACGCCTGGCTAGTTTTTGTATTGTTTAGTAGAGACAGGGTTTCGCCATGTTGGCCAGGCTGGTCTTGAACTCCTGACCTCAGGTGATCTGCAGGCCTCAGCCTCCCAAAGTGCTGGGATAACAGGCATGAGCCACCGCACCTGGCTGTACTAGCCCCATTTCAAGTCCTCATTTGCCAGTATGGCTGATAGCACATTTCCATTATTGAAGAAAGTTCTTTTGGACAGCACTGCCCCAAGCCCTTTGTTAACCCTCCAGGGTTCTCCTTTGCCTGTTTTTCACCCCTTTGCCCACAGTTGCTCTGGCTTCAAAAGGACACCCACCCCTCCTTACCTACTCAGCTCCTTGGGGCCTCTGTATATAAGGTTCACCAGGAGCTGGAAACTCAGCCTATAGCAGCACCCATGCTGTAGCTCTTATTTCTTCTTCCTCTTTACTGGTCTGGCCCGCTTTCACACCATGACCTCTGCTTTCCTGACTTGCTCTCTAAAACTCAGGCACTTGGCCTGCAATTATAGTCAGCGGCCAACAGGCGATAGCCAAGCGTTGGTTATAGCCCTTAGCATCTGAACAGCCAGGCACAATCCACTGAGAGTTATATTATTTTGTTTTTCTACTTAAAAAAAATTTTCCCACTCTTTCCTTAAAAAGAAAAAGAAGATCTACAAAACAGTCAGCACAATAGAAAAAAAAAAGCCCTCTCCCACATATCCTTATCTTTTATCCATCAGTGCTCTATCTAAATGTCTGGCTTGAATAAAATACTGCTTTTAAATCACCATGAAACTATTTTTGGAATCAAAAGCTCATTTGAGGAAGTTCATAAGCCCAGTGATTTGGGGTTTCTGACCTGACTGGAGTCAGTTGCCTTGCCTTTGTTTTGCTTTCTAGCAAAAAAAACTACCTGTTAACAATTAGTCAGAGGGCAGGCATTGATTTTCTTTTTATAAAACCTCCCTGTGTCAGCTCATACTTAGGAGATATTTCCAAGGACGGAGAAGAGATGACTGCTGTCCCCTAACCAGATCTGTATGTTTCACCTCTCTGGCTTTAGTCTCTACCATCTATTGAATCAAAGAGGGTAAGGATTCCAGAAAGCCCTATGTTTGTCTCTTCATCCCTCAGAGGAGCATTTCCTGGCCACTGTGCTAGCTCACATCAAGTTAGCCTTCTTTCTTCATTTTTTAGCCAAGGACTATGTGACATGAAGTTAATATTTAGAATTCACCACGGCAACCATTTTTAAACACCAAGATTATCTAAACTGTATGGACAAACTGCTGAAAAAGTTTGGAAGTATTCCCTACCCTCCAGTCTCCCAAATATTAGTCAACTCGTACCCAAGTTTCACTCTCAAAATGTGTCGAAGCAGAACCAAGCAAGACTTTTTACCAGTGTGCTGGATTCCGGCTCTCCCAGTGTTTCTACCTGGAGTGTTACCTCACCTCACACTGCTCCATGCATAGTGAAGTGGATTCAAATGAATGAAACACCCACATCACACTCAGCTGAAGAGGAAGGGCCAGGAATTCACACGGAGTTGGCGGTCCGACATTACTTACCTGCTCTGTTCTGTGGCTACCTGTGGAGATTGTGCAGCCTGATGCCTCAAGGGTCCAAGAGGAAAGAGGGAAGCCTGCCTGCCTGACCTCACAGGGCCTGGTGGAACCTAGAGGTCTGAGGAAATATTTGAGGATCATGCGTGAGTGGGAAGGGCTGTCTCTTGGCTGTGGTGACATGGCACCTCCTCGTTCTCCTCTTCTCTCTGATTCCCCTCTCATGTTTGCCTCCTCCCTCCTTTCCTCACGCCTCAGTGTTAGATGAATTTCTCTGGGCCCCACCTTTCTCTCCTCTCTCTCCTAGCACCATCTCATCCTGTCCCTCACCTTCCGCTGTCACCTGATGACCTGGTTCCCAGATGGGCTTCTCTGCCCAGGGCTCAATCCAAGTGTTCCTGGTTCTCTGCTGAATATCTCCCTTGTTTCCTTCATACTTTAGTTGACAGTCCTGTAACTCCAAATCTGCCCTTCCGTGTGTCCCACCATTCTGATGATAATGAAATTACCATCTTGTCAGGCACCCAAGCTCCAAATCTCTGTCACCTTTGATGCCCCACCTTCCTCCCACTTACTCTTCAAGCCCTAACCATTTGACATCCCTTCTCTGCATTTGGGCCTTCCTCCACACCCTTCCTTCTAGCTTGGACTCTTGCAGTAGCTACCCAAATGGTCGACTGCTCTCTCCCTTCCTGTTTAAGTCCTGTACAGTCCGACCCTGATCCTAGCCTTTCAGTCTTGTCTCTCCTTACCTCTCTGGCTCTTGTGATAACTGCATTCACAGAACTGCCTTCTGTACTGTTCTGGAAATAGCAACTCTGAGCGCTGTTTCCAGAATTTTCTCTTTCTTGCCTCTGCCTTTGCTCATGTTGGTGCTTCATCTGCCTCTGTTTCTACCTCTTTGAAATCCTCCCCACTCTTCCAGGTTAATGCCATCTCCTCCAGGTTAATGCCGTCTCCTCCATGAAGCCTCCTCTGATCCCAGGTAGAACTGGCCTCTCACTCCTGGGTCCTCTGCACTAATGTCATCATGTATATGTGTCTTACCTGCATCTCCATAGGTGCTCAGTAAATGTTAAAGGAATGAAAGACTGTTGTGCATATTTTTAGCTGCCATGACCAACAGAGCAATACTTAGAATCAAGGATATCCAAAGTTGGGCTTTGGAGATAAGCAGACCAGGTTTAAAAGTCCCAGCTCCCTGCTTACTGCTGCACCTCTGTGAACCTCGCTTCTTCACCTGCAAACAGGGATGATCATAGTACCTGCCACAGGAGTTATGAGGCAGTGTAAAGACTTCACAGAATGCAGAGTTTATAATAAATGTTTAATAAAGGTTGCCTGTTATTTGCTCATATGTCAGTTTGATCTCAGGCTGATTATGATCTTCTCTTTCCTCACTGTTGAACAGAATAAAAAAAAAAAAGTCAGGCCCTGGCATTGGGACGTTATTTACAAGGCAGGCTCTTCTGCACAGGAGGCTGACTTGCCTGCCTTGTCCTGGCCCACCTCGCATGTGCTGTGTCTTCCTGCGCAAGCCACGCTCCCCTGGGCTCAGGGTTCCCCACTGTTCTGGGCCTGACTTTTCATAGGGGTGCTTCTTCTTCCTCTTCCACCCTGAGGTGTAGCTTATGACACATGAGCACCTGCCACCTGCCAAGACAGGAGGAAGGTCAAACGTGGGCTGCTGGAGCAGCTGGAACCCTCACTTCAGGGAGGAAACCAAGCAGGGGTTTGAGTGACTTGCCCAAGGTCATGCAGCTGTTAGTTGTTGAGCTGTGATCGGCACCAGGGTCTCTAGTTCCTCCAGTGTCCTTGCATCACTCCAAGCACTCCCCACCCCAACACATACACCCTAAACTGACACTTCCTGGCTGTTTTGTGCTTGGATTACACTACCAGGCCCTGGTGGCTGAGTACCTGGACTGTCCCTCACTGAGGATTTTAGAGTCTCTCACACCCCAGGGTACTGCTCTTCTGATGATCGATCAGCTCTCTCTTGGCCTTGTGGTGAGGCTGGGAAACACTTAATGCAGGGTGAAAGAATGAGGATCACAAGTACCTGTCACCGTAAGTCACAGTTTCTGTAAAGCTCGATCACGTGCGATAGCGTGGGCATGTTTGCACACCAGTATAATTAGAGCTCACTTTGCACCAGCGGCTGGGCAGATTTGTCCTGTGGGTCCCCCTTCCCACCCTTAGTCCTTCCTGCCTTCTCATTGTCCCTTTCCAGCAGGGCCTTTGCCTCTGAAGGAGGAAGTATAGATGAGGCAAAGCTTCCAGCTGAGACTTCCACAGGCAAGGCCAGGGGCAGCTGCTGTATGTGGAGGGTCCCTCCTGGTGGCCCTGACTCCCCATCACCGGGCAAGGGCCTGGCTCAGATGGCCGGGCTTGGTCTGGCTACAGAGACCCAACTCACCTGAGCACTGTCATTGGTCAGCACAGGCCTGTCTAACCTCCCAGGCTTCCACTCCTCACCTCCCATCCAGCCTGCTCTGAACCAGAAGCACCAAGCCCACCTCCCTCACCAGTTAATGCTTGTTCTTGCCTGCTGTCTCTCCTTAAGGGCACTTCCCAGAAAGGAGACTAGAAAATACCGTCTGTATTCCAGATAACCACGTGCCTGCTGCAAAGTGAGAGAAATGGGGAGAACAGATACTGGGTGCAAGTTCTTGGTATGTGCCACGTGGCATATCTAGGATGTTCTCATCATTCAACATCCTGCCTCCTTCACACTGCTCACCTCTCAAAAACCTTCAGTGGAGTGCTCAGTTTATTGTCAAAAACCAAGTTTAGGCAGCTGAAGCCCAGTTCTCCCAGGCTGGTCTCCTTTTACTCACTGGCACCAAAGCCTCTTCTCCCCAGGTGGGTTCACTCACCGTTTCCCAGGTGCACCTTGGGTTTTCGTCCACTCTCACGCCCTGGCCCAAAGCACTTCCCCGCCAGCACGTGCCTTCCCCCGCCCGCTTCAGAGGATGCAGCCCTCACCTCACTCCTCACTCGGGTTCGACCCCTTGTGTGAGAGGATGAGGCCTCTGCACGTGCTCAGCCACGGTGACGGTGCCATCCCCTGCCCTGTACTCTGGCATGATGTTGGTCATCTTTGTCACTTGTGGCCTGGCATGCACTTTTGTGTCTTGATGCCCCAACTAGACTGTGAGCTCCATGGGAGCAGGGACCGTACCATCCTCGTCTTTGTTCCTCTGCGGTGCTTCACGCAGAGCTTCGTGAACACTCCAGCAGCATCTGTTGCAAGTGAGTGAATAAATGGGTGAGCGAGCGAGGGAGTGATGGGAGGAAAGAGGTGAGGACATGGCTCCCTTCAACTCCATTTTATTGCCTTGGTGCCCATGGCTTTTTTCTCCTTTTCCCCTTTATCAGGTGGCTCGACTCTTTCATTTTATCTTCTCTTTGGACCTGAGAGAAGGGCAGGTAACCCTGTTGAGAGGTGTGACTAACTCCAAACTGATCCAGTTGGGCAGCGAGGCCAGGCCACCGGCTCTGCTCACCAGCACGTGGTCTGGATCAGAGGCAGGTGTCCCCCCTGCCTCGGCACCTGCGTGTGCATGTGTGTTAATCCATGTGGGGCACACGGAGCCAGGCCCCACTTCATCGTCTTTCCAGAGACTCTTATGGTGTGAATTTGGTAGCATCTAACATGTGATTAACTTACTTGGGTTTTTTCTTTTCTTTGTTTAATGCCTGGAGAATGGATTGAATTTGATGATGGATGCTATTGCAGTAGAAATTCTCCTTCTCTGTTTGGTTTGTTAATCCCATTTTGTGTCACAGACAAGGGCCTGGTCCTCATGCAGCATGTCATTGGGAGCCTGCTTGGCTTGGATGTGGCGCATGTATGGCTGTGGAGGCTCACTCCACCAGTGAGGCGGGCACCCCATGGGGTTTGGAAGGAAGTACTAACTCCTTCTGAATTACTGGTGGGAAATGCGGTTGTGCTGGTGGCTTTGTTATCAATTTCCTGACTCACTAAAACCCTTTGTCTTTATTGTTGTTGTCCTCAGTAGCAGGCATTAGATATTGTGTCAAGTGAGATGGGCTAAACTTCGTGCTTTGCTGGAGCCTTCCCCTGTGACTTGGTGTGTCCCTCTGGAAAAGAGGACCTCATTAAGGGCTCAACACTCATTCGGTTTCTGGAGATACCATGTGCTCCTTCTTAGTTCTGTGTTGCTGTTATTGCTGTTTTAATTACTCCTATGTCTTTTTTTTTTTTTTTTTTTTTTTTTGGTCTAGATGGCATTGGTCAGCATCATGCACACTGTATATTCACAAAATGAGGTCCTCAGGGTGACCTTGAGTGAGTGCTGTGGGTGTTACTGAAAATTAAATTGTACTGATTTTTTAAAGGTAATGCATGTTCTTGGTGCAGAATTATAAAAGGACAAAAGAGAGTGTCCAGTGAAGAGTAAGTCTTACTCTTACCCCTGCCTTCTACTGGCATGGTTGTTTACGAAGAAACCACGTAGCCTTTCTGCAGGCATTTCCGCTATTCAGATACATCCCTGGCCATGAACAAGGTATAAGTGGACCCCCATCCCCTTAGCACACAAAACTACAAAGACCTCACTTGGGGTGGATTGAAGTGGCCGCTCTCAGTGGTGACAAATACTAACACACATTCCTTCTTTTTCTACCTGGTTTCTATCTTCACCTACCCAAGTCCTCCACCCACCCAAGTTCAAGCGCAGTCTCCTCTGGGATGCCTTGCCTCTCTGATGTGTGCCTTCTGCCCTGTGCACCCACAGCCCTCTGACACTTCTTATACGCTCCTTGCAGACACATCTCAAGGCTTGTTCAGCAGGATCCTCTTTCAGGTCTGGGACCCTGGCTGATGCATCAGGCTGAGGTGGGGATTTCCCACTGTCACGCTTCACCCAGGCGGCAGCTCCATAAATGGTCATACGTTCATTCATGCAACTCCTTAACCCCAAATATGTATCAAGTAGAGTGGCAGATGCCAAGGCTGCAATAGTGAATAAAACAGACAATAGCAATATTTAAATATCATTGTGTGGAGTACAAGAGAGAAGTACAGCTCAAAGGCTGTAGTGACAGCATTTACAGGGAACTGGGATGAGTAGAGAAAGCTGCTCTGAGAAGTGCAACCATATTTCATTGAATCTAAAAAGCTGTGGTTTCTGAGACACATCATTATCTTATGTTCCACTAAGAAAGATAATATTGCCAATTAAATTAGGACACAATGTTTTTTCACTTAGAATGTTTATTTATTTATTTATTATTACTATTTTTGAGACAGAGTTTTGCTCTTGTTGTCCAGGCTGGAGTGCAATGGCACGATCTCGGCTCACCTCAACCTCTGCCTCCCGGGTTCAAGCGATTCTCCTGCCTCAGCCTCCAGAGTAGCTGGGATTATAGGCATGCACCACCATGCCTGGCTAATTTTGTATTTTTAGTAGAGATGGAGTTTCTCCATGTTGGACAGGCTGGTCTCAAACTCCCGACCTCAGGTGATCCACTCACCTTGGCCTTCCAAAGTGCTGGGATTACAGGCATGAGCCACTGCGCCCAGCCAGAATGTTTATTTCTTCTTATCAAAAAGACTCTTAGACATCTTTTTTTTGTCACTTTTATAAATACATTAAAAGGAACACAGCTGGGCACGGTGGCTCACACCTGTTCCAGCACTTTGGGAGACCAAGGTGGGTGGATCACCTGAGGTCAGGAGTTCGAGACCAGCCTGACCAATAAGGTGAAACCCCGTCTCTACTAAAAATACAAAAATTAGCCGGGCGTGGTGGTGGCCACCTGTGATCCCAGCTACTCAGGAGTCTGAGACAGAAGAATCTTTTGAACCTGGGAGGCAGAGGTTGCAGTGAGCCAAGATTGTGCCATTGCACTCCAGCCTGGCTGACAAGAGTGAAACTCCATCTCAAACAAACAACAACAACAACAGAAAAAACAAAAAGAGAGAAAGAAAATAAAAAGGAACGCATTAGCACAATAAGTGGTTAAGATCTCTCTAACCTCACTTTTTCACTTTCAGAGTCTCCCGAATCACTTTTCAGCTCGGCGTGTCAGTATCCACTTATGACCATGCCATATCATTCTCTGTTCCTTCTAGTGTGTTGGGTGATGTCGAGCTGTTGTTTCTGGGATTTTCATTCATGCCAGTTTTGATGCTGCCACTTTCTTGATCATACCAGAAAGTGTCAGTGAGATATGTGTTAGACAACTGAGATTCATATTCCTTTCTCAAACAGTTCTTAAATGGTTTGTTAATTAAACACTCAGGGGCTTCAGTTGTCCAGTTATGCCAGGGAGAATAACAACCAAGTATATCTATGTGTAGGCGTTGACAATGATGTCAGGGCGGCAGCAATTGTAAGACCCACCCCAATTTCAGAGATGAAAAATACGTCTTAAAATTGATGAAAATCTGCTGGGCGCGGTGGCTCACGCCTGTAATCCCAGCACTTTGGGAGGCCAAGGCGGGCGGATTACGAGGTCAGGAGATCGAGACCATCCTGGCTAACACGGTGAAACCCCGTCTCTACTAAAAATACAAAAAATTAGCCAGGCGTGGTGGCGGGCACCTGTTGTCCCAGCTACTCTGGAGGTTGAGGCAAGAGAATGCGTGAACGCGGGAGGCGGAGTTGCAGTGAGCCGAGATTGCACCACTGCACTCCAGCCTGGGCGACAGAGTGAGACTCCATCTCGAAAAAAAAAAAAAAATTGATGAAAATCATTTTCAAGAAGTCTAGGAGTAGGTGGGTGTTGTCATTATTATTCTGGTGACTTAGCGATGTCTTTTTAAATTTTAAAAATAGAAACGGGATCTACCTATGTTGCCCGGGCTGGTCTTGAACTCCTGGGCTCCAGAAATCCTCCCCCCTCATCCTCCAAAGTGCTGGGATTGCAGGCATGCACCACCAGATGGGCCTTCTCAGAGCTTTTAGTATGATAATGTGGCTCATGGAATTATGGGGAATATGGTATTAATGCTTTCCAAATTTAGAGAATCCAAATTTATTTCCCCAAAGTAGGGAAACCAATTTTGCAGAATACCAATGAACAACTCGTGGTTCTTCCCAGAAGACAATGGTCTAGAATAACAAAGATTCTGCAGAGCGGAGCTGAACAGACAGTGTGGAATGGGGTTTGTGGAAAGTGAATAGGAATGAGATTTTGTGTAGAGACTGAGAAGGGCTGAAAGGTTTACAAAAGAGAGAGGCATGTTGATTTTTTTTTTTTTTGAGATGAAGTTTTTGCTCTTGTTGCCCAGGCTGGAGTGCAATGGCATGATCTTGGCTCACTGCAACCTCCACCTCCCGGGTTCAAAAGATTCTCCTGCCTCAGCCTCCCAAGTAGCTGAGATTACAGGCGTGCACCACCACGCCTGGCTAATTTTATATTTTTAGTAGAGATGGGGTTTCACCATGTTGGTCAGCCTGGTCTCAAACTCCTGACCTCAAGTGATCCACCTGCCTCGGCCTCCCAAAGTGCTGGGATTACAGGCGTGAACCACCGCGCCCGGTCAGGCATACTGATTTTAACCATCTCAGAGTGTTTTGATGGGCAAGGGCTAATTTGTTTTCAGGAGTCTTGTATCTATGCCACTATAATTTCCTCTGACACAGGCCTAGGTTGATACTGAGCTATTATTATCTCCCTCTCTTTCCTAACCTCTGCCACTGCCAGTGTGATATTGGAGCTAGACTGGCTGGCTTCTGGGAGTTGAATGGAGCACTTTGCTAAAATGAACGTGTACGATGCCTGCTGTTGCTTTCTCTCACATATGTTGCTGAGCGACAATGAGCAAGAACTGGCAAACTGTGTTGAGGGAATTCGTCCCTGGCCGTTTATTTGGGCTTGGGGTCATGAAGCTTAGGAAGTGACCTTTTCCACCTCTGCTTTCAATAGCAACCTTTGTGTCTTAGGCAGCTTTCAATAGCTTTCAATAGCAACCTTTGTATCTTAGGCAGTAGCCACAGCATCAACATCATTATCATCATAGTTGACATTTTTGAAGACTAAATATGCAATGGGCTATGTGATGGGTATCTTAAGGATGTAATCTCATTGAATCCGCACGAGCAGCCGGCCATTTGGATCCTCTTCTGCAAATGAAGGTCTTGAGGTGGAGAGAGGTTAAGATCACTCAGCTGTTGAATGACAGGGCTGGAATTTGAATCAAGGCCTGACTCAAGAACTGCTGTTCTCAATCTTCACTTTCTGTAGCTTCTGCTAGGATACTTCTGTGTTGTATCTGTACATTTGTCGTTCTCCGCTTTCTCAGAAATCAAACTGTATTTTTGGTGTTTCATGTTAGCACCTAGCACCATGTTCTTGCCCATAAAAAGTACTTGGTAATTGTTGAACAAGTAAAGTAAACGAAGAAATGAGAGGATGAATGAAAGAGTGAGTCAGTGAACAGTTTGCTTGAACACTAACCTAACATTGAGTTACTCACTTATAATTAGCAGAATATTTTCTCACTCATTTCAGAATCAAGTTTTGTTCCTTAGTCATCAAATTTCTTCTAAATTCTAGATGCTGCCTAGAATGTTTCTGCGTAAAATAATCATGGATCATTGGCTGCTATATTTGAAGGGGTTATATAATGGGTGTCTGGCTGGTCCAGCCTCCATTTTGCTGGCAGAGACCACCCAGCTGTTCCTGCCAAGGACGTGAGACCTTGGACCCTTGCCCAACCATCACTCTAGAGCAGTGTCTGAGGCAACCAGGGTGATTTCTGTCTTTTTTCATATAATATCCTCCAAATACTTCTTGGCCTGGACTTACAATTCTTTTTAAATAGTTTTCTTTGTGTTATTGTTGTTGGTTTCCTGGTGACATGGTTTTTATATCTTTGGTAGGTTGGGAACAGATCTAGTTCATATTTTAGTGCATCTTGCTTTTAGTCTGGCACTTCTTTCTTTCTTTTTATTTTTTTGAGACAGGGCCTCACTCTGTTGCCCAGACTAGAGTGCAGTGGTATGATCCCGGCTCACTGCAGGCTCTACCTCTTGGGCTCAGGCGGTCCTCCCACCTCAGTGTCCCGAGTAGCCGGAACTACAGACATATACCACCATGCCCAGCTAGTTTTTAAAATTTTTTGTAGATACAGGGTCTCGCTTGTTGCCCAGGCTGGTCTCGAACTCCTGGACTCAAGCAATCCTCCTGCCTCAGCCTCCCAAAGTACTGGGATTACAGGCATGAGCCACCACGCCTGCCCTCTTCTGGCGTTTCTTCTAAACCTGACTGCAAGCCCCTTTTTTTCCCCCTCCCCTCTAATGAACTCATTTTGCGTCTGCTCCTTGATCCTATCTGGATTTTTCACTTCAGCGAATTGCTGTGCTTTGTTGGTTCATTTTCATTATTTTTTATATTAAGTAAAATGAAAAAAATCTTCCAAACCCTTCTCTCACCCCTGAAAACCTCTTACTCAACTGTTTTGGCCCTTGCTTATTTCATCAATCCCACCAGCAGCCCTCTTGTCAGCGGCTTGAATTGATTTTGTGCTGATTTGTTGGTTCTGTTATGTCTGTTGTGCAGTATTGTCCCCCTGTCCCCCAGATCTCTGGGACCACTCTTTCCTTCATTATCCAAGTGGCATAGAAAACCTCTCCCATGCCACTGCAGTGCCATGCACCCGAGGGAACCCTGCACACCCTCCAGGCTTTCTTCTTTCTGAAGATGTCTGAGTTCATTCATTTGCCTGGTAGTTACTTGCCTGTCACTTCTTGCTCCAAATCCTAGCCGATTCTCAATTTCCCCAGTCTCCTCCCACTCTCAGGTTTCCATAACCTCTCTCTGCAGCCCCTGAGGCACACTTAAAGCAATGCCACCATCCCTGAGCCTTCACTGTGATCATTTTCACTCTGACACATTCTCTCATCCAGACAGTGAGGAGCTGCTCTTTCGTAAGTAAAATGGATTGATCTTGCTTTCTAAATAAAAGAACAATTCCCCCCGAGATTAATTCTCTGTCTCCCTCAGAATATGAAATGGTTACAATCAGCAGGGTTTTTTTAAATCATTTTTTTCCTTTCTGATTCATTACCTTTTGGGTATTTTATGAAGCTGAAATGCACCAGCAGAAGTAAATGTGCCTCGTAGACAGTAATATGCTATACAAATAAAAGAAATTTCTGTTGTCAAACATTTAGAAAAATATTGTCTGTATTTTGTGTCCTTTGAAAATAATAAGAACCAAGCACATAGAATATTAGGTTTTGATTGCCTGACCAGATTCTCATGTACTGAGAAAAATGGAGATACATGTGGATTTTTATTTATGCAAAGCAAGAGAAGCAGCAGGTGGCCTGGAAGGAGTAGGAGCTGCAGGCAGTAGTCACGCCCTTGGCCCTGGGTCTGTCTGAGGCTCCGGATCATCATCGTATCATCGTATCATCATAGTGGTGTCTGAGGGTAGGGAGGGATCCTGGAGCCAAAGGAGCAATTACTGAGCCCCAGAGGAGGCCCTGGAAAATTCCGGGATTTGACCCTCTCTGTGTTTCCAGCAGCTATGTCTGGGCACCTGCGCCTCAGAGTTGATCCAGGTCTTGATTTCCACCTGGCTGACCATCAGAGCTCCCTCTTGGCCTTTGTCGAGTGTGACCTGTGGAGCAGGACCTCTGACGTGTGCCCCTCCTGTGTTGTATCCAGGGACAGGGTGCCTTATCGGAGAGACTGCGGAGCTTCAGCATGCAGGACCTCACCACCATCAGGGGAGACGGCGCCCCTGCTCCCTCGGGCCCCCCACCACCGGGGTCTGGGCGGGCCAGCGGCAAACACGGCCAGCCTAAGATGTCCAGGAGTGCTTCTGAGAGCGCTAGCAGCTCAGGTAGGTGTCACTTTACTTCCCCTCTTTCCCACTCCTTGGGCCTCGCTTTCATTGAGAGAGGCCCAGTCCGCAGTGTGGCATGCAGCCTGGCCCTGGCCCCACGGACCTGCCACCAACGGGGTGTCCATCAGATCATGCCAGGTCAGCCAAGGGGCGGAGCACCCCTCAGGCCCGGCCAGGAAACCAGCCTGGTGACTGATCAGGGACAGGGCTAGGTCACCTGCACCAAAGGGTCCCCTTTCCTCCATATGATTGTCTGGGGAATTGGGGGTAGTTGGGGGCTAGTGTCTAGGCAAAGCCTGGAGGCAGCAGGCACAACTGGACCTGGGCCCCGGGAGCCTTCTGTGTTGTCTTCTCAGACTCCGGGGAGGCATACCTGTTGATACCTAAGTGTTGTCTTCTCACCCGGGGCTTACTGCTCTCACGGGCCCTCTTCCCTGCCTGAATATTGCCTGTCCTCTCTCTCACTCTGCTGTCTCCTTCTCATCTCTGACCTCTCATGTACCTCACACCACCCCCAGCCTCTGCATACCAAGGGCCATGCTAGCTCTGAGTTCTTGTTCCTGTGGTGACCAGGACCTTACAGTAACCACACCTCTGCCTCCAATGTCTGACTCTGGTGTCACACGCCCATCGTGGGATTGCTGGTATTGGGACTGACCTGGGGACCTCGTTAAACATGCAAAGTCCTGGGCCCATCCGCAGAGGCTTCAGTAGGTCTGGGGTGAGACCCAGAAGTGTGATTTTCATTGAGATGCAGCCGTGTTTGGGACCCCCCGACATCGGATCCACCAGCACGGGTTTCAGGCTCATGGAGGGTGGGGGCACACAGTTTCCCAGGCTGCTCCTTGGGAGGATGCCAGGGGCCTTGGGTCTCAGGGGCTGAGCACAGCAGCTGCCCAGGACTGATGGTGGGGGGGTGGGGGACGGTTCTGGATCACCACTTCTGCCTCGCTGTGGTGAGAAGGGTGGGAATCTATGTCCACAATGTCTGTCTGGTGACTGCGTGGCCCTTAAATCTATAAACAGAGATGTCTGGCCACCTGTGACTATGCAGCCTGCAGGGGACACCTTGGCCATAAGCCCCATGTCCTGACAGACCCCATCTGATGCCCGGGGGTCTTAGCCATCAACAGGAAGGCATGAGGCCTGCGGCTGCCTGGGAATGGCAACTCATGCTCAGAGCCAAGTGCAGCTCAGGGCTCCGTCCATTTCCTCCCTCTCAGCAGTGTCCCCTTGGCCCTTCGCAGGTCTTAAGACTGTGGCTTTTCTGTTGGGAGATGTTTTAACCCTGTCACTGCTGGAAGCAGGGCAGGGTTGGGGAGGTGGAGGCTCGGCTGTGGGGGTGATGGCCACCTCAGGGAGGGGTTACCCCCCGAGGGACCCCCCCCCAGGAATGGAATCCCAAAAGGCCAGACAGGAAATGACCTCAGGGATCTTTCAGTCAAACCCAGTGATTTTACTGGTGAAGAGACAGAGGTCCAGAGAAGGGGACTGTGCAGGGTCACCCATGCTGGGCTGCAGTAGAGCGTGGCCTTCTGACTCCGGGGCCAGTGCCCATGGTCACTCACTCATCAACCATCCAGGCTTTGTCAAGCATCTACAGCTTCTGATCTGCCGGACACTGCCCCAGAAATAGGGATACAAAACAGAGTTAAGTCTCATCTCCACACTGCATCAGCTCATCATCTACCAAGCCTCAGATGAAAGCTGCCCCTTAGATGGAAAAGGGGCCTCAATTCAGTAAAACCCAGAGGGCAGAGAGCAAGAACCAGTGGGGTGAAGTTCGAAGGGGGTAGCCACTTGCTCGCCGCATGACCCGGGCGAGCTATTTACCATCTCTGCACCCTAGATTTCTTATCTACACAAGGAATGACACCCCTTTGTAGAGTTGTTGTGAGGCTTCAAATGAAACCAGCCATGTGAAAGTGCTTATGGCCATGCCTGGCGCCAGTGCATAGTAGCTGTTATCATTGTTCTTTTTGTAATTTGTCTCTCCTGAGAAGGCGCATTGTCATGCTGCAAGTGTCCAGGAGCAAAATGGGCCATCTTGGGAGGTAGTGAGGTCCCTGACATTGGAAGGACACAAGCCAAAGCTGGATGGTCAGGTTCGAGGGAGGGATTCCTGCTTTGGCTAGGAAGCGGGCTTAGGTGGCCCTGGCGTCCCTTTGCCTCTAAGAGTCTGTGTTGCCATTTTAGAGGTGAGCCCAGTGGAGGAAGCAGGCTCAGAGAGGTTGTGCACTGGGCTGAGGCCCCCAGGCCCAGAATCCAGGCCTCCTGCCTAGACCTCCCCTGGTGAATTATTCAGGGCAGCCTCAGAACTGGGAATGCAAGAAGCTGGCAGGGTCTGCAGGGAGATGGCAGTGTCTTCTGGGCCTGGAGTATCTTCCCAGCCCAGCATCAGGTAGAAAAGCATTTGGGATGATTTGCTTTGGCACTGGCTCTGCCACTCTCCATGAGCAGAGGTGATGACGTCCCCTGCCATGCCCCAGGGAGGCAGTGGGGAGTGTTCTGGCTGTCCCAGGCTGAGAGGACCAGCTGTGCTGCATTATGCCCCAGCCCTCCTCACTGCTGGCCCCCTTGGCCTCCGCACCTATGACCACAGGGGGCAAAGAGGAAAGGTGCAACCCAGCAGGGAGGCCAAGGACAGTGTAGTGCTCTTTCCAGCTGTTCTGGAGCCTAAAATAAAAGCCATCTCAAAAAGGAAGACAGGAGCTGGGTGTAGTGGTTCACGCCTGTAATCCCAGCACTTTGGGAGGCTGAGGAGGGTGGATCACCAGAGGTCGGGAGTTCAAGACCAGCCTGACCAACATGGAGAAACCCCGTCTCTACTAAAAACACAAAATTAGCCAGGCGTGGTGGTGCATGCCTGTAATCCCAGCTACTCATGGAGTAGCTGAGGCAGGAGAATCGCTTGAATCGGGGAGGCGGAGGTTGCAGTGAGATGAGATTGCACCATTGCACTCCAGTCTGGGCAACAAGAGTGAAACTCCATCTTTAAAAAAAAAAAAAAAAAAAAAAAAAAAGGAAGACAGGTGAAAGATGGCCTGGGGCGTGGATATGGGGCAGAATTTCCTGGGTCAGAGGCTCTTGGGCTATCATACCCTGAAGTAAGGTCAACATGCCTAGGAGGAAGTCTGGCAGAGGAAGCCAATTTATACCGGGCTGGTGTACTCTCCCCAGCTCAGCCCCCAGTGTGGGCCTCAGATGCCAGGCCAGATCAGGTAGCAGAAAGGGCCCCAGAAAAGGGGAAGAGGCTAGACTTCATCCTGGCTGGGTGATGCCGGGCCTGTGCAGACACAGCAAATGCAGCACAGCAAGGCATGCTCCTTCCTCCTGAGCCTCAATTCAGCCTCAGAACTTCTCTCAGAACAACCCAGGCAGTCGCTACCATAGATTTGGCCTTGGCACAGAGGACAGACCTGATTCCCTCAGGCTTTCTTCTTTGTAAAAAAGACCGAATAGTCCCTATTCAGCCTATGTCTTAGGGTTGTGAGGAGAGCAAACCAGAGAATTTGCAAACCCTGGACAGGTGGCAGGGGTTGAAGACAACCTGGAGAGAGGTGGGAGCTGCACCTCGTGGAATTCTCTGCAGCTGCTGGAAGCAACAGATTAAGGGTGCACACAGTGGAACTTGAAAGCATGATGCCAGGTGAAGAAAAGTGCAAAACAGAATGAGATTTTATCTAACAATTTATGTAAAAAATATATGCCTATCATGCAAAGTAACAATACGGAGTTTATATGAAGAACATGTTCAAACAAAAAGTTGCACATTAAAATATTAAAAGTGACACTCCTTGAGGAGGAAGGAGAATGTGAGTGGGGTGTGGGAATAAAAGTCATGTAAAGGCACATAAAAAGGGTTGCCAGGCGCGGTGACTCACGCCTGTAATCCCAGCACTTTGGGAGGCCAAGGCGGGTGGATCACCTGAGGTAGAGAGTTTGAGACCAGCCTGACCAACACAGAGAAACCCTGTCTCTACTAAAAATACAAAATTAGCTGGGCGTGAAGGCGGGTGCCTGTAATCCCAGCTACTCGGGAGGCTGAGGCTGGAGAATTGCTTGAACCCGGGAGGCAGAGGTTGCGGTGAGCTGAGATCATGCCATTGCACTCCAGCCTGGGCAACAAGAGTGAAACTCTGTCTCATTAAAAAAAAAAAAAAAAGTGAAGGGGATCCCATGAACCAGTGTGGACCATTTGCTGTGAGCCAAGAAGGGACATCCATGTGACCTCCTGCATCTTGAGAAAAGGGAGGAAGATGCACACAAACGAGGAAGGGAGGAAGGGGCACAAAGACTGTCCCTGCACGGTCACTCAGCGCTGCAAGCTCCTGGCAGGCAGACAAGGGTTCTGTGCTTCCCTCTGTAAATGCCTACCCAACATACTCACCACATGCCTGGCACACAGAGACCTCTGTATGTGCAGTGAGGACACAGGGTCTAGGCGTTGGAGAAGGGGAAGGAGAGTTCTTTCCTGTTGCTTTCAGCACCCAGGATGGGGCTGGGCAGTGTACTTGGCCTGACCCTCTCTCTTGCCTGGAGTTTTCCTCTTTGCTTAAAGGGTCAGGGCAGGCAGGGACTGACATGGCCCTCCCTGCAGAATGAGCTGGAAGGTGTGTAGTCAGATACCATATGCTGAATGCCTAGCACTGGACACCAGGAAGTGTACAAGAAATGTTGAAAGAATGATCCTGGCCTTCCATGGACTTGGAGTCACTCAGTGAGCATGTATTTAGTGAGCACCTACTCTATTGCCAAGGCCCAGATGTGCACCAAGACCAATGGCGTGTACAAGGCAGCAGCCAGTTAGGCCTTTGCAAATGCCCAGATGCGAAGCACTTTGGGGTTCAGAGGTAAGTCTGGGGAGGTTTCCTGGAGGACATTCTGAACTGGAAAGCAAAGAGAGGAGGAGGCTTTGGGCAGGGGTGCTTGGAGTTATTTTCCAGAGGGAACTTTGACTCTGTCTCCGGCCTTCCCTAGGGCTGCAGGGTGCAAGGACTGACTTTGTGTGCCAGGTGAGGGTATCTTCTGCACCTGAGCAGAAACTGAATCTGAGATGACTCTTTCCCCACTTTGGTGTCTCTACAGAGACCCACCTTCCTGGGATCCCTATATTGTACACACTGGGATCCCCACACCTCTCCAGGGCCTCCCTGTTTGCCCGGGGCTGGTTCCTGTCCAGTGGGGGATGTCACTGATGGTGCCCCTACCCCATTCCCACAGTGTGTACCTGCTGCTCCACCTGCAGGACCTGGAAAGGTGAGTAAGCAGCCAGCCTCTCCGCAGCGTGCTGGACTCTCACTCGGAAAGAGCTTCTAACCAGGAGTGGGCACCTGACCCTGGGGCTCCCTTTCAGCTGCATGGTCATAGGGAGGGGTCAGGAGGTTAACCCTTTATAACAGCAAACACAGTAGCTTACAGTTCCTGTGGGCTAGAAATCTGGGAGCAGCTTAACTGGGTGGTTCTAGCTCAGGGTCTCTCAAGAGGCTGCAGTCAAGATGTCAGCCTGGGCTGAGTTATCGGAGGGCTTGACGAAACTGGAGGGTCCACTTTCAAGATGGCACTCTTATGGCTGTTGGCTGGGCCTCTCCAAGGCTGCTTAAGAGTCCTTACAACGTGGCAGGTGGCCTGGCCTAGAGTGAGCCATTCAAGAGATAGAGGGCAGGCAGGAAGCCAGGGTACCTTTTCTGTCCTAGGTTTTGAAGTCACACTCATCACTTCTGCCTTATTCTATTTGTTGGAAGCAAGTCATTAAGCACAGCCCACATTCAAGGGGAGGAGAATTAATCTCCACCTCTTGAAGGGAGGAGTATCAAAGAATGTGTGGAGATATCTTAAAACCACCACAGGGTCACTGGGCGGGGTGGCTCATGCCTGTAATCCCAGAACTTTGGGAGGCAGAAGTGGGAGGATTTCTTGAGCCCAGGAGTTCGAGACCAACCTGGGCAATATAGCAAGAATTAATCTCTACAATTAAAAAAAAAAAAAAGCCAGGTGTGCTGGTGTGCACCTGTAGTCCCAACTACTTGAGAGGCTGAGGCAGGAGAATTGCTTGAGCCTGGGAAATCAAGGTTGCAGTGAGCCATGATCGTGCCATTGCACTCAAGCTGGGTGACAGAGCAAGACCCTGTCTCAAAAAAAAAAAAAAAAAAAGAAAAGAAAAAGCCACAACAGGGTCATACTTCCTTGTGCTCCAGGTAAGGACACAGGAACTTCAGAGGACTAAGGTCCTCTGAAATGATGAAGTCCTGAAGTTCCAGGGGTTTCTGGTCCTGGGGCAGCCAAGGGAGCCCTGTTCCTGCTTTGCCACTTACTTGCTGTGCAACTTTGCGTGAATCACCTAACCGCTGTGAGCTTCAGTTCCTCCTCTTAAAACGGAGATGAGATCCCTGCTTCCCGGCCTCACTGTGCTGTTGTGAAAGTGGCTGTGAAAGGGCCATAATAATCCTGGGAAGGATGATGAGGATGATGATGATGATGATGGTGGTGGTGGTGGTGGTGATGATGGTGGTGGTGGTGGTGGTGGTGGTGGTGGTGGTGGTGGTGATAGCCTGGAGCATCCAGGAGACCCCAGGGAGAGTGGAGGTCTCCCGGTTCTGGACAGAGACTCCTGTTGCTGCCCTCCCAGCGTGTGAGTGATGGCTTGTTGGAGCCACAGCCACCTGGTGGTTGCCATGACCTGCTTCTCCAGTTGCCTAACCTTAAGTAGACACATTAGGGACTAGTGAGGGTCCTGGACTAATCCAGTGCCCCTTTCACACTGCCTGGCTCCCCATAGAGAAGCTGCCTTAGGCTTGGAAGGCAAGAGGGGCCGTGCCTGGCCTGCAGCCTGCTGGCTGGTGTCAGGGGAGGAAGGAAGGCACGCAAGGTGCCTAATATAGCTTTTGCTCCAGCCCTGGTGCCGCGGAGGCATGACATGCCCCTCCCACATCGGCAGTGAGCAAGACAGGAAACTGCATTATGTGACGTGTCCTGTTTTCCCTGCATTGCTTTATTTTTAAGGCTCTCAGTGCTCAGCTTTTTAAGTCCTTTATAGAAGAGCTGGGGATTAGGACAGGCGCAGTGGCTCACACCTGTAATCCCAGCACTTTGGGAGACCGAGGCAGGCAGATCACTTGAGGTCGGGAGTTCGAGACCAGCCTGACGAACATGGAGAAACCCCATCTCTACTAAAAATATAAAATTAGCCGGGTGAGGTGGCACATGCCTGTAATCCCAGCTACTCGAGAGGCTGAGGCAGGACAATCGCTTGAATCCGGGAGGCAGAGGTTGCGGTGAGCCGATATCATGCCATTGCACTCCAGCCTGGGCAACAAGAGTGAAACTCCATCTAAAAAAACAAAAAAGCTGGGGATTCTGGAGGCCATAAGGCCAAACTGAACTGACAGAGGAGTCTGAGCAGGGCTGCAGATGGAGAGAAGCGTCCCAGCCCAGCTCTGACTAACCCTGTGTCCCTGTGGGGCCTCCTGGTCCAAGTTGGAAATGAAGGGGCTGCGTTCAGCTGTTTCCAGCACCGGGCACTAGACGCTGGCCTGGTGGACACACTAGTTCATGGGAAATGACCCTGTGGTGCCAGTGGCTCCAGGCAATTGCAGGGATTTCTGTCTATTCACACTGTAGTTTTGAGTCTGCAAATTCTGTGAGCCATTCCAAAAGCCTCTAATTCTGGGAGATTGGCACTTGGGGGTCGGGGAGAGTGGCTGCCCTGTCCTCCATTCTTCCCCTGACACTGCTCTGTGCTGCTCTCAGAAGCCCTTCCCTGCCATGACATCTGGTGGTTTCATGATCAGACACAGTGTTTCCAGTGCATTTCAATAGAGCTGTGGTTGATTGTAGGAACTGAATAGTTCTGGAAGGCTGCATGTGCATAAGAGTGTGTCCAGGATTCAGTGTCCAAGTTCTGGTTCCTTATCCCCGAGCAGGTTGGTTGCTGCTGGGATGGGGGTTGCTGGACAGCGGGAAGCAGGTGAGGCCTGGTGGTGGCCTCAAGACCTGGAAGCCGTTGTCCTAGCCCTTCCTTTCTTGGACCTCCGCCTCTCCAAGGGCCTCTTAATACCTGTGCCCTGGCTCTCAGGTCTGCATGCAAGGAACCCTTTGATGATTGGCCTACACCATTCCCTCTGAGGCCTTGGGAAAGCCCCTGCACTCTGCAGGCCTCAGTCTCCCCCTCCATGAGGTGTCCCTTGGTCCTCCCAGCTCTGACAGTCTCTACTGGATTGTGCAGTGGTGGCAGATGGTGTTGGGGGAGGTCTGTCTTGCACCTGGGGCTATAGGCTGACTCTTAAGCAGTAAGAGGATTTCACAGTTGTCGGGGACACTTTCCTCCTGGTCCCCTGAAATGTTGTCACAAGGGGTGCTCACTCAGGCCAAAGCCTGGGAAGATTCAAATTACCTCTGGGGCCATGCAGAGCCCCAGGATCCCTCAGCAGACAGGAACATTTTCTAGGAGTTGTAAATTCAGGTCTTAATTCATGATGGGGGTAGGGAAAGGAGGCATTTCGGAGGCTGCTAAGTGCCTTTTAGGGCAGTGACAGAGCTTAGAGGCCCCAGGGGCAGCAGCCTCTATTCTAAGCTGCACATCTCAGATGCCAGAACATTCTTTTCCCATCTTTGCTCTGTTCCTGCCCCATTTGTCAACTGATTCCCTATTGTTTTCTGCATGTCTTTGTCTCTCTTTTTCTGTGTGTCTATTATTATCTCTCTCTCTCTTTTTTTTTTTCTCTGCCTACCTCTATGTCATATAGAACTGAACTCTGGATTACTGCCTGTGTGGTTAGTCATAGAGGTGTCCCTCCCCCCCTTTTAAAATCAAGCATGTAGGACATAATTTTTAAAAGCAGTCATCCTTTTTGTCCTCTCAGAGAGAGAGAGAGAGAGAGAGAGAGAATTGCATTTTGAGTGTGGCCTCTGGGCAGTGTCCTTCTGATTATAGCAGGAGGAGCTGCCTGAGGTTTAGAGCATGGGAAGTGAGTGAGCATGTGTGTGTCTACATGTGTGTATGTGAGTGTGTCTGTGTGTGAGTGTGTGTGGATGGGGATGTGTGCATGGTGCACACGTGTGAGTTTTAGTGCCAAAGACCCTTCTCTAACGGAATGTTCTTTTCTCTCTCCTCGGTGCTGTTGGGGACGTGGATGTAAGTGTTCCAGACAGGCGTGCTCTTCTGCAGACATTTGCTGCCTTCCATTAATGCTCCCGCTAATGTGTGCTGTGTGGGATGTTTTTGCTAACCTGGGGGAGGTTCTGCTGCACTGCAGGGGTGCGGCAGCCCTGGGCCCACTGCAGGCTACACAGGCCTTTAAAGGGCTGAGAGGCTCTGCCAGTTTCTCCCTCCCTCCCTTCCCCACAGAGAGAAGAGGTGGAGCCTGCAGCCCTGGCTGCTGTAGCCCTGCTGACACATTTGCTAATACAGAAACATCAGCCAAGGCCACACACCCATTCCCCTGCTGTGGAAGACGGCAGAAACCCTGCCCTTTCCTAGAAGCAACCCAGCTTTGGGCATCATAGTGGCAGCTCTGCAGGCTCAAGGCCGTGGCCACCATCACCTGAGGTTTGCAAGTTGTTATGGCCATGACCTTGGGCGGGAGACCCTCCTCCCACACACATTGTCTCTGGGAGCCAATTAGAGTACTAAGATGTGGATAGCAATACTCTTTCAGGCCTGTTGCCAGGGGTAAGGACCTGTTGGGTCACCAATCTTTAGATCTTCAGGGACAAGAACATGGAGGAGGCAGAGCATGGGATTTTCTACCCAGCTACTCACTCTCCTGCTCCTCCTGGTGCCCCTCTTTTGGGACTATGTTCTGTGGGGTTCATTTCTCCATTTATACTCCTTCCTGATATAAAAAGGAGTTAGGTCTACTTGTGGAAATATATCTAAAGTAGCAAATCAAAGTAAGAAAATTGAAGCATGGGGAGAAGGGAGTGGGCAAGTAAGATGGAATCAGTGGGGAGAAGGACATTTTAAATGCATACCATCAAGGTGTAGACTGTTGAGACACCTGGCTTCCTTGAAACCACTGCAAAGAGGGAAATACAATTATTAAGAGATTCAGTCCACTGTGCAACAGCCAGCTAGAGGCGTGGAAGCTTGTCTTATTTAGAATGTTTATTCTCACTGGTTCTGAGAGTAAGGCAAATATTATAGACAACACTCTTGGCAGAAATGCTCAGCGGACACAGTGACTAGGAGATGTCTTATCTTCTTAGGAGGTTCTCTCTGTAGCTTCTTCCTGAGGCTATTCTGGCTCCCTCACTGCCCACACTGGCCTCTTTTGCTCCCAGCCTCTGCTGAGCTGAGCACTTGTTTCTATTCCTGCTTGGATATCTGGGTTGTCCTTGAACCATCACTCCTACTGGGCTGGAGGGTCATTTCTTTTCTACCCTGCAATCCTTGCAGTGGAGAACATGCACAAAGCCATTTTGGTTTCAGTCCTGAGATTATAGTGATGATGGTGATTTTGGTAAGTGTGAGTTCATTGCTCAGCCTCAGTGAATCCAGACTGGATAACTAGCCTGGGTTGTTAGATGCCTGAGGATCTCACGGTGACTTTGGGCCACCTTCTGACACCCACAACCATCAGTACAGGGAAAGCCCTGGACCTGGATGTGGAGGGTACAGCATATGCAGAGGCACAGTCTCGAACCGGTACCCACCCCACTTCCATGTCATGGAGTTGGCTGCTGGGGTGGAGCTGGCCAGGCTGCTTCTGCAGTTTTTGCCTTGGTCTGAGGGCTTTTGGTCTTTTTTCCCTCCTGCCAGGCAGGAGGTATCTGTGTCCAGAAGGAATTTCCTGGTTTGGTTAATGGGGGTGTCAAGCTCTGACTTGGGACTAGAGCTGAGCTCTCTGAGATGACTTCAGGATTCTATTTAGTTTAGTTGATGAGTGGCCACTGTGTGCCCAGCCCTGGGTCAGGTGCTCAGAGAGACTGAGGGAGGATCAGCCATGGCCCCCCAGTCTCAGGATGCCTTCTGTTGGCTGAGGCAATGAGACTGACATGAGGACCAGGGCACCCAACACAAGCTGTGTGGCACAGCCTCCAAGCACTGTCGGGTCTCAGAGTGGGGAGGCCAGGGAGGGTCAGAGTATTCAGCGAGGGCTCCCTGGAGTCACTGGTCTTTGTGCTCAACAGGATGCAGCTGATTAGGACAGAGGAAGGGAGCAGAGGACAAACTAAGCCCAGAGTAAATAAGCTGAGGGAAGTGCAGAGTAGAAATAAAATAATAATAGTAATTTAAAAATCAAAGGAACATCAGTGATCTCAGGACTTTACTTACTAAGGCCCAGTCTGAACCAATCACACCCCAGCCTAAAATTCAGCTTTGCATGTTGTGCTGCTTCCTGCTGGCTGTTGGGGAGCACAGCAGTGGTAACTGGTAAAGCTGCCCAAGATTAGGGTTCAGTTGTCTGTTTTTTTACTCCACGCCTGGTGGTGGTATAGTCTAGCAAGTCCACTGTTGATGGAGAGAGAGCACATTCGGTGGCTGAATATGTTCTTAGGAGCAGGGTGTCTCAAGAAGAGCTGTGGTTTCTATCTGGAGGCCTCACGGTGATTGGACCAGATGACTTGAGAACCCCTTAGTCTTGCATTCTGTGATTCTAGGTAAAAACAATAGATGCAGCATAGAAAAATGTGTGTGTGTGATACCAGATAAGCTGGGTAGGGGCAGAAGATATTTTACATCTCAACTAAGAACCGCCTAGCAGATGACATGGAATATGTATTAGCATTTAACATTTAAAAAATACTGTGCGTTCAATGAGATGAATTAATTCTGAAGCTTTTCCCGCAGATGTATTCAAGGCAGACTGAAACAGGAATCTTGCTATCATTTTTTTTGGCAGAGGCATCTGTCAGATTCTCCTTCCTTAGGTTTCTCTGCTTCTCTAGGACTGGGCCTTCGCAAAAAAAAAAACAAACAAAAAAACTATATAGCTTTGTTTAAGGTTATCACTTAAGGCCTCCTGGCATTTTATATCCTGTCTCTTACAGGATGCTTGGAATTGAATATGCAAGTATAATATACAATGTCAACATGGCTTGTATGTACAACATAGAAACTGCTCTCCCACCCCACCCCACATCACTGCTGCCATCCTCTCTAGAGGAGATTCTTTCCCTGAGCATTCACCTGGTGTGGGATCACAGGACTGAGCTGCAGGGATTGATGTGTCTCAGTTAAAGCCGCTTCTTTCTTCACCCAGGGAAGTGATGCCCCCTTAGTAAATCTACTGAATTACTCAGAATTCAGTAGATTCTGAGTCTGTGGTTGTTTCTGTGCACAGTGCCTGGAGATTCACACAACTGCACTTTCACAATCCCAGATCCCCTGTAAGGAGGCCCCCAAAACATCAGTGCTTCCTCAGACCGAGGGGCCTCAGCTGTCCTCACAGGCCTGGTTTGCTGTGCTGTGTGCCTAACCTTGCCCTTCCCTGCTCCCTGCACTGATGCTTCCTTGCTATACCTTGTCTCATCTGTGTAGATTGTAAATGGACATTAAGTGGTTGAGGGAGATGTGAATGAGGGTGGTATGAAGGCATGGGAGCCCCACCAGGTCCAAAACCCATTGGCGTTTTCTGACGACGAGGAGGAAGACCTGCTGGATTTCATGTACAAGTATAAAGCACCTCGAAGGATGGAATTGCCCCTGGAGGTACACAGTGTCTGGGGCTGTGGGTTGGAGTGTGTTTGTCCAAAGGCTATGCCCTGGAGATTGGGGGTCCTGGGAGCAGCATCTCTTGGGGCACCAACATCTCCTCAATACCTGGGGTGGAAAGATCTCCTTCCATCAAACAAGCAGAACCAGTCACTGGATAGCATCCAGCTACTTGCCAAGGAGAGGAAATCCTATTAATTTCATTTAGAAATAGGAGCGTGAGCCGGGTGCAGTGGCTTATGCCTGTAATCCCAGCACTTTGGGAGGCCGAGGCAGGTGGATCACCTGAGGTCAGGAGTTCGAGACCAGCCTGGCCAACATGGCAAAACCCCTTATCTACTGAAAATACAAAAATTAGCCGGGTGTAGTGGCGCGCACCTGTAGTCCCAGCTGCTTGGGAAACTGAGGCAGGAGACTCGCTTGAACCCAGGAGGAGGAGGTTGCAGTGAGACTGCACTGCTGCACTCCAGCCGGGATGACACAGCGAGACTCCTTCTCAAAAAAAAAAAAAAAAAGAAAAGAAAAACAAATAGGAGAGTGGTAAAGTATCTAGGTCTTTATTGTTTTGTTTTGGTTTTTCCAGGTATTAACAACTACCACTCTAAGTTGACGTACAAGTGAAAAACAACCCAAATTGACTGTTTTGGGGGAAGAAAACTCAGAATGTGTTATTTGAAAAGTTTTTATAAATAAGAACAAGGCTTGTTCATCGCTGTATCTCCAAGACACAGCATATAGTGCCTGGTATAAAGTAGCTATTCATGAAATGTTAGTGAAGGGGTATAGCCCTTTAGGGTTACCAAAACCAATACCCTTGACATATATGCTATTTTCAGTTGTAGGATGTGGATGGAGTTCTGGCAGCAGGAGGGCTGAGCCTGGAGCCTCCTGGGCCTTGCTCTGTGATGTGGGTAGGGAGTCACCAGTCATGAGCACAGGTGCAGGGACCCCAGTCTTTCTCTCTGCTTCCTAAGGTCTCCTCTCCTATTCCCCATCTGCTGAGTATCACGGCCTGAGAGGCCATCTGAAGCAAATAGGAAGTCTCCGTACAGACCCTTGTGAGACTTATATGGGGAGATGCCTTGAAATGTTCCCTTCTGCAGACACTGAGCAGCCTAGCATTCTTATTTGTTAGGACTGTAATTATGACCACCTCCATGTGCAGTTCATCAGGTTCCTTTGCAAGGTGAGGCACACATGCATCCCTTTTAAAGTTAGAGGGTTTGGGAAAGGATGTTCTGGGCTTGGACACTGCTGGAGGAGTCTGGCCTGGGCAATCTGGCCTGGGCAGCCTCCTGATGGGGAGAGGAGCCCAGCCTAAAGAATTCTAAGGCCCAAGGGTTTGTGCTGTTTTGCTTTTGTTTATTAAAGCTGCACAAACTGCTTTACTGTTTACAGTTCACCAGCCTGCCAAGAGGCAGATTACTATAAAGGTGGGTTCCGTTGTTTCCGTTTTCAGTGTCTGTCCAGAGGTGGCTGGTAAGCATTTCCTAGTGGTAAGGCTGTAGCATGAGGACTCTATGAGAGGGCCTGAGTCTTGTTTTCTGGCTCATTCACTTCCTGCCTTGTATGTGCCTGCCCAGCACTGAGCCACTTACCAGGAAATGGTGGTGAATGCGACATGGGCCTGCCCTCAGGAAGTCCCCAGTCTGGTGGGGAGAGAGTGAGCAGGGCCCCCACACACTCCCTTCCCACTGGGTGCAAAGTCCTCTGCTGGGGGACATGTACAAAACATGAGAGAACAAAGGAGGTGACGATGCCTGGTTGTGCATGGCTGGGCAGTGGCAGGAGGGGCTCCGGGAAACCTTTGCAGAAGTGACTTTTGAGCTGGGTCCTCAAGAGGCCTAGAAATATGCAAGACAGAGGAGGGAGGGAAGGGCTTCCAGTCAGAAGGAATAGAGGCATGAATGGGCACAGTGTAGAGAAAGAAGTTCTCTGTGTATACAGAGAAGTGGACAGACACGGGGGCCAAGGGTAGGTTGGGGCCAGTTGTGTGAACCCCCTCAAGTGCTGTGCCAGAAAATGTTCCCTTCACTTTCATTGAAATAGGAACTCCTCCTGTGATCTGTGTATCCCATGGAAGGAGGGGTCTCTTGAGAGTCATTTGTGGGAGAGATGAGGTGGAGCCCTTCATATAAGTTGAGCATCCCTAATCGAAAAATCTGAAATTCTTTGAGTGTGGACAAGACGCACAAAGGTCATGCTCATAGGAGCATTTTGAATCTCAGATTTTCAGATTGGGGTGCTCAATTGGAATGTATATGCAAACATCCCAAAATCTGAAAAAAAAAAAAAAAAAATCTGAAATCCCAAACACTTCTGACTCCAGGCATTTCCGGATAAGGGATATTCAACCTGTACTTCAAGGTGGTGTTTGCCTTTGTGGTGTGGTGTGCTGTACATTAAGAGGTTTCTCATCCAGAAAGGGGACTGGAAATTTGATGATGGAAATTTGAGGCATGTACCAAAACACATTAGGCTGGTTCCCAAAGGAAATAACAAAAGCAAAGGAAGCATGCGGAGGTGTCTCTTTCTGCTGAATCATTTAAGATAATTTTGCTCCTCAGGCAGAAACAAGAAAGATGTGTCATTCTGCACAACCGTTCCCTTGGGAGATTGAGGAGCATAATTTAAGAGGGAGGCATCAGCCTCTCAAAGGGCTCAGCTTCATGCGATATGTGGGATGGGACTCTGATGATTGCTTCCTGTTGCGGAGATTCAGGGAGACCCCAGCCCTAGCCAGCTGCATTTGGCCAAAGGAGCTGGAAGTCTCAACACAATGCCTTCCAGGTGCTGACCTCAAAAGATCCCACATTTACACCAAACTGAGGGACACCTTTCTGTTTTCTCTACCAGGCACCGCCTAGAATCCTTCGATCTCGCTTCAGGAAGAAAAGTACCTCATCCTCGGCCACCGAAACCACGTGAGTGAGATGAGCCAACAGCACCGGATCCACAGAATGTTTCTTCTCTGCCTTAAAGAGCTATTCACTAATAACATAGAAATCCGCAAGCTGGGTGTGCTTTGAGTGTGCAGCCTCACAAACATGGCCTTTTCTCTCTCCCCTTCCACTTTTAAGGATTTATTTTTTTCCCCCTTTTCTTTATTTTGCTGGGGAGAGGCTAAAGGGAAAGGTAGTAGGGGCGGGGGTGGTGACCTTTAAGTCTTCTGAGGTTGGTAATTTTCCACAATTGGATTGTCATTATAGACAGCAGTGTGTTTTTTAGAAAGATAAGAGAATCACCCCTATGCTGCTGAGATGTACATTTGTAATTTATCTGTTGCATACTTAGTTTTTAGTCCTGTAAATGCAAACACAGCATTTTTTACAACTTTCTTTGTTCTTGGTACTTATACTTTGAACTATGATGTACATATTTATGGCTTTTGGCTTTTAATATAATGGACTTGCAAGGGCTGCCAGAGGTTCTGATATGTAAGAAAACTGCAAAAACAAATATAGACAAATATTTTGATTCTAGAGAACGTCTCAGATGTGCTTATAAAGCTTCCAAATACAACTCCAGTAAGACATCCCTTTCCCTGCAGGAGTGTGGTCTATATTCTTTAGATAGTTGTTTAGTCAAAAGACCAGACAAGTTACAAACTAAGAGAAACAATATTTCACAACACAGTAAAGTGTGATGAGAGGTCAGGGGAACATCCCAGTAAAAGAGAAGAGTCACAGGAAGCTCATCTCCTCCCTGGATTCTGGATTAGGAGCTTCTGAATCTTTTCCAGGGATAGGCAGGTAGCTCACTCTTGGTGCAATTTCTTGAGGATGGGAACATGTAGAGCTGCTGGAAGGAGTAATTCTGTGCTTGACAAAGGACGATTTCTCCTTTATCGTGACCAGTGCTGCCGATTTCCTGACAGAGGAGCTTACACTCTGAGCACCTTGTTTTAGCGAACTCTAGCAAAACTTGTTTAGCTTAGCAAAAACAAACACACAAAAAACTGAGAACTCTGCTGTTTCAGATATGCCATAACATACATCTGAAACACATGTGTAACAATCAAAATGGTGGGCTCTAGAATGGTTTTGGAGCTCGAGATCTTCATGGGTTAGACTTGCTGGTCAGACCCAGGAGCACCTGTGGCTCACACCTTCTGTTCCCCTCCTGGCCTGTGCAGAATGTAAACAGCAGACTCATACTCAATGGGCACTACAGGCCTTATCAGACGTTTTATACAAGCCTGGATTGCTTAGTAGGGGAATAAGGCATTCTCTGAGGGGGCTTTCCACTTAGATTGAGAATTTTATTTGAAAAGAATCTGGTTTAAATGGCATTGTGGTCCGAGGTAGCTGCTCTCCCCACTGAGAGCTGAGCCGAAATATAAGAATAATATATTTGTGCTTCGAGTTGGTGTTTCTTTCAGTGTAATGCATGCAGTGGTCACAACCCAGTTACTCATAATATTTGGATTGTATTTGTTCGTAGATATGCCCAGAAGACTAGAGAATTAGTGTTATATACCATATAGAACTTACTGTCAGTCAACTATAAACAGGCCCAATTAAAAACTGTTCCATTACTACGCAAACACATATTAGAGGCCTTTGCTGATGACACATTAGCTGGATCTTAGCCACCCCAGAAAGGGTTTGATTTGAAGCTGATTGTTGCCAGATATGCATATTGGAATCCCATCTACCCATAGTTCCTCTGAAGGTGATTTTGTAATTTGCAAAAGGGTATAGGAAAATATACCTAAAAGCGAATTTGTGGCTGAGAGGATAAACAGAAGCTGTTTGCTCATGTTCTGTGCCCCACACCCACCAATACCTAAATCTGTTAAGGAAGACAGAAAATGTTTTCTTTGTGCTCATTGAGTAGTTCCAGACAGAAGAAGAATATACTCTTTAAAATGTATTTACCTGTTAGTTGGAAGTACCCAGAATTATCAGAAACGAATGCAAAAAAAAAAAAAAAAAAAAAAAGCTTACACAGCTTCTTAGCAATTTTTTTTTTTTTGCCGAAACAATAAATTGCCTTTAGCAGCAGTTTAAAATCCTATCGTGAACAACCTATATTTTCGCCATTTTACAATGGAGAGTTGTGACAAGTACAGGTTATCAAGTTTGCACTTAACTATGCCAAAAAAAGTTTGAAGCGCTCTATTCTCAGACATGCTGTATTATTACTTCTCATTCAAGATTGAAAAATATAAAGGTATCCAAACTCTGTCTTAATGTAAATGTAACTATTTTTCCTTCAAGTGTTGACTAGGGAGTCGGTTTCTCTCTTAAAGACACTCACTGTACAACTGAAAGCAGCTGTCATATTTCTGGCAAAATGTGTTTACGTATCTGACAAGTTGTACATTTGTGTATGAACTGACATAAAATGTGAAAGCCTGTAAGTGTACATGTAGTGGTGTGGTGTTCTGTCTAGAGGATACAACTGAATGTTTTTAATTTGCTGACTTACAGACACAGGCTGTTTACAAAATGCTAGCTGGAAAGTCTGTAATGTTCATGTCATAACTTTTAGTTAATTGCCATTGAGCACCTGTTCTGAGGAGGTGAGATGTGGACTTGTGCTTATAAACTGGAGAGTTTAGTCATAATCCCTCCTGGCTTTGTGTGAATAGCTTGCTCACTTTGCTGGCCTTTGAAATGTGTTCTCCGTGATAAGCTATCCATGTGTTTGTGATAAGAGTGCTTGTCAACCATGACCATCTTTGAGCCTTCCTAGTCCTCCACCTGGCACAGTATTTGAAATGGCAAAGGATGTGCTTCATCCTCTAACAGTGTACACTCCCAGAGCTGATATTCTGGATTTTGACTGTGCACATTTCCTCTAGTTCATGTCTGTAGTCCCTATAGAATGATCTGTAATAAAATAGTATACTGGACTGTGCATCAAAGGGATGTAAAATTACAGTATTCCAAAGGTTGAAGTTCTGCTGTTTTGTTATAATGCCTGATACACATCTTGAATAAAGTCTTAACATTTTTCTTTTAAAAAACATCTTTGTAATGTTGGGCTTAAAAGGAAACAGGAAATACTTTTTTTCAAATATGGGAGGTAGCAAGGATTAGAAGCTGAGTGTTCAGCCACCGACTGGCCTGGTGACTTGGCCCCGTGCCTGTTGCATAGGATGTTGAGAGGGAAAGAAAACCAGATGATATAAATGTTTTGAAAACCAGTTCATCACACAACTACAAACCTGAAAGTATCACTGTTTATTTCACATTTAAAAAAATCATCGGCAGAAACTAGGTAGCTGTGAAAATAGAATAGTCCACTGGTAGAGTTTCAATTGTGCAAACAGACGTTTGGTCCATCATTTTTCTTCTCTGAACATTTCTTCATCTGCAAATGGGGGAGTGCCTGTGCAGGTGACAACAGGGTGGTGAAGGGCCACCCTTAAACCTGCTGCAGCCCTTACCTTTCACATCTGAACAGGCAGACTCAAACTTCATTGGGTGGCCACAAAGACTTGGAAGCTCAAAATTTGAAACATCAAAATTAAACACAGACCCAATTTCTTTGCATTTTTAGTCCTGTATTCTATGTTTGACAAAATCACTGTAAAATAAAGCAGCAGTAAGAAAAGAAGCAGATTCAGAGGACTAAAAGCAGGAACAGATGGGAAAAAAAGGCTGGAAATCCATTCGTTTATTTACTGAGCCTGGTCCAATGTCAACAGAACTAGGATTAACTAGGTTAAGAGTTGGCAAAGGACAGGAAAGCAAAGTAATAAAATTTAAAAGCTGAATTGGTACAGTGTTATGAAGAAGTGTTTATTTAGTATTTATAGTACCAGATTACAGTCACTTGTTGATTTAGATATGAATTTTCATATGTTAGAAGACTCAGGGAAATACACAGGATCCCAAGGAGTGAGACTGAGATTCTGGGTCTTATTAGCTGTACTTTGGGTAATTTACTTAACCCTCTCTCAGCTTCAGTTTCCTCAAATCTAAATTAGGGCTTAACTAATCATTATGTCCTTTGTAAGACTGGAAATGTGGATTAGCAGTTAGACAGTATGTATGTACCCAGTTTTGTAGATATGCTGGGACATAGTAGGTGTTCAATAAATTATACATATACCTGAATAAACAAACTATACATAAATATTTTATAAATTATACATATAATCGAACATCATTTAGGTAAACTCTTTAATGAAAGACATTTATTGTCAGATTATAAAATCAGTGTTGATGATAAGCCCTCCTACCCACAAAACAAAAATCGTATGTATGAAATTCCCTTTCCCGTAAGTTATGTGCCTGTCAGCCATCCCACTTCAGTCCATCTTTGGATGCTGAGGCTCTGGTTGCCAGTCCTTATCTCTACACCTGTCCCTGGTCTAGAGGAGAAACGAAGGTGCTCTGAGGCCCCTGTAACAGAGACCCTTGTCATCCATATTTGCAATAAAGACATCATGGAGGCTGTGCAAAAGTATCCTTCTCCCCAACTTCTGCAGGCACCATTTCCATCTCACTACCCAGAGGTACATCAGAGAGCAGGAGCCAGGCAGGTGACAAAGATGTGGAAGGCTTCTAAGTGGTTGGCTTTGCCGTCTCAGAAGTGCGAAGAAATGAAAATCCATCAAAACAGAATGCCATTCCATGTTTCAGGCTTTTACCTCACCTCAAATCAAATGTCTGTTCTTTATTTATTGGTCCCATAAGTAGACACGCACTTGGACTTCTGGTTTTAGAACATTCTATTGTTATCCTTTCTCCTTTTAATAAACACACACTAGTTTCGAGGAATCTCCCTAATAATCCTGGCCTGACATGCTGCAGAACTTCAATTTCATAATTTTACTAACAACAGAGGAATTTCATCTTATTATTACCAACTACCACATTAAAGGATCTGAAACAGTAATTCATGCATAATTCTATTTAATAATGGTTTTCAAAGTACTTTGCTGTTTGAAAATGCTTCCCAGATGATTCTGATCGGAGAGTTGGGAACCACTGCCCTAGACTGTAACCACTCAATTGAACTTTACTCAGTGCTGCTTCCCTGCCCACTTCAAGTAAACAATGCTTAACTTTTTCGTTTCTAAAACAACTGAGATTACTTTCTCCCCCTTAGTTTCTACAATGATTGTTGAAAATTTGTGGGAAAAGTTTATCCTTACAAATGAAAACATGAAATCTGAAGTGGATAAACTAACTTTTAAGAAATACATATCCTTACTCAGTAAGCTGAGGCAGGAGGACCACTTGAGCCCAGGAGTGCGAGGCTTCAATGAGCTATGATTGCACCACTGCACTCCAGCCTGGGCAACAGAGCAAAACTCCTGTCTCTAGAAAAAATAAATACCTATCTTTCAAAACTTGCATAAAAAGCCCTTGTCTTCACTTGTACAGCCTCTTCTGTTTCATGAATGAGCATGCTGAAGGGCTATTTACTCTCCTATGAAAAAATGTTGTTACAGTAAATGACAAGTGTTATGAACACAATGAACCTGGTGTGTTAGATGTTAAGTGTGCTGCCACCCCATGTGAACCTCCAAGTGAAACTGCTCACATAACTGTTTTTTTGCTGCATGCAAACCTGCTAATACAAAGCGGGCTCCTGACTTAAGGACAGCCAATCCCTACTCTAGACAATGACCCAACCAGACCTAGTATAAAAAGGTAGTCTGGCCCAGTTAAATTCCCTTGGCAATTGGAGACTAGCAGCAGGAGCTGAAGGTCATCATGTAGAAAAGAACCTCAAAGGTGCAAGTTAAAGTTAT
Source organism: Homo sapiens (assembly GCF_000001405.40). Classification (NCBI taxonomy): domain Eukaryota; kingdom Metazoa; phylum Chordata; class Mammalia; order Primates; family Hominidae; genus Homo; species Homo sapiens. Next base: position 86,211,250 of record NC_000002.12, on the reverse strand, counting down.
TACAAAGGAACAGAAACTGTAAGTATGCAAAAGCTGTGTAGAGAAGTTGGTGAATAGAGAGAATGGAGTTAACAATGCAAAAAGAAGCAAGTCACATGCATGCAGAGCCCAAGCCTAAACATCCACCTTCCCCTGCTGAGGAGCACCACCCAATTTCTACTCTTCCTGAGGCTGGGAGGTGATTTCTGAGTGGGAGATGGGGTTGGTGAGGTGGTTCCTGAATTCCCTGGCACATATCCTTGAAATAATGTCACATTGCTTGAGCTAACTTGTAGCTTTTGAGTCTTTTTATGTTTGTCCCACTTGAGATTCCTTGCAACTAAAAGAGCATAACTGAAACAACTAGTTAAGCCAATACCATTTGTTAAAAATAATGCACCATTCTAAATTTCTGTTTCCCTAACCAAATCTGGCAAAGTCTGATCCATTAAGTTTTAAAACTTTTCTAAGTTTAATGTTGTCACTGTATGTTTACGTATTCATTGGTACAATTTACATCAAGTTTTGTACTTATCCATTTTTGCAAAGATATGTACACAAAGATACATATCCAATAACTGAGAAACAAGTGAAACTTCTGATCTATACTTTCAGGTTTGTTCGATCATGATACTTCTGATAAGGATCATCAACGTACCAGTTTCGCCTCTTCCAGAAGGACGTCGTCATTTTATCTAAGAGTTTACTCTGGGTTTTATTGCAGAATACAAATTCCCTCAATCGCTTCTTCCTTGCAGGTGTCTTTTTCCATAATTTTTTCTTATAGCCAGCCTGTCAGATATTACAAAGAAATGTAAAACATCATACTATGTATGAAACAACAGGTATCTTCACAACTCAAGGTTTATAGACCCAATAAGAACAAAAACCAGACTTCCATAGGGGCTGGACTATTTCTTGGAAAGATGTGATTCTCAATGGCCGGGGGAAGGGAGGGTGGCGGGGAGGGGGATGGAGAAAGCATGTGTAGTTTAAAAAAGAATTAGTAATAAATCATATTTTAGAAAAAAATTATTTAAATTAAACTCACAGAAAATAAAACTAAATGTGTGTGGCTGGGAAAGTACAAGATAATGACAGAATTATAATCACTAACTTAACAGGTATGATCTTACTATCTCTTCAGCAATCTTTAACAACATACTATTATTCTATTTTACATCTTTAAAAAAAGAAACCATTGATTAGAGAAGTAGCAGACAGAGGTCTGAGGGCTAATAAGAGTTCTTTTTTTGTTTCATTTTGAGACAGGGTCTCACTCTGTCACCCAGGCTGGAGTGCAGTGGCATGATCACGGTCACTGCAGCCTCTACCTCCTGGGCTCAAGTGATCCTCCTGCCTCAGCCTCTCGTATAGCTGGGACCACAAGTGTGCACCACCATACCCAGCTACTTTTTAAATTTTTGTAGAGATAAGGTCTCACCATCTTGCCCAGGCTAATAAGAGTTCTTAACCACTGTCTTTCCTAATGTAGAGGAGGATGGAGTGCAGGCGAGGTAACAACATTAATATTTATTAAGGAGGCTGAGTATTACAAGAGCTGAGAAGCACAGTTCTCAAATATATTGCTTCATTTATTATTTTCACACACAAGGGACCAATTTTTATAGGAAGTACTTTTCTAAGGAATTATGAATATGGTAAGACTATTATTAGGAGTGGTGAAGGAATGGTTAACCCACATATTTAACCCAGAACTTTCATATACACCCATACAGGTATTATTCATTTTGAAGAATTTATTTTTAAAGACAGGAAAGGAAAATTTGATTGATTATAAAAACTATAATCATAGCCTGTTTAAACTAGAAGGGATCTTAGGTGCCATCCAGCTTAATTAACATCTGGCTAAAACCACACGGTGAGCCCTTGGGTCCTTTCAAGCCAAGGGCTCTTTATGGCACAATACCAACTGAACAAAACCATGGCTCTTTGCCGAGAATGTGCCTTGCATTTCTGACATGTCTTAGTATCATCACTGTGACCATCAACTTCTATAAGGACAGTGATGAAATAAGGAAAGGTTATTTAAGAGTTCTGGTTTTAGAATGCTAGAGGTTAGATTTTTGCTACTCACTGCTTACAATTTTAAATGCAAACATTTAAAGCCAAATCTCCACATTTGTGTAATAATTTCATAGTTTGCAGGCCAAACTGGGTTACTATGGATCTCTGACGTACAAACACCTAATTTATTGCCCTGCTCATTACCACCAGTATCCTTTAAAGATTATTCACAGAATGGAACCACTATGAAAATGCTTGAAATTTTTTAGACAATCTCTAGATTCAAAAATGGAAGGAGGGAATGAACAATAAATACCAAGGACTGCTGGATGAAACCGTGTCATGGAAAATACTTTGTTTTACACATTAGTTTGAATTCATCTACCCAGATTTTTTTTTTCTCTGAAAATTAGATTTTGAAGAGGCAGGGCATTCTATACAGGGTATACTTTCGGGAGCCCTGAACTGAAGCTAGGTATTATGACTGGAGAGTATGATCGGGTCCTTTACAGTAACATGAGGGCCCCAGAGCCCAGTAAGAGGGACATGGAAAGGAAGGCAAGGAAACCCACCCATTTCATTTTACCTAGGGCTAGAAGAGGACCTGGAAATAACTGGTATAAAAACCAAAGGGTGGGGCTAGGCGTCACGGCCCATGCCTGTAATCCCAGCACTTTGGGAGGCCGAGACAGGTGGATCACTTAAGGTCAGGAGTTCAAGACCAGCCTGGCCAACATGGTGAAAACCCGTCTCTACTAAAAATACAAAAATTAGCCTGGCATGGTGGTGCATGCCTGTAATCCCAGCTACTCGGAAGGCTGAGGCAGGAGAATGGCCTGAACCCGTGAGGCAGAGGTCACAGTGAGCCAAGATTGTGCCACTGCACTCTAGCCTGGGCGATAGAGTGACACTTTGTCTCAAAAAAAGAAAAAAAAAAAAACACATACACACAAAAGGGAAGAAATGTTTCCAGTGGTCTCAAATTCACAAAACTCAGAACATTAGACCTTTAGTTTAGCTGCTTTATGGATTATATGAGCTTCTGCTGACTGGTGTAGGAAACTACCCACCACAGTGTTTCAATAGAGAAATGAGCTGAGAGTTCCAACCAACCCATTTATCTACTAATTTAGTACTGTTTATAAAACGGGAGAATCCTTTCAACCTTTCAAACATCAAGAAAGTTCTACCAACTATTTTATTTTTACAGGGAACCAAATTTTGATTTTTAAAGATTTAATTTCCAAGTAATGAAAGGGAATTAGGATTTGGGCAGTTACTAAATCTCAAAAATGGTTTTGCAAAACTGGTCTTAAGCTGCTTTCTTTTCATTTTTTGAGATGAAGTCTTGCTGTGTCACCTAGGCTGGAGTGCAGTGGCGTGATCTTGGCTCACTGCAGCCTCTGCCTTCCAGGTTCAAGCGACTCTCCTGCCTCAGCTTCCCAAGCAGCTGGGATTATAGGCACCTGCCACAACGCCTGACCTCAAGTGTTCTGCCCGCCTTGGCCTCCCAAAGTGCTGGGATTACAGGCATGAGCTACAGTGCCTGGCTGAATTCTGAATTCTGTTTGATTTTAATCTGCTCACACTCCTTTTTTCTTTTCTTTTTTGAGACGGAGTCTCGCTCTGTCGCCCAGGCTGGAGTGCAGTGGTTCGATCTTGGCTCACTACAACCTCCACCTCCCGGGTTCAAGCAATTATGTGCCTCAGCCTCCCGAGTAGCTGGAATTACAGGTGCCTGCCACCACGCCTAATTTTTGTATTTTTAGTAGAGATGGAGTTTCACCATGTTGGCCAAGCTGGTCTTGAACTCCTGACCTTATGATCCACCCGCCAAAGTGCTGGGATTATAGGCGTGAGCCACCACGCCCGGCCTCACATTCCTTTTTCAATTTAGTAACAGTGTGAAGACTCACCTTTCTCCTCACCCAAAGGCCACAATGAAGTCGAAGAAACCTATCGATGACAGCTTTCACGGTCTTTCTCTTGCCTTTTCTTGCACTGAAGTATGTTAGAGATCTGACTGGCAGCTTCAGGACACTTGGAAGCACGGGGGCCATTCTAAAAATATATTTTAAAATTTTTAGCTTGTAATCAGACTGATTAAAGGATTAAAATTCATTATCTATACTGAGAAATGAGTAAAGCTGCTCCAATGGACTGGAACTAACTTTTCATATACAATATTACTTCCAATGACCCATGACATTAAGCATAAATTAGAATAGCAACCATCACCAACTCGCAATCTTCTAAAACCTACCCCCTCAATCCCTGTAAAATAATTCATTCTATTATCATCGCTTTATTTCTTATCCATCTTCCCACCAGATTGCAAACTCCTTGAGGACTTCAATTTGTTTACCCTTATGTCCTTTTTGCCAAGTACAGTGCTAGGCACCCAGGGGTATTTAACTGAGTATTTGCTGACTGAATGACCAACACATGCAGCCCATCCTTATAAGCTGAGCGTCTTGTGCACCCTCCACTTTGGATGACAGCCTCCATGCAGGAAAGCACACATACAACATCAGAAGCATGCTGTGTTTGGCATTTTCCTGCTGCAGGCGCCTAGATACATGGATGTCAGTCACAGTCTCCCACTCAATCAAGCAGATGTCTACATAATTAACTGCAGGTAGGCAAAGAATACCACCTACTTCTAGGATACCCCTGCAGGCATGAATATCTTGGAAAGTTTGTCTAAGCATCATGTTTATTGAAATAGACTCTACCAGCCAGGCACAGTGGCTCACGCCTGTAATCCCAGAACTTTCCAGCTACTTAGGAGGCTGAGGCAGGAGAATTGCTTGAACCCCGGAGGTGGAGGTTGCAGTGAGCTGAGAATGCACCACTGCACTCTGGCCTGGGCAACAGAGTGAGACTCCGTCTCAAAAAAAAACAAAAAACAAAAAACAAAAAAAACCCCACAAAGAAATATACTCTACCTATTAAGGATCACTGAGGTATGCCCACATGTCAGGTTTCTCTCAGATGTGGTAAGTCTGGGAGTGGAGGAAACAACTGGTGTCTGAATATGACTAAAACGTCCAGTGGACAATGCAGAAATAAGAGAGGCATTCTTGACACAGTTGCGGTAGGTTGAAGATGCCAAAATATTCAGGGGCCGTAGGATTCCTGTAAAGATAGGAGCATATATATTTAATACTCCAAAATATGCATCCAGATATTAAAAATTAAGAGATGTATCACTGCCACCAAGTATTAAACATAATTAACGTGCCCTGAGCATCAGACTCATCTGTGAAGCTTTTACCACCTTACTAAGGTATAACCATAAATTAATTACTGATTTTATGTATATAATTCAACAATTTTTGGAAAATTTAGAGAGCTGTGCAACCATCATCACAACCAAGTCGGATGTCTGCTAGCTCTATGTCCAGTACTAAGAAAAGAGATGTGTGTAACATTTATTCCCACCTCCCAGATCTTATACTCTGGTGAGACAGAATTCCCACACACAGTACAATGGCAGGTCAGGGATGCAAGAGCATGGACCCTTCCTGGAGAGACAAGAGTGGCGACAGAAAGATTCTCGAAGAAAAGAGAAGAGGCACTTGAGTTCTCTAGAAAGTGAGCAGGCCCTTAGAAGAGGAGGAGCACATTTCAGGTAGGACGAACAACATAAGCAAAGGCATGGGGACTGAAACAAATACAGGTGACCCTTGAACAACATGGGTTTGAACTGCACAGTGCCACTTACACACAGATTTTTTTCAAAAAAAGTTACACCGAGTATGCCTGCCTTTCCAGCCTCCCCTTCTAACTCCTCCACCTCTTCTTTCTCTGCAATCGCAGAGAGAGCAAAACCAACTCCTCCTCAGCCTACTCAATGTAAAGATGATGAAGACCTTTATGATGATCCACTTCCACTTAATGAACAGTAACCTATTTCTTTTCTTATGACTTTCTTTTCTCTAGCTTGTTTTATTGTTAAGAATACAGTATATAATACATATAACATGCAGGATATATGTTTTTAAAATTCTTTTTTTGAGGCAGGGTCTTACTCTGTGGCCCAGGCTGGAATGCAGTGGCACAATCATAGCTCACTGCAGCCTTGACCTCCTGGGCTCAATCTATCTTCCCACCTCAGCCTCCTAAGTAGCTGGGACTACAGCATGTGCCACCATGCCTAATTTTTGTAGAGACAGAATTTTGCCATGTTGCCCAGCCCAATCTTGAACTCCTGGGCTCAAGTGATCCACCTGCCTCAGCCTCCCAAAGTGTTAGGATTACAGGTGTGAGCCACCGTGCCCGGCCTCAGAATATATGTTAATCAATGGTTTATGTTATTGGTAAGGCTTCTGGCCAACAGTAGGCTATTAGTAATTAAGTTTTGGAGGAGCCAAAAGTTATACTTTTTTTCAACTTGATTTTCAACTGCTTGGGGTTGACACCCCACCTGCTGTATTGTTCCAGGGTCAACTGTACATGTATGGGTTGAGGACCAGACCTGCCTCAGAGGCTGAGACTGTTCGCCTGACTATCAGAGACGCCTGGGGAGAAGTAGTGGGCAGTGGGGTGGAACAGGTCAGAAGGCAGATTTCAGAGAGCCTAGATGTGTGGTCCGGATGCAGTCCTCTTATCAGTCCTTCCCACTATGGCCAGACTAATAGTTCATGGCTGCAAATCGGAATCACTCGTGGAGCTCCGACTCCACCCATAAATTCTGACTGAAGTCCAGTTTGGGACTCAAAATTGTGTGTTAAAAAAGTTCCGCAGGATGATGAAAATGTCCTCAGAACTTAAAGTATAAAAAAAAAAATGCACTAATACAAGACTAAAAAAAAAAAAAAAAGTCCTAAAGCTGGAATGTGGTAATGGTTGTACAGCTTGCTAAATTAATAAAAAAACATAAAGCTGTACACATAAAATGGGTAATTTTATGGCATGTAAATTCTACCTCAATAAAGTTGGTTAAGAAAAATACTCCAGCCAGGCATGGTGGCTCATGCCTGTAATCCTAGCACTTTGGGAGGCCGAGGCAGGCGGATCACCTGAGATCAGGAGTTCGAGACCAGCCTGACCAACATGGAGAAACCCCGTCTCTACTGAAAATACAAAATTAGCCGGGTGTGGTGGTGTGCGCCTATAATCCCAGCTACTCAGGAGGCTGAGGCAGGAAGATCACTTGAACCTGGGAGGAAGAGGGTGCAGTGAGCCGAGACTGCAACATTGCACTCCAGCCTCGGCAACAAAAGTGAAACTCCATCTCAAAAAAAAAAAGCGAAAAATACTCCACCTGAGTCTGATGCTTGGCTGGGACTTAGAACTACTCTCCTATTTTCTACTGCACTGATTTCAGATAACAAATGAGGGGCCATGTTGATATAGAAGTGCTAGGATTTGAATGAGATGATTTGGGCTCATATTCTAGCTCTATGACTTCCTTGCTGTGTAACCAGGGGCAAGTTACTTAACCTCTCTGTGCCCCAGTTTCCTCAAATTTAAATGAAGTTAATTATGGAGAGGTAATGAGACTTGAATGAGATGAAGCATGTATAGTGCTTGGAAGGGTAGCACAGAGAAAACATTTAATGAATGCTAATGGCAGATAATAAAGAAGAGGGATACTTAGCAAAGATGATACAGGTTGAGTATTATCTGAAATGCTTGTGACCAGAAGTATTTTAGATTTTTTAAAATTTTGCATAAAGGAGATATCTTGGAGATGGGACTCAAGTCCAAACATGAAATTCATTTGTTTCATATAAATCTTACACATATAGCTTAAAGTTAATTTTATACAATATTTTAAATAATTTTGTACATGAAACAAAGTTTTGACTGCCACCGATCACGTGAGATCGGGTAAAGAATTTTCCATTTGTGGGCCGGGTGCGGTGGCTCACGCCTGTAATCCCAGCACTTTGGGAGGCCGAGGCAGGCAGATCACGAGGAGATCAGGAGGTCAAGACCATCTTGGCTAACACAGTGAAACCCCGTCTCTACTAAAAATACAAAAAAAAATTAGCTGGGCATGGTGGCAGGTGCCTGTAGTCCCAGCTACTTGGGAGGCTGAAGCAGGAGAATGGCGTGAACCTGGGAGGCAGAGCTTGCAGTGAGCTGAGATTGTGCCACTGCACTCCACCTTGAGCGACAGAGCGGGACTCCGTCTCAAAAAAAAAAAAAAAAAGAATTTCCCACTTGTGGTGTCATGTTGGTACTCAAAAAGTTTCAGATTAAAGATACCTAACCTGTATATTAATATGTGGCCATCAGTGATAACAGGGCCAGGTGTGGTAGCTCACCCCTGTAACCCCAACACTTTGGGAGGCCCCGGCGGATCACCTGAGGTCAGGAGTTTGCGACCAGCTTGGCCAACATGTGAAACCCCGTCTCTACTAAAAATAGAAATATTAGCTGGGCAGAGTGACGCGCGCCTGTAGTCCCAGCTACTCGGAGGCTGAGGTAGGAGAACTGCTTGAACTCAGGAGGCAGAGGTTGCAGTGAGCCGAGATCTTGCCACTGCACTCCAGGAGACAGAAGGAGACTCTGTCTCCACAAAAGAAAAAGAGATAACAATTTGCAACTGAAAAGGGTAGCATAAACATTGGTGCAGAAAACTGATGAGAGAGCCCTTACATAGGGCCTTGGAAATCAAATAAGTTAAATCGCAAAGAACTGAAAAGATGTGCAGATGTAATAAGGCAGGAGGTAATCTTTGGAAGATTAAGTGCATTGGAGGACTGTAGACAAGAAAATGTTCCAATTTTCACACGTCATCAGATTTTGGTATCTCTTGGTTAAAAAATTAAAACCTATGAAATTCTTTTGTTCTCAATTTTTATGAAGATCCTGAGGCTGCATAAGACATATTTATCAATTTTCCCAAAAAGCAAGCTGGGAACAATGGCTTGTTAATGTATTTGTGAAGACACAGAGTATCAGAACTCCAAGTGATCTTAGTAAGAGAGAAAAACAGATCAAAACCAACAAGATGAAATCAGGAATAAATACACTGAAGTTAGAAAAAATGGTTACGGGAACAACAGGAACTGGGATCTTGGTTGAGAGCAGTTCATGGGAAAATATGTGGGGAGGCTCTATCTACTGCGCCTTCTGGTGGATCAATCATGTGATTAAGCCTGTGAGGGAAACCTAACAGTCTAGCTTTGTTAACAAAAGTGCAGTACATCAAGGAAAGTAACTAATTTCCTTCAGTCCTCTGCCCCGTCTGGGCATTTTCATACAGACTAGTCTACTCTAAACACACTGTTGTATAGAGAATACAGATGTTTTCACAAAAGAGGTAACGCAAAACCAGAGTTTTGACAGAGTACGAAGAGACAGAGGGAATAGGACGTACAAAGGTGACGATGTACATTTGGGGAATTACAATGGCCCTATGTGGCATGAATCAAAGGAATGAATGGGGGACATGAACTGCACTGGATGGGAGTGGAGGAGACTGTGACAGTATCGAAACCAGGAGTCTTCAAGATTTCTGATCCTATGTTTCCTAAAAGAATTTTGAAAAACTACCCTTTCACAAATTCTTAATATCTAAAATATCAAATAGTTTAAATTGTTAAAAAGGCTATAATTTCCAGCATATTTAAAATACTGACATTTTAAAATAAGCTGTCACATCACTCTTTAAATTGTTTTCAGTAGAATCTAAATTAATAGTAAGTTGATAACTACCTACATCATCTATTTAAAAATTACAAGAACTATAAATTCAAGTAGATGAAAAACAACTTTTCGTCAAAGGGCACTCCAAAATAATGTAAAAAAGACAAGCCTGAGTGGGAGAAGCTAAAGGACACACACAAATGAAAAACAAAAACAAAACAAAAAATACTCTAAATAAATAAGACAAACAATCCAATAGGAAAATGGGCAAAATATTTAAGTGGATATTTCATAAAGGAAATTCAAAAGGCCAATAAAAATGTGAAACACACTATAGCTTGTTATTAATCAGAGAAATGCTTATTTAAATCTCAATGAGATACCATTACAAAGCCACCAGATTAACAAAAATTTGTAGGTCTGACAATATCTATTGACAATATCAATATCAGGTGTTGGTGAGGATGTGGGGCCTCAACAGTTTGGCAATATCAGGCAATGCTGAATATATACATATTCTCTGACCAGGCAATTCCACAGCGATTTTCACACATACCCACATCCTCAGAAACAATTGGACTCATGCGCCAGGATGAGATCAATCAGCTTTGTACATAATTGCCCCAAACTGGAAATGGAGAATTGTGGCACAGTCATATAATATTATACAGCAGGCCGGGCAGGGTGGCTCACACCCGTAATCCCAGCACTTTGGGAGGTCGAGGCGGGCGGATCACCTGAGGTCAGGAGTTCCAGACTAGCCTGACCAACATGGAGAAACCCCAACTCTACTAAAAATACAAAATTAGCTGGGCGTGGTGGCGCATGCCTGTAATCCCAGCTACTCCAAGGGAATCACTTAAACCTGGGAGGAGGAGGTTGCAGTGAGCCCAGATCGTGCCATTGCACTCCAGCCTGGGCAACAAGAGAGAAACTCCGTCTCAAAAAAAAAAAAAGAATTATATAGCAATGAGAAAGCATTACAGCTACGCAAAATGAATGAATGAATCTCACAATGTAAAAGAAGATACTAAAGCGTATATACTGTATGAACCAATTCATGTGAAGTTCAAAACCAGGCAAAACTATGTTCTTGAGATGCACATATGGATGCTAAAACTACTATAGGAAAAATAGGCAACCTAATAGTAACTATAAAAATGAGAACAGTGTTTATATCTGGGGGGGAAGTAGAGAATTTTGATACATAGGGGAGAGGAGGCTTCTGGTAGTGCACTGTTTTGACCTGAGTGTTAAACAGGTGTTTGCTTTAGAACTGTTAAATCATTCATGCATACTATATAAAATTTTCTTCATATGTATTATATTTCGCGAACACAAAAAATACTCCACATAAAAAAAGCTTTTCTCTAACGGTAAAATTTACATCGCTGCATTTTCTTGACTGATCTCGTATATTCTCCCACAAAATGTTATCCTAACAATATATTTTGTGTGAAAGTAACTTACTGAGCATCCTATGGTATTTGGATGATTTTTAACTTTTTGCAAAAAGTACTTAACGTCACGGCAACTTAATTTAGTCGCCTTTACTTCTGCTATCTCTCAGTCAAGAAGTCCTCATACCAGCCCTTGTGCCGGGGGCTGTAGTTAAAAATTAAATTAGCCTTCAAGCTTACCATGTGTCAGGCACTGCCCAAAACGCTTTACGTGCATTATCTCATTTAATCCCCAGGTAGGTGGTTATGACCCCCATTTTAGAGGTGTAGAATCTTAAGTTAGGAGACATTAATTCTCAAGGTTAAAGGTCGTGAATGGCAGGTCGTAGCCTCTAAATCAGAAAGTTAGGTGAGACTTTTTGGTTTCCCTCGCCCCCTCCGTTCCAGTTTCTCTGGCTTCTTTTCTAGGGAAAAAAAGCTGGTAAGGAAGCGGCAAATGCGTGACACACAGGCCCGCGTGAGTCCGAGTCGGGGGACTTGGTACGGGCTGCCGGTCACACCGCCCCAGAGAAAATTGGGCGCAACCTTCTTAACTTAAATAATGACCCTTTTTGCTTGTTAACCTCCAGTCTAAACGCCCATTCCATCCCGCACCAGTTTCCCCTTCTGTGAAGGCATGCATGGAGTATGTCGCTCTCCACTGACCTGAAGCTGCTCTCACTGCACCAGCAAAGGCAGAGGCAGCCATCTTCACCTTCGCCTACGGCGGCCGCTTTGGGTTTAAAAGCACAAGAGCAAAAGAGAATGAAGGGAAAGCAAGGAGGCGGAGTCAAGGAAGAGGAAAAGAACAAAGTTGTCCACTCAACATTTATTCAATGTCATCTGCCGGGTTCCGTTCTTCGCCGCTGTAAAACGACTGCCTATAGAAGGTTCTACAAAATTTCTTATTAAAAAAAATTCTTGGGGCCGGGCACGGTGGCTCACGCCTGTAATCCCAGCACTTTGGGAGGCCGCGGCGGGCGGATCACAAGGTCAGGAGTTCGAGACCAGCCTGGCCAACATGATGAAACCCCCGTCTGTACTAAAAATACAAAAAGTAGCCGGGCTTGGGAGGCTGAGGCAGGAGAATCGCTTGAAACCGGAAGGCGGAGGTTGCAGTGAGCAGAGATCGTGCCACTGAACTCCAGTCTGGGCGAAAGAGCGAAACTCCATCTCAAAAAAAAAAAAAAAATTCTTGCCGGGCGCGGTGGCTCACGCCTGTAATCCCAGCACTTTGGGCGGCCGAGGCGGGCAGATCACGAGGTCAGGAGATTGAGACCATCCTGGCTAACAGGGTGAAACCCCGTCTCTACTAAGGGGTACAAAAAATTAGCCGGGCGTGGTGGCGCGCGCCTGTAGTTCCAGCTATTCGGGAGGCTGAGGCAGGAGAATCGCTTGAACTTGGGAGGCGGTTGTTGCAGCAAGCCAAGATTGAGCCACCGCACTCCAGCCTGGGGTACAGAGCAAGATATAGGGTGTATTACCTTGGAACACTATTGTTGCCAACTTGATCTCCCACCTATGGTGGCCACTTTGAGTCCAAAAACAGGCACATACGCTAGACAAGTATATTGAAACATTCATAAAAGCTCTTTGAATTGGCAACGGGAGTCATTGCGCACTTTTTTTTTTTTTTGAGACTAGGTCTTGGTCTGTTGCGAAGGCTTGAGTGCAGTGGTGCGATCACAGCTCACTGCAGCCTCGACCTCCTAGGCTCAAGCAATCCTCCCACCTAAGCCTCCTGAGTAGCTGAGACTACAGGCACACACCTGGCTAATTTTTAAATTTTTTGTAGAGACCTAGGTCTCACTATGTTGCCCAGGGTGGTCTCAATTATTTGGTATGGAATCAAACAGGTCTCCCACCTTGGCCTCCCAAAGTGCTGGGATTACAGGTGTGAGCCACTGAGCCTGGCCTCACTGCACATTTTTGAACAAGTGAGTGACTTGATTTAAATTTTGTTTTTTAGAGACAGGGTCTGAGTGCAGTGGTGCAATCACTGCAGCCTGGAATTCCTGAGCTCAAGGGATCCTCCCACCACAGCCTTCCAAGTAGCTGGCACCACAGGCATGCACAATCATCCCCTGCTAATTTAAAAAAATTGTTTATAGAGATGAGGTTTCACTTTTTTTTTTTTTTTTTTTTTTTTTTTTTTTTTTGGAGACAGACTCTCGCTCTGTTGCCCAGGCTGGAGTGCAGTGGTGCGATCTTGGCTCTCTGCAAGCTCCGCCTCCCGGGTTCACACCATTCTCCGCCTCAGCCTCCCAAGTAGCTGGGACTACAGGTGCCTGCCACCACACCCAGCTAATTTTTTGTATTATTATTATTTTTTTTAGTAGAGACGGGGTTTCACCGTGTTAGCCAGGATGGTCTCGATCTCCCGACCTCATGATCCGCCCGCCTCGGCCTCCCAAAGTGCTGGGAGAGGTCTCACTCTTTTGCTCAGGCAGGTCTCAAACTCCTGGGCTCAAGTGATCCTCCCACCTCAGTCTGCCAAAATGCCGGGATATGAGCCACCACACCCAGCCCCTGGTAACAAATTTTTTTTTTTTGAGACGGAGTTTCGCTTTGTCCCCCAGGCTGGAGTGCAGTGGTGTGATCTTGGCTCACTGCAACCTCTGCTTCCCAGGTTCAAGTGATTCTCCTTCTTCAGCTTCCCACATAGCTGGGATTACAGGCGCGCACCACCAAGCCTAGCTAATTTTTGTATTTTTAGTAGAGACGGGGTTTCACCATGTTGGCCAGGCTGGTCTCGAATTCCTGACCTCAGGTGATCCGCCCGCGTCAGCCTCCCAAAGTGCTGGGATTACAGGTGTGAGCCACAGCGCCTGGCCTGCCTGATAACATTTTAAAGCAAAAATATTGACAACTTCCAAGTGGAGAGTGAGGACTCTCCACGTAGGTTATGAGGGGTTGGGAGGCTAATTTTGAGGTTTGAGATCTTGAAGCTAGAGAGGTTGCTAATGATGTTCAGGCGCAAGTTGTGGCTGTGACGTACATGACTGAAGCAGGATGAAAACATTCACTGGCATTGACAAATTCAAAGCCAAGGGTGTTAGAAAAGTCATCACACGGGCACCACATGACTGAAGCAGGATGAAAGCGTTCACTGGCATTAAGAAGTTCAAAGACAAGGGTGTTAGAAAAGTCATCACACCGGCACCACTGGGCATGACAGCAGTGGGCAGGGAGGCAGCAATTCAATTGCTAAAATTACTAAAGAAAACGGGAGACTGCTCTGGAAGCTAAGTGAAAGAGATATGAAACATATGTAATTACTGTAGTCCCCTAAAAACCATAGAACATAGAACATATACAAACATAACTATTGCTTTCAGATAATTTTCAAGTCCATCTCTCCATGCTACAAGTCATAGCGCAGTCTACCTCTAGAGAGAATACATATTGTAATAAATTACCCAGTTAAGACTTGGAATACTTTGCAAATCCAATAGAAGATAGAAAAGTTAGTTTCCACGATATTGCAATAAGATGCTAATAGTATTAATACGAACATATTAATTCTGGAGTATACATGGAGTATTAATACCATGCTTAATATTTAACGTGTTTTATTTTGATTACAGAATCAATGGAATACTTTTGTTTTTTGAGACAGAGTTTCGCTCTTGTTGCCCAGGCTGGAGTGCAATGGCGTGATCTCGGCTCACTGCAACCTCCGCCTCCCGGGCTCAAGCAATTCTCCTGCCTCAGCCTCCCGAGTAGCTGGGATTACAGGCACCCGCCACCATGCCCAGCTAATTTTTTGTATTTTTAGTAAAGACGGGGTTTCACTATTTTGGCCAGGCTGGTCTCGAATTCCTGACCTCAGGCGATCCACCCGCCTTGGCCTCCCAAAGTGCTGGGATTACAGGCGTGAGTCATAGCTCCTGGCCCTACTTTTCTTTTTAAATTTTTTGTTTGTTTATTTTTCTATATAGAGACGAGGTCTCACTGTGTTGCCCAGCCTGGTATCGAACCTCTGGGCTCAAGCGATCCTCCCGCTTCGGCCTCCCGAAGTACTGGGATTACAAGCGTGAGCCACCGCGCCCTGCCCAGTGGAATACTTTCAACGGTGCTTCTGCATTGACTTCCCATCTTCCAACCCATCCACAAACTGCAGCCAAAATGATGTTACTACAGTAACAACTTGGAGAAAGCAGTGTGGCTTAATCTGGAAGGAGCAGAAGCTGTGGAGTCCAAAGGACCCGTGTTCCTATCCTTGTTGTGCCACTTGACACGTTTAGCACAAGGGTCCCCACAGTGTTAGTTCACCGTCTCCAGCAATCACTATGACTCCCTGGAGGGCTGTCAAACGAAACAAAGGCGCAAACTGAGACAATTCCATTGTTTACGTAACTTTCGCCAAATCGGCTCCTTCCTACGAAATATCCAGCTCATAGAGCAGGCTGAGATGCTTTGTTGCTTTAATTCTCTTTAAGAGTCACAGCTGTCCATTTTCCACGTGCGGCTGAAGAATGGATTTCAGAGCGCTCTCCCTCCGGCAGTGTTCACCTAGTAACCCCTTCCGGATAAGGACCTGCAGCCCGGGCGCGACCCGGAAAGGGAATCCGCCCTTTTCGCCTCCTTCGCGCCAATCGCCTGGAGTTGGCGTTTCCGCAGCCGGGACACAGCCCACCCTCTAAGAGCCGCGGAGTCGGGGACGGTAGAAGGGGCCGCGCGTGCGCAGTGGCGTCCGCTGTGCTTCCGGTGCGCCGGGCGCGGACGCGGGCACGCACACACGCAAGCACGCCTCCACTTAACTCGCGCCGCCGCGGCAGCTCGAGTCCACCAGCAGCGCCGTCCGCTTGACCGAGATGCTGCGGGCCTGTCAGTTATCGGGTGTGACCGCCGCCGCCCAGGTGAGCACTGGGGCTCCCGGAGGCGCGTGAGGAGGCTGAACTAGAACCGTCAGCGAAAAACGGGGGAGCCTTGGTCGCTGCCTAGCCTCCAGGACAAAGGCGAGCCTCAGGGCCACCCTCGTCGGGAGAGGCCCGGGCGGGCAGCTAGGCAGCCACCAGGGAGTTCGCCGGACTGGGATGACTTGAGGTTATTGCAGCAGCGGGGTGGGGTGTGGAGAGTAGCGGGAGGCGCGGCTTCGTGGGCATGTAGTCCAATCAGGGCCGCGCTGCCCCCGTCCAGGACCAATCCTGGCTGCTGGCGTCTGGGTCGCCGGTTGGGCGCGCGATAGGTTTTCAGTGCTGAAGGTCGACGGGCGAGAACTACAGTTCCCGTCAGGACGAGCGGAGCGGCGGCTTGTTGCATCCTTAATAAGGAGGTGCCTGGACTTCTAGCGAGAGTCCACATTTTAGGGGTCAAGGTTGTAATTATCTGGGAGGGAGTGCCTTTCTTTTCGCAGCTGAGAACACTTCTGAGTTATTCTTAATCCAAACAAAAGCGAAAGATTTTCATTTGTGGAGCTGAAACTCCTGGTCTTCAAGGAAAGACAGGAGTCATGACCTTGTGGCTCATTTCTGAGATTAGGGCAGGGATCTGTGTCTCCAGGCGCTGGGACTACTTTGACATTCAAGGAGCCTAAATACCCAGTTACTTCTAGTTTTGCGTAATTGCCAAAGTTACTTTCTAAAATTGAAAATTAAAAAGCCTGTTTCCACTGCTCATGATTTTCAGGAAGTTGATATTTTGGCAAAATGTAGATAGCAAACCAAGTACTGTGACTCAAGCAGTAATTGAACAGAATCCCTAGGAATAGTGAGTTAGAGATCATAAAAGTCAAGCTTTGTTTTTTCAAGTTCGCTTCTCTTCCTATTTGCTGCTAGGTAACAGAAGCAGCCCCTTCCATAGGAAAGTGGAACGAACCTGTGTTAGTTTTCTATTGCTGCGTAACAAATACCACAAATTTAGCAGCTTAAAACAACACCCATGAATGACCTTACGGGTTCTGTAGGATAGAAGTCTGGGCACGGATGATCTGTGTTCTCCGCTCCAGGTCACATAAGGCTGCAAAGTATTAGCCATGCTGTGGTTCTCATTTGGAGATCAGGGTCCTCTTCCAGGCTCATGCAGTTTGTTGGCAGAATTCAGTCCCTTGCAGTTACAGGACTGAAGTACTTCTTTTCTTGCTGCCTCTTGCCAGCCACTGCTCCCAGCTTCTACAGCCTGCCTACAGTTCCTTGCCTCAAGGCCTCTAGAGGCCATTCATAACATTGATGTTTGCTTTCGTGCAGGCTACCAGGAGCTTGCCTCTCTGACTTCCAAATTTCTTTTACTTTGGTCTTTCCTCTCTAGACCCAGATTTAAAAGGCTTATGTGATTAGACCAGGCCCACCTGGATGACCTCCTTTTCAGTTAATTCAGAGTCAACTTTTTGGGATCCCATTTGGGAATTAAGAAAACTAATTAAAACTTGGTAATAAAAAATGAACCCTTTTATAGCTCTGAATCAAGATGTCTAAGCTTCTTGAAATTGCTGTCTTGTAAAATTCTTTGGTTTATTCTCACCATCTCCTTAATTCTGTAGCATTTGACATTGCTGCTTTATGAGGCTCTTTGTACTTTTGGCTTCTCTCAAGTAATATTTTGGGTCCCATCTCTCTTGTTTTCCTTTACTGAGTCTGCTTCTGCTTTGTACCTCGAAATATACACCTTCTCATCTCTTCCTGTCTCTTTATAGACTCTCTAATTTGAGATTACATCAACTCTCAGAACTTTAATCCCCAAGCAGGTGACTCTCTAGCCTCGTCGTATTTGATTGTATCAACGTATCCAGAATATCTCACTTGTCAAGATCCTTTCCACTTTATTAAACCCCATCTTTCTTTTTTTTTTTTTGGATACGGAGTCTCACTTTGTCACCCAGGCTGGAGTGCAGTGGCACAGTCATGGCTCACTGCAGCCTTGACCTCCTGAGCGCAAGCAATCCTCTTACCTCAGCCTCCTGAGTAGCTGGGACCACAGGCATGTGCCACCATCCCTGGCTAATTTTTTAAAAAATTTTTGTAGAGACGGAGTCTCTCTGTGTTGGCCAGGCTGGTCTCGAACTCCTGGGCTCAAATGATCCTCCCACTTCTGCCTCCCAAAATGCTGGGAATATAGGCACGAGCCACCGTGCCCAGCCAACCCCATCTTCTTAAATGTCTTACTGCTTTTACTGTTCCCTCCTAGAGTCCATTCTTTACTCTAGGAGGGAATAGTAAAAGCAGTAAGACATTTAGTAAAAGGCTTTTTAAAAGGCAAACATGAGGTCATGCTCTTTGGAGACATCGCATCACATTCAAAATAAAATCTAAACTGCTTACCATGGGCCCTTGATCTGACTCTTCTCATATTTCATTTTTCTACTGCCTCACTCAGATTCTCCTGGTAATCTCCAGCATGTGCCTCACTGCCTTTTCATCAGGTGTTTCTTTTGCCCTGAACTCTTCTCACAGGTTTGCTTAACTTATTCCCTTCAGTTAATTTCTCAAATGTCACCTTCCCTTCAGAGAGGGCATCCTGATCCAAAATAGAATTCTGACTACTCTTGCCTTCCTTGTATCACTATATCTTTACCCCATCCTACTTTGTTATACTTTGTAGCTCCTAGCACTACCTGATGTTATAATGTGTATTTATTACACAGTTTCCACCTTTAAAAAGTAAGCTCCACAATGGAACTGTGTCCATATTTACTGCTGTATTTCCAGTATTAACAATAGTCCCTGGCTCCAAGTAGATGCTCAGTGAATGTTTATGACATATATAAATGAAAGAATGAATGTGTTCATGAATTTTTTTTTAATTTAAAAAGATTTTTTAGAGATGGGGTCTCATTATGTTTCCCAGGCTGGTCTTCAGCTTCTGGGCTCAAGTGATATGCCCACCTCGGCCTCCCAAAGTGGAATTTTTCTTAATCTGTGTAAGTGGATGTGACCTCCCTTTAAACATCCCATAGATTTTCAAACCTCTGATTATATATTCAGATTCTCCAGAGAAACAGAAACAATAAGGGTGTGTGTGTGTGTGTAGAGATAGGGTCTCATTCTGTTGCCCAGGCTGGAGTACAGCAGTGTGATCATAACTCATTGCAGTCTCAATCTCCTGGGCTTAAGCGATCCTCCCACCTCACCTCCTGAGTAGCTGGGACTACAGGCTTATGCCACCATGCCCAGCCAATGTTTTGGACTTTTAGTAGAGATGGGATCTCGCAATGTTGTTCCAGCTCATTTTGAACTTCTGGGCTCAAGCAATATCCCCACCTTCTCCTCCCCAAAGTGCTGGGATTACAGGCGTGAGCCATAGTGCCCAGCCTAGGAAGATTTATTATTTATTTATTAATTTTTTTTGAGATGGAGTCTTGCTCTGTCACCCAGGCTGGAGTGCAGTGGCGCCATTTCAGCACACTGCAAGCTCCGCCTCCCGGGTTCATGCCATTCTCCTGCCTCAGCCTCCCAAGTAGCTGGGACTACAGGCGCCTGCCACCACGCCTAATTTTTTTTTTTTTTTTTTTTTTGTATTTTTAGTAGAGACGGGGTTTCACCGTGTTAGCCAGGATAGTCTCGATCTCCTGACCTTGTGATCCCCCCACCTTGGCCTCCCAAAGTGCTGGGATTACAGGCGTGAGCCACCGCGCCTGGCTGAAAGATTTATTGTAAGGACTCTACTCACACAGTTATGGAGACTGGCAAGTCCAGAATCTGCTGTGTGGTTTGGCAGACTGGAGACCTAGGACAGCCAATATTGCAGTTGCAGTCTGCTGGCCAGCAGCCTGGAAACCCAGGAGAGTGGATGGTGCAGTTTCAGTCTGGAGGCAGTCTGCTAGAGAATTGCCTCTTGCTTTTTGTTGTTTTTGAGCCCTCAACTGATTGAATGAAGCCCACCCATGTTATAGGGCAAATTTTTTTTTTTTTTTTTTTGAGATAGGGTCTTGCTCTGTCACCCAGGCTGGAGTGCATTGGTGCAATCTCAGCTCACTACAACCTCCATCCACCAGACTCAAGCCATCCTCCCACCTCAGCCTCCTGAGTAGCTAGGACTGCAGGCATGCACCACCACACCCAGCTAACTTTTGTATTTTTTTTTCTGTAGAGACAGGCTATATTACCCAGGCTGGTCTCAAACTCCTGGGCTCAAGCAATCCACCCGCCTTTGCCTCCCAAAGTGATGGGATTACAGGAGTGAGCCACCATGCCTGGCCACTAGTTCACCAATTAAAATGTTAATCTCATCCAAAAACACAGTCCAAGTTGACACATAAAATGAACCATCACAGATAGTATCTACCTTATTCTTTGCCCAGGCTGGAATGCAGTGGTGCAATCTCGGCTCACTGCAACCTCCGCCTCCTGGGTTCTAGCAATTCTCCTGCCTCAGTCTCTCGAGTAACTGGGACTGCAGGCACGTGCCACTGTGCCCAGCTAATATTTTGTATTTTTAGTAGAGACAGGGTTTCACCATATTAGCCGGGATGGTCTCGATCTCCTGACGTCGTGATCTGCCCGCCTTGGGCTCCCAAAGTGCTGGGATTACAGGCTTAAGTCACTGCACCCGACACAGTATCTGCCTTATTCTTTATGTTTGGGCTTATCATCCTTGCATTCCTTAGATGTGGGTATTCAGTAAATGTGCTTTAGAACTCTGGTCCCTCTGTTTTTGTTTTCTTCTTTTATTCCTCAGACCTAACACCATCTTTCTTCTCTTAGTCCCAATACTGCATCACCAGGCCCAGCCTTTTTGAAGTGGTCATTGAGTTTGGAGGACATGGGCTTTCCGCCTAGCCTAGCCTTCTCTCAAACTACAAACCTGGAAGTGGTCATTTACATATGGAGTAGTCTTTCCTGCTTATAACTTGAAAGAAGAAGAAGAAACATTATTATTCTTGAGGATCAACCGCTCCAGCTTACTTAAGACCAAGTTTGATAACCCAGCTAGTTTAGGATTGAACTTGTGTGTGGACATGAGCTATCATCTTCTAGAATTCCTTCTTTCTGTTAGGATTATGAAACATTATGTTACTCAGTGATAGAGATAGGCAGCCAACCACACGTGCTAGAAAGTAGTTTAGTAGATCATGCGGCCAGGTGTTTGCTTCTACCCATGCTAGAATCCTCTTCATTGTTCCTTTTTTCATATCTCTAGACCAGTAGCCTTCAAACCATTTTGAAATACATCTTACGCCGTAACTTACTACACCGAAGTGATAACATACAAAATATATTCACATATGTGCAGGGAAAACTAAAGTGTCAAGTTCCTGCTTTTGTCATACTGATAAGTATCTGCCATTTCTATAACTAAAGAGCACGTGTTCTCCTAGAATAGAATATGTTTATACTGAAATGTAATGCTGCTTCAATGTAAAATTGTAATGTAAAATGTAAAATTTCAATGTAAAAACTTACTGGATTTTTTTGTGGGATATACTTTTTAACCTTAATGCATGATTCTTATAAACTATTTTAAATTAACAGTAGAAAAAGTTAATTTGTTGTATATCAATCTATATTTCAAATGTAGAACTGCCCATTAACTTATGGGTGCCTTTTTCGTTTGTGTGGGAGGAGTCCTTATGTATGACAAGATCCACAAAAACGTTATCAGTTGACAGCAACCAGCAGTCTGTGGAGGAAACCTGGAACCTCTAGTTAGAGTTCACATGAGGCAGCTCATACTACAGGCTCCATGTCCAGGTTGTCATGCTAGATTGTGGTTTCTTTATGTCTTCACTTTAGTTTGGTAGAGCTAAGGAACAGATGGTCTGTGTAACAGCATTAATCATGGGGCGGAACACTTGAGGTCAGGAGTTCAAGACCAGCCTGGCCAATATGGTGAAACCCCGTCTCTACTAAAAATACAAAAATTAGCCGGGTGTGGTGGCAGGTGCCTGTAATCCCAGCTGCCCGGGAGGCTGAGGCAGGAGAATCTCTTAAACCCAGGAGATGGAGGTTGCAGTGAGCCGAGATCACACCATTGCACTCCAGCCTGGGTGTCACAGCGAGACTCCATCTCAAAAAAAAAAAGAACATTACATGGGAATTATATGTTTCCTCTTTTTTTTAATATCACGTTTCTGCGGGTTAGAAGCAGCAAGGCTAACCTTATAACATATGTCTAGACAGATTGCTTTGAAACAGTGTTGTCCTTTCTATGTCATAGGTCCTTATTAATAAAAAGGAATTCCAGGACAAAAAAGTAGCCAATATTTTGTGTGTTAATGTAGGATATTTAGTTTATGTTAATAGTTTAGTACTTAAGAGAGCTCTGGAGACAGACCTTATGTTTGGCAATGGTTTCTTAACTATAACACCAAAAGCACAAGCAACAAGAGAAACTAAAGATAAATTGGACTTCATTAAAATTTTAAATTTTTGTGCATCAGAGGGATACTTGAGAGTGAAAAGGATGAAAGTATTCTAATGGATACTAGATATTTTGGATACTAGACCCTCATATCTGATGAGGTGTTTCTTTTTAGGTAAGGAACTCCTGCAACTCAGTAACAAAAAAGACTACCCAAATAAAAATACAGGCAAAGGGCCCAGGCTCTGTGGCTCATGCCTGTCATCCCAGCACTTTGGGAAGCTGAGGCAGGCAGAACGCTTGAGCGCAGGAGTTCAAGACTAGCCTGGACAACATGGTGAAACTCTGTCTCTACAAAAAATACAAACATTAGCTGGGTGTGGTGGCATGCACCTGTAGTGTTAGCTACTCGGTAGGCTGAGAGGTGGGAGGATTGCTTGAGCCTGTGAGGTCGAGGCTGCAGTGAACCATGATGGTGCCACAGCACTCCAGTCTCGGTGACAGAGTGAGATGCTGTCTCCACATATATACATATATGTATTTGTGTGCGTGTGTGTGTGCGCGTGTGTGCGTGTATGTGTATGCATGAGCAAAGGACTTGAATAGCCATTCATCCAAAGCAGATATACAGATGGCTAAGAAGCACATGGAAAGATGCTCAACATCCTTTGACACTAGGGAAATGCAAATTAAAACCGTGAGATACTCAGTTCACAACCACTAAGATGGTTATAATAAAAATGGAAAATAACAAATTAGCCGGGCATGGTGGTACACACCTGTAATCCCAGCTACTTGGGAGGCTGAGGCAGGAGAATCACTTGAACCCGGGAGGCGAAGGTTGCAGGGAGCTGAGATTGCGCCATTGCACTCCAGCCTGGGCGACAAGAGCAAAACTCCATCTCAAAACAAAAATGGAAAATAACAAATGTTGGTGAGGGTATAGAGAAATTGGAACCCTCATACATTGCTAGTGGGAATGTAAAATGGTACAGCTGCTGTGAAAAAATAGTTTAGTGGTGTCTCAGTAACTTTTTTTTTTTTTTCTGGAGACAGAGTTTCACTCTTGTTGCCCAGGCTGGAGTGCAGTGGCGCGATCTCGGCTCACCGCAACCTCTACCTCCTGGGTTCAAGGGATTCTCCTGCTTCAGCCTCCCGAGTAGCTGGGATTACAGGCATGCGCCACCACGCCCAGCTAATTTTGTATTTTTACTGGAGACGCGGGGCTTCTCCATGTTGGTCAGGCTGGTCTCGAATTCCCAACCTCAGGTGATCTGCCTGCCTCAGCCTCCCAAAGTGCTGGGATTACAGGCGTGAGCGACTGAGCCTGGCTGTGTCTCAGTAATTTAAACATAGAATTACCATATGACCTTGAAGTTCCCTGCCAAAAGAATAAAAAACAGGTGTTCAAACAAAAACTTTTAGATGAATATTCATAGCAACATTATTCACAATTCACAGCCAAAAGGTGAGGCAACCCAAATGTCCATTAACTGATGACTGGTTAAACAAAATATGGTATATTTACGTGATAAAATATTAGATTCAGCCATAAAAAGGAATGAAGTACAAGCTACATATGTGATACATGTTACAATGTGAATGAATCGTGAAAACATTACACTAAGTGAAAGAAGCTGGACAAAAAGATGTACATTGTGTGATTCCATTTATACAAAATATCTCAAACAGGCAGATTCATAGAAACAGAAAGTACATGGTGGTTGCCAGGGGCCAGAGAGAGAGGAAAATGGGGGATGACTGCTTAATGGATATAGGATTTCCTTTTAGGGTGATGAAAATGTTCTAAGATTAGATAGTGGTGATGGTTGTTGTACAACATCGTGGATGTACTAAATACCGTGGAATTGTACATTTTAAAATGGTTAGAATGGTGAATTTTATGTTAAGGGGATTTTGTCACATAGAGGAAAAAAAAAATACCTGCCACCAGGTATTTGCAGATGGCCGGAAGTATAGAGCCAGAGCTAGATACACACATACACACCCTAAACTTGCAGAGGCTTCCATTGGCCCAAGATAGGAAAATTTGAGCAAAAAGACAGTAATTACAAATGGTTGAAATCCATCAAAAGTGTTTAAATCCATGAATTTAAAAAGATCTGTTCTTATGAGTTACAGCTGCATAACAGGCCACCTTGAGCTTGGGGTAAAATAACAGTATTTATTGCCTTACTCAGTTCTGGAAAATTTTTGCTCAGAGACCCTCATGAAGTTGCAGTCAGATAGTTACTAGGTCTACAGTCATCCCCAAGTCTTCTTTACTCTCATGTGTGGCAGTAAATACTGGCTGCAGCTGACACCTCAGCAGGGACTGTTGGCTGGATCACCCATCTGTGGCATCTTTAAGTGTCTGGACTTCCATACACTTTGGTGGCTGGGTTCCAAGGGCAAGTGTGACAAGAGGCAGAGCTAGGTAGAAGCTGTATCCTTTTTATGTCTTAGTCTCAGGAGTTACAGAGCATCACTTTCACTGCCTTCTATTAGTGAATTAGTAACAAAGGCCTGCCCTTGTTTAAGGGAAGTGTACATAAAACTTATTATTGTTGGGAGAGGGGCACGTTTCTGGAACAGCATGTGGTATAGGAAGTATTGTTGCAGTCAATTTTGGATATTATCCTCAGCCTTCTGGACCCAACTGACATCCCTCCCACATGCACATCCCTCCCACTCACAACCTTCTCCAAGACTCTCCAGAGTCTAATGCCATCAAAGCATCAGCATTAGGAACAAGATCTTGTCATCTGAATCAGATCCTACTATGGATAAGACATCTTGAATGTGGTCCCTAGGGTATAGCTTCTTAAACACTTTTTTTGGTGATCTAAAGCCCTGTAAACTAAAGAGACAAATTATCTGCTCCCCATACATTCAGCATATGGTGGTATGACAGACACAGGATAATCACTCTAGACACTCCTATTCAAAAAGGCAGAAACTAAGAGGCACACAGCAGTCACCATTCCATAACAAGTGTAAAATTCAGCTGGCCCTATGTTTCTAATTCCTTGATGAGAGCTCAGTCCTACTGCTTGGGAATGATTCTCCTCAGCTCTTGGTTCTACCCTTTGGGCTCCTGGTTTTACACTTGAATTATTCTTCCGTTTCCAGAATATGTTGTCTGTTACAGCTGAATTGTTTCACAGCCTACTTCCTGTCTGTAGAAGTTTGTCTAGAAGCTTCTTTTCATTTTGTCCTCTTTTTCACTTTAAATATAAGCCAGCATGTTTTTTATTGACACAATTCTCAACAAGTTTGTGGGTTTCCTGTGAATCTTAATGGGATTTTCTTCATTAGATGCATGATACACATCTTATCAAGATAAGCCCTTCTCCATTTTGGGCTTCCTGTGAGGCTGCTGTAGGTAACACCTTTAATGTTCTGAGTAACCTTATTGATTCAATAGAATCTGGGAAACACATCCTTATGATTCTTAGAGGGCCTTTTCCTCAAGGTAAAAAGACTCTCTGAGGGGCACCTCCTTAGATCTTTTTGAGATCTCAAAGTATCTTTTGGTCACACACTAGATTTGATCTTTGGCTTGAAGCCCTTCTCTATTTGAGAATCTATTTGAAAACAATAAGCAGTTTTATTTTTGAACCCACCAAATCCTGACTCTTTTATATTTCCTTTAAATTTTGCTTGAAAGCAAAACAGGTTTTTGTTTTGTTTTTTAATGCTTATCTCTGTCCTTATCATACTCAGCTAAAAGAAACCAGTTAGCGCTTGTGATGAACACTATACTTGGAACTCTTTTGTTTTTTTTTTTTTAAGACAGAGTCTGGCTCTGTCACCCAGGCTGGCGCAATCTCGGCTCACTGCAAGCTCTGCCTCCCGGGTTCATGCTGCCTCAGCCTCCCGAGTAGCTGGGACTACAGGCGCACACTGCCACGCCCGGCTAATTTTCTGTATTTTTAGTAGAGACGGGGTTTCACCATGTTCAGCAGGATGGTCTCAATCTCCTGACCTTGTGATCCGCCCGCTTCGGCCTCCCAAAGTGCTGGGATTACAGGCGTAAGCCATCGCGCCTGGCCTACTTGGAACTCTTTAGCCAAGTACGTCAGTTCATTAGGTGTAGCTACAGCTATACTTAATTTTCTATTTTCCATGTCTGTCATTACAGATGACAGTTTTGATAAACTTCTGTCACTACATAACAAGAATATCTTTTCCTCCAGGTTCCAAAATTTTTTTTTTTTTTTGCTTTTCTTTAAGCCCTCACCAACAGGCTCTGGAAGGCCATTAGGCTTCTGCTCACAGTCTCTTCAAGGTTCTTCAGCTTCTGCCGCCCCCAACACCAGTCCCAAAGTCATGACCTCGTGTTTATGTTTTGTTGCAGTAGCACCCCTCTTCTAGGTATAAACATATGTTTGGTTATCTGTAGCTGTGTAACAGACCACCCTAAACTTAGTGGTATTAAATAGCAGTGTAATTATAATTATTATATTAACAATAACAAACGTATTAATATATAAATTATGTAAATAAAAATTACTCAGTGCTTTGAGAGGCCAAGGTAGGAGGATTGCTTGAGGCCATGAGTTCAAAACTAGCTTGGGTAACATAGCAGACCTGGCTCTATAAAAAACAAGAACAAAAATATTAGCTGGGTATGGTGGGCATGTGCCTGTAGTCCCAGCTACTCAGGGGGCTGAGGCTGGAGGATCACTTGAGCCCAGGAGTTAGAGGTTACAGTGAGCTATGATCATACCACTGCATTCCACAACCTTGGCAACAGAGCAAGACTCAGTCTCTTAAAAAAAAAATTATTTATATGCTTGAAACACTCTATTTCTGTATTTTCACCCCTCAGATTGTCAATGATGAAAAAAAAATGATACAATACAGTGTGTTGGAGAAAATGTGGGAAAACATACTTTCATATTACTAGAGGGCAGTTTGGCTAATTTGGCAGTATTAATCAACGTGGCAAATTTTACTTTTAAGAATAGACCCAAAATTGTGTATACAGTGTTACTCAGGTAGCATTATTTATTTTAACAAAAATTTAGAAAAAACCTCAGTGTCCCTCAATAGGGGCTGGTTAACAATTAAACATTAAGTAACAATGGAATACCAAATCATGAAATCCCTTGGGAAGCTTTTCACGTACTGATATACAGTGATTTAAAATATATATCCTTGAACTTTAATAGAGAATTGCGTGTATATTATGGTATCATTTGTGTAAAGGTGGGGAAAGTCAGGAGAATATGCACATTTGAATAAATATACATAAAATGTCTCTGGATAAATAAGAAACTGACAGTGTCAGTTGCCTATGGCAAGCATGGGGTGGCTGGGGAAAGAAGTATGAGGAAGATTTTACTCTATGCATATTTAAACTTTTAAAATTATTATTTAAAACCTCAGATTTTAAATTTATTTAGTATTAGGAGCTTTTAACTTATAGTCAAAACACATTCTGTCAAAGGGAGGATGGAGAGTCAAGATAAAAGAAAATAGAAGGTAGATAAAGAAACATTTAAAAATACTGATGCTGGGCGTGGTTGTTCATGCCTGTAATTCCAACACTTTGGGAGGCCGTGGCAGGAGAATAGGTTGAGACCAGGAGTTCGAGACCAGCCTGGTCAACATAGCAAGACCTGGTCTCTACAAACAACAAAAAAAATTATTTAAAGAAAAACTGATGTGACTTTGGGTAGTCTGAAACTCTAGTATTAAATTTGTCCCTGATTTCCTGGAGTCAGTTATCCATTGTGCTTGCTGCTTGATACTCCAGTTAGCTAATTATCCACTGTTGACAGTGCCTTAACTTTTTACCTGAATACCTATTTATACCTAGACAGATAAAAAATGCAACCTTAAATATAATACAACTTCAGTGGCCTCTTAATATTTTCTCCCTAAGTCACAAAAATGGAATTGTTGACATATAAAAATAGATGCATTTCTGTTTACAATTTCATACTACTTTACAGAATAGAAGGAAAACACCCTTTTCTATTAAAAATGGTTCAAAAATGTTGGGAATTCTACAGGGTAGGTAATAATTGAAATACTGGGTTTTTTTTGTTTGTTTGGTATTTTTTGTTTTTGTTTTTGTTTTTTTTTTTAAGGGGAGTGGAGGAGACAGGGTCTCATTCTATTGCCCAGGCTGGAGTGGAGTGACACAGTCTTGGCTCATTGCAACCTCCACCTCCGGGGCTCAAGCTCAAGTGATTCTCATGCCTCAGCCTCCCAAGTATCTGGGACTATAGGCACATGCCACCAAACCTGGCTAATTTTTGTATTTGTAGTAGAGATGGAGTTTTGCCATGTTGCCAAGGCTGGTTCTGACGTCCTGGGCTCAAGCAATCCCCGCCTGCGCCGCTCACCCTCGCCAGCCTCCCAAAGTGCTGGGATTACAGGCATGAGCCACCATGTCAATAATTGAAATACTTTTTAATACCAGTTGTATCTGCTTTACATATTTTAAAACATCTGATTTGTTTTTTTGTTTTTCAAAATGTATGACTGCATTAGTTAGCTGTTTACCTCTAGGCTTTGGCCAGTAGAGTGTAAATTATAACTAGAGTAATTTCATGTGTCCTATGATCATGTGATAGATTTTCCTAAAACTATAGATACTTTTAAAAGGAAGTTTGTGTTATTCTGATATTCGTTAAATACAATTTCATTAAAGAACCTAGAAAAAGCATTTTTCCTCTTGTTGCAGTTTGATTTTTCCTAGTATTTTTTAAAAAGATACTTTTATGGATTTGATAAGTGTAAATTTTCAAATTAATAGGTATGAATGGTTTAAAGTTTATGAAAACCTTCCCCAATAGTATTTAGATGCTTGTTCATTTGCTTAATTTAGGAGATCCACATATTTATTATTAAGAAATATTTAGGTGTATTTTACTCTTATTAAAACCAATCACAAGCCATATAGCCCTGATCATTTGTTTTTATGTAAGGATAGACTAGTTATATGGGGACAGGTGTACTTGAACATTTACAACATTAATTAAAATGTTTTTCTTAAAATGGTTGGCTTTTAGACTAACAATATGCTAAGATAAACCAAAAATCAGCTTTTAAATGAATGCCTCTAGGAGTTGACCAGCTGCATAGTTAGCTTAGAGATGAGAAACCTGGTTTTCTGGATCAGTTAGCTGAGGTTAGATCTGTCCCTTGAGTGTGTATCCTGTAACGCCATGTTTTTAGCTAGACTTTGTGGGTGATTTTTCAGATGTCTAAACTAAGCTTTTAAAGTAAAAATAGATTTTTTTTTTTGCCAATTAAGAAAACATATAGCAAATACCAATTGTATTCAAGAAATAATTAACATACTTAAGACTTATTTAAAGGTGCTAATTGATCATAGTCTGATAATTTTTTTTTAATATTAAAAGTAATTTTATGTGAGCCTTGGGGTGTAAGAAGCATCACTGCTTTTAGGAATCTATAAATATGGTTCATGATAAATTGACTTCTGAAAAAAAGTAATTTTTTGTTTAATGAAGACATTTTTAATAAAAGTATTATTTCTGTATTACCAACCCTAAAAGCTTACCAGTTTCCTTTAACTGTATTGGTTGTGATGTGTTTTCCTTCTTTAGAGTTGTCTCTGTGGGAAGTTTGTCCTCCGTCCATTGCGACCATGCCGCAGATACTCTACTTCAGGCAGCTCTGGGTATGTATTATGTCTCCCTATAACCAGGCTTTTCACTGTGTGCTGCTTAGGGAGTGTGTGTTTTCCTTGAATATGGGAATAGCTGTCTAAACCTTTTTTTAAAAAGGGGTACATACACCGAAGCTTTGCTGTAACATTATTGGGGTACCTTCTGGAGCATTGTTTGTAGGTAAAAATTTGTTAATAATGCACCTTTTGGCTCTTTGGTAATTGGATGGCATCCGAGGCATAGCCCTCCTTGTATGTGCAATCTTCCATTCTATGGCAAATAGATTTATATCCAGAACTCAGCATGTTGTAACTTAAATAAGTGTTAAATTTATTTGGCATTTTATTAGCTTTTCATATTGTGACTTAAGCAAGTGTTAAATTTATTTGGCATTTTATTATCTATTTTTTTTTCTTTTTTTTAAAGACAGAGTCTCGCTCTGTTGCCCAGGCTGGAGTGCAGTGGCTGGATCTTGGCTCACTGCAACCTCCACCTCCCAGGTTCAAGCGATTTTTCTGCCTCAGCCTCCCCTGTAGCTGGGACTACAGGTGCATGTCACCATGCCCAACTAATTTTTGTATTTTTAGTAGAGACGGGGTTTCACCATGTTGGCCAGGCTGGTTTTGAACTCCTGACCTCAGGTGATCCATCCGCCTCGGCCTCTCGAAGTGCTGGCATTACAGGTGTGAGCCACCATGGCTGGCTGGTATTTTATTATCTTTTGTAAAGAGTTTATTGTGTTTAGGCCGGGCGTGGTGGCTCACGCTTGTAATCCGAGCACTTTGGGAGGCCGAGGAGGGCAGATCACCTGAGGTCAGGAGTTTGAGACCAGCCTGGCCAACTTGGTGAAACCCCGTCTCTACTAAAAATAAAAAAATTAGCCGGGCGTAGTGGCGCATGCCTGTAATCCCAGCTACTCGGGAGGCTGAGGCAGGAGAATCACTTGAACCCGGGAGGTGGAGGTTGCAGTGAGCCAAGATCGTGCCATCGCACTCCAGCCTGAGGGACAAGAGCAAGACTTTGTCTCAAGAAAAAATAAAAAAAAGAGTTTATTGTGTTTATAGAAATGTTTGATTGAGGAAGAGGAGCCTTGAAAGTGATAGTTCTTGTTTGGGTTCAGAGAGAATCTCATGATTGTGAACATGTTGAGTTAAAGGGTAGATTTCTAGATATTGTATTTAAAAAAAATTTTTAGTTATTCATACTTTTATTTATTTATTTATTTATTTTTTGAGACAAGGTCTTGTTCTGTTGCTCCAGGCTGGAGTGCAATGGCATGATCATGGCTCACAGCAGCCTTCATCTCCCAGTCTTAAGCATTCCTCCTACCTCGGCCTCTTGAGTAGCTGGGGCACGTGCTACTACACCTGGCTAATTTTTTTGGCAGGGTGTGGTGGGTAGAGATGGGGCCTTACTGTGGTGCCTAGGGTGGTTTTGAACTCCTGGGCTCAAGCAACCCTTCCACCTAGGCCTCCTAAAATGAATAAATACTATTTTTGGTGGCAACATGTTATAAACAAATCAGGAAAAGGTGATGTGCAGACATGGTGGTAAACTTGGCTGCTATGATCTGAATTAGTGGTAGATAAGTAGAGGCTAGAGGTCTTCGAGATGGTTACATTGGTATAGGAAAATAGGTGTAGGAGAGCCAAGAAATATAAATGTATTTCCTGTTTCTTTCACTTAGGTTGACTACTGGCAAAATTGCTGGAGCTGGCCTTTTGTTTGTTGGTGGAGGTATTGGTGGCACTATCCTATATGCCAAATGGGATTCCCATTTCCGGGAAAGTGTAGAGAAAACCATACCTTACTCAGACAAACTCTTCGAGATGGTTCTTGGTCCTGCAGCTTATAATGTTCCATTGCCAAAGAAATCGGTAAGAGTTTTAAACAATATTTCAGTTTATCCAATGAAATACTTTAAAAGCAAGTTGTTTTCATGTTGAAAATACAGTTGTCTTTTGGTATTCTTGAAGGAGAGGTTCAGGACCTCCTGTGGATACAAAAATCCCATGGATGCTCAAGTCTCAGATATAAAATGTTACAGTGTTTGCATATAACCTATGTATACCCTCCCATATACTTTAAATCATCTCTAGATTAGATGTAATATCTAATACATTGTAAATGCTGTCTAAATTTTCATTATACTGTGTTATTTAGGGAATGATGACAAGAAAGAAAAGTCTGTCCATGTTTAGTACAGATGCAGTTTGTTTTTGTTTGTTTTTGTTTTTGTTTTTGTTTTGAGACAGAGTTTCACCCTTGTTAACCAGGCTGGAGTATAGTGGTATGATCTCGCCTCACCGCAACCTCCGCCTCCGGGTTCAAGCGATTCTCCTGCCTCAGCCTCCCGAGTAGCTGGGATTACAGGCAACTGCCACCATGCCCGGCTAATTGTTTGTATTTTTAGTAGAGATGGGGTTCACCATGTTGGCCAGACTGGTCTCAAACTCCTGACCTCAGGTGATCTGCCCGCCTCAGCCTCCCAAAGTGTTGGGATTACAGGCATGAGCCACCATGCCTGGCCTCAGGTGCAATTTTTTAAAAAATATACTTTTTCAATCTGTGGTTGGTTGAATCTATGGATGTAGAACCTACAGATATGGAGAGCCAGTTGTGTTTTGTCTGTATGCAGTGCAACTTGCCAGATGTATGTATGTTAGTTTTCTTTTTTTTTTTCCAAGACGGAGTCTTGCTCTGTTGCCCAGGCTGGAGCACAGTGATGTGATCTCGGCTCACTGCAACTTCCGCCTCCTGGGTTCAAGCGATTCTCCTGCCTCAGCCTTCCAAGTAGCTGGGATTATAGGCGGGCGCCACCACACCCGGCTAATTTTTTGTATTTTTAGTAGGGACGGGGTTTTACCATGTTGTCCAGGCTGGTCTTGAACTCCTGACCTGTGGTCCGCCTGCCTCGGCCCCCCAAAGTGCTGGGATTACAGGTGTGAGATACCATGCCTGGCCAGTTTTTTTTTTTCTTTTTTTTTTTTTTGAGATGGAGTCTTGCTGTGTCACGCAGGCTGGAATGCAGTGGCCTGATCTCAGCTCACTGCAAGTTCCGCCTCCCGGGTTCACGCCATTCTCCTGCCTCAGCCTCCTGAGTAGCTGGGCCTACAGGCGCTCACCACCACGCCTGGCTAATTTTTTGTATTTTTTTTAGTAGAGACGGGGTTTCACTGTGTTAGCCAGGATGATCTCGATCTCCTGACCTCGTGATCCACCTGCCTCTGCCTCCCAAAGTGCTGGGATTACAGGCTTGAGCCACCGCTCCTGGCCGCCAGTTTCCTTTAAATTGAACTAATAGTAGCTGGTACAGATGGATAATTATTCTTTTGGAGTCCCATAAGTGCTCTCAGTACATATCACATAGAAAATAACTGTGCTGCACACAAGGGTAAATGGAGGAGATACTTGGGTAGAGGTAACCATGGTTTCCCTATGGACTGAGGGGGACATCTATATATTATCCCATACTGTTGCAGCTATCAAGCTCTTACTTAGAACACTATAAAAACAAGTGCAGAATGGTCATGACATAAAACCACGTATTATGGTTAGTAATGGTTCCTTTTAGACCATAACACAAAGTCACAGAATTTTCATCTAGATGCTGATTAGTTGACAGGATATCTTGTACTATTCCTGTAACTTTGTGTGTATTCCTTTTTTTCTCACCAGCCTTAAAATTTTTTTCTTTTTTTTTTCTTTTGAGACAGAGTCTCGTTCTGTCGCCCAGGCTGGACTGCAGTGGCGCGATCTCGGATCACTGCAACTTCTGCCTCCTGGGTTCTGGCAATTCTGCTTCAGCCTCCCAAGTAGCTGGGACTACAGGCGTGCACCACCATGCCTAGCTAATTTTTGCATTTTTTAGTAGAGATGGGGTTTCACCATGTTGGCCAGGCTGGTCTTAAACTCCTGACCTCAGGTGATCCGCCCACCTCAGCCTCCCAAAGTGCTGGGATTACAGGCGTGAGCCACTGCGCCCAGCCTAAAAAAATTTTTAAACTCTAATCTTAAATGTTTCTTCATTCACACACAGCTTCTTGTAAAAAAAAAAAAAAGTCTGTAAAAGAGCATGGATTTTTGGCTCTTTGGTATTGGGCATTTCTTTACGCTAGGAGGCTGGACATAGCTGATCAGTTTATTCTTAGAAACTGGGTGGACTTACTGTCCAGTATCTAACATGATCTAGAGACCCATCCTATAGCAAAAGTTAACGTTTGGAAAAATAAATGTCATCCAACTTCCTCCCTGTAACCCACCCCAACCATACTTTTTCACAATGTTTTTGACTAGTCTTCTACATCATTTATTCTTCCCTATGGACTTTAAAATGTCCATATTGGCTGAGGGAGATAATTTTGCAGCTTCATAAGTCAAGGAGCAGAACCCTGTGGATTTATTCTAAAATCTTGAATCTATTTTAAGCTGCATGACCCAGGAAAAAATAGCTGGAAGCTGTTCTAGGAGCATGGAGTAAGGTTGAAAAATTCAGAGAAGTGTTCTTTTCTCAGTTGATGTGACTTCAGATTTCATTCTTTGTAGATGAATCCTTTATCTCTCCAAATAGCCTTGGCCTCTCCTCACTCCACTTTAGCTACCTTGGAGAACATTTCTAGTTAATAACTCAGCATGTTTGTACTAAACCACCTCCACACTTACACTGCTCCTTATTTGCTTTTTTGGATTAAAGATAGTACCAAGTTGTCAGGTGTAGCTAGGCCAGAATTCGTAGATTCTTCACAGGTTGCTCATATTTTGTTAGCTATCCTATCTTGTTTAATCTTCTTGCATTACCACTATCCGTACCCCTATTCTGACCTTTATCACTTCATATCCAAATTGTCTCCTGAACTAGGCCTGTTGCTCTCCATGCGCACACAGTCTTTCCCATCTTCCTCCCAGTCTCTACCCACCTAGATCTCTCCTCCTAACAGAATCTGGGTCATCCTTATATTAATACCAGAGAATCTTCTAAAAGAAGTGCTATGATATTTTCATGATAACACCTATTAATGTACTTCCAGATATTTTGTATTGTTTAAAAGATGGAAGACCACAGGATGTAAAAACTAGAGAAATCTTTCTTACCTTCTGAATAAGTATGAAGCCAGGAGTGCTTAAATGTCAGCCTAGGAACTGGCCATTGGGCTCCTTTATTTCTGTAGTTTGTGGTCTTTGCTAGCTTTTAAGTTGACATTCAATACCCTTGGCAATCTGGCACTTGTTTACCTTTGCAGCCTTATCTCTGGGTCCTGCACATAAGCCCTTAGCTGTACACCAGTTGCCCTTCATTACAAATATGTCTTTGCTTTCCATTTATTCATTTATTCAACCAATGTTAATCAAATGATTATTATGCTGCAGGCACTGTTCCAAGGGCCATGCTTAAAGATAGAACTCATCTAAGATCCCTTCCATTTGTACAGCTTTTTTTCAGGATGGTCTCCTACCCAGAATGACTTCCTTTCCTTCGCTTATTAATGTTCTCTTCAGGGGCTGCATCCTTCACTGTACAGATCTAAGTTAATTTTCTCACCTCTGAATTACAATAGCAGTTAGTGTTTCTATTTTTTTTTTTTTTACCATTTACTCAAGCACTCTCTACTGTTAAACATCGTGTCAACTTGTTGCTGTGCATTTTATTTCATAGTAACCTTTTTAGTGGCAACATGATTTGTTATAACATTGTCTCTATATTTACTGTCCATGCATAAAATCTTTTTGATGGACATGGAATAACACCTGCCTAAATGGTTACAACTGTTACATTCCTGGATAGAACTTCATATCATAAAAATGTCATTTCTCTCAAATATATATGTATGTCATTAAAGATAGTACCAAGATAGTACCAAATATATATTAAGATAGTACCAAATTACATTAAGATAGTACCAAATATATATGACATACATATATATATATTTGAGAGAAATGTATATGTATATATTAGAGAGAAATGATGTTTTTATGATGTGTCTATATACACAAATCTAGTAAGAATTTGAATGAATTTTTCTAGATGGTGAGGAACCAGATAATACAGTTTTAACATTTATATGGAGGAATTAATGATGTACAAGACTACTCAAGAACATTTTGAAAAAGGGATGAGGAGGGGTGCTTTTCTAGATAGACTTTTTTATACTGCTACTTTAATAAAATAAGGTTGGGACACAGGAAAAGAAATTAGAGGAATAAAACAACTGAATTTGGAAATAGATCACACACAAACTTTAATTATGAGAATGTGAATCACTAGAACCTTAAGTGAAAGTGATCTGTTAACATCTGTTAAAAATATACAACCCCTTTGACCCAACAATTCCTCTTCTGAAAACTATCCCATAGATATTACACTACGGTGCTTTTCATTTAAATGGACAGGGATGGATGTTCATTGCTTTGTTTGTAGCAGCAAAGCAAAACAAAACAGGAAACAATTTGAATGACTATAGAGGAGAAGTTGACCAAATTATGGGAAATCGTTATATGAGGATATTATGCAACTAAACAGAATTTCTTGACCTGAAAGAGAATGTCCATGATATAGTGTTAAATAAAAAAAGAGCAAGTTACAAGGTAATTTGTATAATATAACCCTATTTTGGTTTGTTTAAGGAAGTGAAACATTGTTTATGTGTATATACGAGAGCTTTTGCTCAGGAGTAGAAGGATAGATTCCAGGCTATTAGCAGTGGCTACCTAAGAGAGTGGAAAGGGAAAGGAGCAGTGAAGAGGCAAGTTAAAGCCACTGATATATCTTGGCATTATTTTGCTTGTTACAGTAAACAGTCTTCATCATTCAAAAATAATATTTTAATGAAAATGGAAATAATTCTGGTTTCTGGTAGTGACTAAGTTCAGAACCACCCTGTTGTGTTTAAGTAGTCATGTTAGGGATATCTGAGTCCTACTGCCAAGTTAGGGCAAAAAGTGGAATAACATAAGTGGAAATAAAAATAAAAGTAATTTTCTCTGGCACATATCTGGCAGCCCTCTTAAATGAATAGTGTCTTAAACTTAGAGCAGGCAATAATTGGGAAAGGGGAAGGCAAGCCTTGCTTACAAATTGATCATATATCTTACTGTGCAATTGCATGAATCCTGGAGATCAAAGAAACAAAATTCATTTGTATTTTCACTCAGAGCCTTTAATAATCATTTGCTTCTAACTGAATGTATACAGAAGACATCATAGTTTGATTTAGAAAGGAAATGATAATAGTCTTCTTAATACTGTGTAAGTACAAGCAATGGTGTTTAATGAGAAGATCATATGTCATGGACTTTATTGGTCACCCTAATAGAAACCTTTGTTACTATTAAAATATGGGCTGGTCATTTGGAATGAAATTTTTGAACTGCACTTTTCTAGTAATGGTGGTTTCTCTCAACTATGTTTAATAAAATACATATGTTACAAAGTGTTGATAACTTTATGTTAAAAGCCTGAAAGACTTGGCATTTGAAATACTGCAAATCACTGTACCTTTTTAAAAAACAGTAGTATATCTGAAATGTTAAATGTTTTTTATTTCCAAGATTCAGTCGGGTCCACTAAAAATCTCTAGTGTATCAGAAGTAATGAAAGAATCTAAACAGCCTGCCTCACAACTCCAAAAACAAAAGGGAGATACTCCAGCTTCAGCAACAGGTACTTATATTTTGAACCATCTTTTTAAAATTATAGGTAAATCTCTTCACCAATTCTTTTTTTTTTTTTGAGATGGAGTTTCGCTCTTGTTGCCTAGGCTGGAGTGCAGTGGCACAATCTCGGCTCACCGCAGCCTCCACCTCCCAGGTTCAAGCGATTCTCCTGCCTCAGACTCCTGAGTAGCTGGGATTACAGGCATGTGCCAGCACGCCCAGCTAATTTTCTATTTTTAGTAGAGGCGGAGTTTCTCCATGTTGGTCAGGCTGGTCTCAAACTCCCGCTCTCAGGTGATCTGCCCGCCTCGGCCTCCCAAAGTGCTGGGATTACAGGCGTGAGCCACCATGCCCGGCCTCTTCACCAATTCTTTATCCTCTCTTCTTTCTTAGTGATGAAAGTGTCTTGCTCTAGTCCCTGCAGATATTTTTTGACTTCAGAAACTACCAGTCACCCCACCCTAATTTACAGCACTTGCCTGTTGAACTCTAACCTGTTCAGTATACATTTGAACTTCTTATGTTTCTCCTTTGTTGTGTCTGTCCTTGATTAAATCACCTGACTTTCTTTAATTCAGCAGAAATTTACTGTCTTTTCTGTGCTAGACATTCTTGTAAGTACTGGGGAAACAGCCATGAACAAAAACAGTTAAAAAATTTTTTCAGCTAATATTTCTTGATTGGGTGCGGAGAGGAAATAAACAAGTAAAACGTATAGGATGTCAGACATTGTGGGAGGGAATACTGCAGTTTTAAATGGAATGTGTAAGGAATACCTTACCTGGAAGGGGTTATCTGAGCAAAGATTAGAAAGAGATAAGGGGGGTAAGTCATGTAAAAGGGTGGTGGGGAAAAGCATCCCAGGCAGCAGGATTAGCTGGTGTAGAGGCTTGATATATTCAAACAAAGGGCAAATGAGGCTAGAGTGAATTGAGTAAGGGGAGAACAGGAGCAAATGAGGTCAGAGAGGGAGCAAAAAGTTTATTGTGGCAGTCCTTGGAAGCCATTGTAAGAATTTTATTTTAGGCCAGGTGCATGGGCTCATGCCTGTAATCCCGCACTTTGGGAAACCAAGGCGGGAGGATCACCTAAGCCCAGGAGTTTGAAAGTAGCCTGGGCAACTTAGCAAGATCCTGTTTCTATAAAAAATTAAAAATTAGCTGGGGATGGCGGTGCATGCCTGCAGTCCCAGCACTCGGGAGGGAGGACCACTTGAGCCCAGGAGGTTGAGGCTGCAGTGAGCTATGATTGCACCCCTACACTCCAGCCTGGGTGACAGGGCAAGACTCTGTCTCAAACAAAAAAAAACATTGTTTCATATGCTGGGTGGGATGGGAAGAGAATGCTGAGCCAGGGGATTGATAATTGACTGTTACTTTAAAACCAAGGCCGGGCACAGTGGCTCACACCTGTAATCCCAGCACTTTGGGAGGCCGAGGAGGGAGGATCACTTGAGCCTAGCAGTTTGAGACCAGCCTGGGCAAGAGAGGGGAGACCCTGTCTCTACAAAAAAATGTAAAAATCAGCCAGGTGTGGTGGTATACACGTATAGTCCCAGCTGTGTGCCAGAGGCTGAGGTGGGAGTATTGCTTGTTCCTGGGAGGTCGAGGTTGCAGTGAGCCATGATAGTGCCACTATTCTCCAGCCTGGGCAACAGAGTGAGACCTTGTCTCAAAAAAAAAAAAAAAAAAAAAAAATATACTACACACACAAAAAATTGATTGAGTGATTGATAGAGATGGGATCTTGCTGTGTTGGCCAGGTTGGTCTTGGCCTCCCAAAGTGTGCAAAAAATATATATATATATATGTATTTTAACTCAGTTCTGTTCTTGATCACTGTGACCTTTCATCTTTTTGTTTAAAACTGTAATCTTTTTCCTGCTCACACGTCTTCTACCACTCTTCAAAGCAATTAAAAAATATTCTTTGTTTAGTTGCTTTCTTTTGTCTGTCTTCATCATTAACAGGCTTTTTCCTTTGTTACTCTTTTTCCATGTGTAAATGTCCCCTTCTTGTGTGTTAATATTATTATTATAAGCCTTGCCTGGAATAATGATGGTTAAAATGCAGGTGGATGCAGACAAGACTTCTTTCTTTTGTTCGTTCCCAACCATTGTCCATTTTGTGTGAGTTTATGTATGCAGTGGACAGTGCCCCTGTTTGTGTGTTATTCAAACATGTGGCAGTACAAATATTTGTGTCTCTAAGGAGTCAGATGTGAAGTGGGTGGTGATGGTGGTAGTAAATTTCTGTGTGTTTCTCTGTTAACCCAGGAAAGTATAAATACCATGAGTAACATATATTTATAGCACCTACAGAAGCGGCTCAAATTATTTCTGCAGCAGGTGATACCCTGTCGGTCCCAGCCCCTGCAGTTCAGCCTGAGGAATCTTTAAAAACTGATCACCCTGAAATTGGTGAAGGAAAACCCACACCTGCACTTTCAGGTAATTTAATTATTTCTATTTGTTCTTTTATACATGATACACTCATCAGAACTATTTAATGCCTAGGCAACACGTAGACACTAAGTATACATTTACACTAGGTTTAGGTCTTCAGAGTTTCTTAGGAAATTTTTAAAATTTAAATGTCCGAATGTATCTTTTTAAACAAGAAGATTAAAGCCTGATTCCTATTTCTTCATTTTGGAATCATTAAGAGTAATGATATGGTTTTAGAATTCTTAACACAAAAATGCCCTGCATTGATATAACTGGCCAGTACAAACGATGCTTTTTTTATATCCCTGTTAGCTATTAAAATTCTATGCTGAAATTTGATTTCCTCTTATTTACTTTTGCTGCAAGAAGAAGCATCCTCATCTTCTATAAGGGAGCGACCACCTGAAGAAGTTGCAGCTCGCCTTGCACAACAGGAAAAACAAGAACAAGTTAAAATTGAGTGTATGTAAACCAGACAGCTTCTTAAGGATTTTGGGTCATCTCCCAGTTGCTCTCTTCTTAAACTATCAGCACAAGTTTGTCATCTATCACCTAGTTGTGGTTTCTTTTGTTGCTGCGGTTGTTTTTTAGTGGCATTGCTTTATTCATCACCTTCATTTCATCTAAACTTCTTTTACCTAAGTGACAAAGGCTATTCTTAGTGTATAGTTGGTGAAAACTCCAAATAATACTAAAGATTATGTTAGCGCTAAAGATTCTTTATACTCTGGGAAACAGAAATTGATTATTTATGTTTTAGCAGCTTGCCTAAAAGTCCTTTATTTATTTTTTTGAGATAGGCTCTTTTCTGTCACCCAGACTGGAGTGCGGTGGCACTGTCATGGCTCACTGCAGCCTCAACCTCCCAGGCCAAAGCCATCCTCCCACCTCAGCCTCCTCTGTAGCTGGGACTACAGGCGTGTACCACCATACCCAGCTAATTTTTTAAAAATTTTTTATAGACACAGGCATCTCACTATGTTGCCTAGACTGGTCTCGTACTCCTGGGCTCAAGTGATCCTCCCACCTTGAACTCCCAAAGTGCTGGGATTACAGGCCTGAGCCCTTGTACCCAGCCCTAAGAGTCTTTTATTAATAATTGTTAATTTATACTTGTAAATAATTGTTTATTAATAATTGTAAATTTATTTGTTGGAGTCAGAATGGCTTACACTGCCTTATCATCTAGCCTCTGGACTCTCTAGTAGTGCTTTTATCTGACACTGGTGGGGCATGGAATGTTCTACACATCGCTGGTTTCCAGCTAACAAGCATATTCCTTTTTAAGTTTCAGTTTTATGGTTTTTTTGTTTGTTTGTTTTTAAGAGATGGGCTCTTACTGTGTTGGTCAGGGTAGTGTTGGACTCTTGGCCTCAAGAAATCCTCCCACCTTGGCCTCCCAAAGTGCTGGGATTACAGGCATGAGCTACCACACCTGGCCAAGTTTTTTTTATCATTATTATTATTTTTGCTGTCCTCGGTAGGTCAGGATTCTTAAATTTTTTGATGGTTTAAAAAAGATAATAGATATTTATCAATTTATTTTTCTGTCTTAAAGCACATGTAACATAATTTTTTGTACTGTGCTATAATATGTTGATGTCTCTGGAGGTCGTGGGATGTAGCTTTTTGCTGGACAGAGAGTTCAGTACTCATGGCAGCTGTTTATAGTTTTTTGATCTCCTTGTCATTTGTTTTGCTCCTGTTTCCCTTGTAATGTGCTGGTTCTGCCCTACCCTGAGGAACCAAGTTTCTTAGAATAGCATAGGTGTCATTCTGTGCCTATGGCATTAGTTTTCCTACTTGGATTTGGATTTTCGTTTTTGATTTTTTGTATTCTTCTGATTGTGTTACAAATATTTGTGAATATTTAATAAATGACTTCTAACTAAGTGAAATATTTCATTTTTCCTACTTCTTTTTTCTTTTAGTCCTGTTTTTTCTTCACTTTTCACTTTTCTCTCTTTATCACTTGGGCACCTTGAAATTAAGTTATAAACGTAAGATGGAGATGTCTGCTGTTCCAGCTGTTCTTTTCCTTGCCTGGTTCCTCTCATCTTTCATTTTGGGCAAAGTGAAAATTTTCAGAATTTTATCTGTCACCTCTTAATTCCCCCTCAAACTTGACTTTAAAAATATACACATATGCATTTGCATGTGAAATATTTATCAAGGATCAAAGGACAGTGACTAAACCTCTGAAGAGGGCTGGAAGCAGCAGGTGCCTCCCAGCAGCCCACTTTCTGTGGCCTCCATAAAGTGGTTCACAACTGCCTGTACTTGATGTCCACTGTTCACTCACGCATGTCATGGGATCCAAATACCACGGTTTCTCTCCCTTGCCCCTTTCTCTTGTTGTATCCCCTGCTCTCATTTCACTTCTATCACTTCTGTCAATTTCTTTTTATTTTCTCCTTATTAGTTTTCCTCTTATCTTTCTTGCAGAGGTACCATTTGTAGTTCCTCAGATTCCATTTGTTCATTGCTAGTTTATGCTTCTTTTCC
Source organism: Homo sapiens (assembly GCF_000001405.40). Lineage (NCBI taxonomy): Eukaryota > Metazoa > Chordata > Mammalia > Primates > Hominidae > Homo > Homo sapiens. The sequence continues at coordinate 86,168,705 of NC_000002.12, read as the reverse complement.
TCAAAATCATCTTTTTTTCTCGCTTGTCAAATACATTTTTTATTTTTTGTCATGTGATATCATTTATTTAATTAATTTGTTTTGAGACAGAGTCTCACTCTGTCACCTAGGCTGGAGTGCAGTGGTGCAATATCGGCTCACTACAACCTCCAACTCCCAGGTTCAAGCGATTTTCCTGCCTCAGCCTCCTGAGTAGCTGGGACTATAGGCACCCACCACCATGTCTGGATAATTTTTGTATTTTTAGTAGAGACGGGGTTTCACAATGTTGGCCAGCCTGGTCTCGAACTCCTGACCTCAGGTGATACACCTGCCTCGGCCTCCCAAAGTGCTGGGATTACAGGCGTGAGCCACTGCGCCGGCCCATTTATTATTAAATTAGTATTCTTACTAGCCGCCTTTCTTCAAATGACCATTTATTTTTGCATTTTAGTAAATTATCTAAAATTGTCATTTGCTTTACTTTTTGGTATTCCCGAAACAGCATATAGAAATGTGATCTTAATAGATGGAAGCCTCTTGAACATTGGTGTCTGCTATTTCTTGAGTCCTTTTATGGAAGAACACTGTCCATTTCAAGTTGCCTTTGGGTTTTGTTTTGTATTTTTTGACCTGTTTTCTTATTTGTCTTTTTCTTTCTCTTGTCTGTTTTCTTGTATCTTGTCAACATAAGTGTTTTGCTATGAGTATTCCTTCTTGCCAAGGGGATGAAATGGGCACCTCTTTTTCCCTGTTACGATTGTTGTTTAAAATGAAGAAAGCTGATGGATTTGTTGAGTTTATAGCCACAATATGTAAAAGGGGCTATAGTGTCCTAAACCTTGTTTCTCCCATTTGAAATACATTACCCTTCTTTAAATAATTTTGAAAAAAAAAAACACTTTTTATTTTGAAAAAGTTTAGATATACAGAAAAGAAAAAGTAGGCTGGGCACGGTGGCTCACGCCTGTAATCCCAGCACTTTGAGAGGCTGAGGTGGATGGATCACGAGGTCAGGAGATCGAGACCATCCTGGCTAACACGGTGAAACCCTGTCTGCTAAAAATACAAAATATTAGCTGAGCGTGGTGGCAGGCACCTGTAGTCCCAGCTACTCAGGAGGCTGAGGCAGGAGAATCGCCTGAACCCAGGAGGCGGAGGTTGCAGTGAACTGAGACGGTGCCACTGCACTCTAGCCTGGGCGATAGAGTGGGACTCCGTCTCCAAAAAAAAAAAAAAAAACAAAAAACAAAAAACCGGGCACGGTGGCTCACGCCTGTAATCCCAGCACTTTGGGAGTCCAGGGTGGGCGGATCATGGGGTCAGTAGATGGAGACTATCCTGGCTAACATGGTGAAACCCCGTCTCTACTAAGAAATACAAAAAAATTAGCTGGGCGTGGTGGTATGCACCTGTAGTCCCAGCTACTCGGGAGGCTGAGGTAGGAGAATGGCGTGAACCCGGGAGGCGGAGCTTGCAGTGAGCCGAGATCGCGCCACTGCACTCCAGCCTGGGCGACAGAGCGAGACTCTGTCTCAAAAAAAAAAAAAAAAAGAAGTGTAATAAAGCTTCATAGATTTATCATCCAGACTAAATTATCAGTATTTTACCATGTTTTCTTTTTTTTTTTTGAGAGAGTCTCGCTCTGTCGCCCAGGCTAGAGTGCAGTGGCATGATCTCGGCTCACTGCAAGCTCCACCTCCCAGGTTCAAGCGATTCTCCTGCCTCAGCCTCCCAGGTAGCTGGAACTACAGGCACCCGCCACCATGCCTGGCTAATTTTTGTATTTTTAGTAGAGACGGGGTTTCACCACATTGGTCAGGTTGGTCTCAAACTCCTGACCTTGTGATACGCCCGCCTCGGCCTCCCAAAGTGCTGGGATTACAGGCATGAGCCACTGCGCCCGGCCTTTACCATACTTTTAAGTGAAACTTTGATTCCCTAAATTTGAGTCTCATGTATTTTGTTCCTTTTTAAATTTTTTGGGAAATGCAATGGAAGACTAGATAGGAGAACAGCAAAAGTTTAAAGTCATTTATGGGGGTAGGATTTGTTTTTTAACTGTTCTTTTTTTTTTTTAAGCTCTAGCCAAGAGCTTAGAAGATGCTCTGAGGCAAACTGCAAGTGTCACTCTGCAGGCTATTGCAGCTCAGAATGCTGCGGTCCAGGCTGTCAATGCACACTCCAACATATTGAAAGCCGCCATGGACAATTCTGAGGTGAGCCCAATGAATGATTAGAAGTGTTCTGGCTGTCATGACTTGGAGGACAAAAAGAAAAATCGAGGGTGGAGAGAAGTGTAATATTTAACAGACTGCTTTCTTCCGTATGATATCGGCTTTCTCTCACTAGGGGAAGATAGTCTGGAATAATTAATCTTTTTTTGTTATTGTTTTGAGACGGAGTCTTGCTCTGTCGCCCGGGCTGGAGTCCAGTGGTGCGATCTCGGCTCATTGCAACCTCCACCTCCCAGGTTCAAGCGATTCTCCTGCCTCAGCCTCCCGAGTAGCTGGGATTACAGGCTCCCGCCACCATACCCGGCTAATTTTTGTACTTTTAGTAGAGACAGGGTTTGCCATTTTGGCCAGGCTGGACTGGAACTCTTGACCTCAAGTGATTTGCCTGCCTCGGCCTCCCAAAATGTTGGGATTACAGGCGTGAGCCACTGTGCTTGGCCTTAGAGTAATTATGTTTAAAAAACAAACTGAAAAAAGCCTTTAAGTTTTTTAGAATGAATTTTATACATTGTGCTTTACTATATCTTACAACACCGATGCAGCGCAAGAATTAGTTCAGATTTGCTTTCATATTTTAATAGCACTTAAATATTTTTGTTGTTTGCTTTAAAATTGCTATTTCCATAGGTAAACTTTTTAAGATACTTCTCAAACTTCACATGCAGTTTTAAGAAATAATACAGAGAGCTCTCATGTTCCCTGAAACACCTGCTATTTTAAATGTTTATGATTATTTATGCGAAACACTTCAAAGAATGAAGTAATAACATTGATTTTTCAAAATTTAATACTGGGACTTAATACATTATTTTATAATTACATTAAGTTATTCAGTATGTATAAATGTATCTCTATTCCAAGTCATTTAAGGAGTAAATTAAAGTAAAATGCATAAATTATTAATCTTAAGGATCAGGATCATACATGGTCAGTAAAGTTACTTTGCCATCATAATTGTAGTTTTAAAAAAAATTTTACACACACTTTACATTGTTTCAGTCGTATGTACTTATATTACAAAAGAGTTTAATTAGACCTCTGATGTTAGTAGCAAGAAACTACAACCTTTGAAATTTTAAGGAAAATTCCATTTTATTCAAAGTCCAAGAAAAATACTTAAATATCAGAGTTCAGTCAGCAAAGTGGAAACCACCCAGGAAATTTAATTTGCTGGTTACCGATATGGGAAGGCTAGAAGTTGCGTGATGTAAGGGTGTTGGGTTCAAACCCAAGTAGACCAGTATCCCTCAGAAGGACACGGATTGGAAGCTTTAAATGCCATGTTACTACTTGGGTATAAGGGTACACAAGGTGGTATTTCATCTTCCTAACGCACATAATGTGTAGCACATGGTGATTAGACAGTGTAAAATCTATTGCAGTCAAGATTTTACAATCTAATGGTAGCAGTTAACAGATGAGAGTATTAGCTAATGTACAAAATAATTGGAAAAATGTATGAACACATTTTGGAATGTTAAGAATGAATTCCAGCTTTTGTTTTTTCTAGTACAAGAAGCTACAGGTGCACATGTAATTTCTAATATATACTGAATAACTTTCACAAAGCAGTGTTTGTGAAGAGTTGGATTTGGTAATACTAGGATTTAGTTTGGTTGTAGGGGAATCTGTGTCTGTTACAGGGTAGGTTTTCCTTGGACTTCTGTAAGCAGGAGTACCTTCAACAAGGGTGATAAATTTTGGCCCCCAGATATGTCATTGACATTTACATGCTTTGTAATTCTATTTGGGTCAGTTCATGTGGCCCAACTCAGCATCCATTCCTTTTTTTTTTTTTTTGAGACAGAGTCTTGCTCTGTCACCAGGCTGTAGTGCAGTGGCGTGATCTCTGCTCACTGCAACCTCTGCCTCCCAGGTTCAAGCAATTCTCCTGCCTTAGCCTCTCAAGTAGCTGAAATTACAGGTGCCCACCACCACACCTGGCTAATTTTTGTATTTTTCGTACAGAGAGGGTTTCACTATGTTGGCCAGGCTGGTCTCGAACTCATGACCTCAAGTGATCTACCTGCCTCCACCTCCCAAAAGTGCTGGGATTATAGGCGTAAGCCACCATGCCTGGCCCCAAATCAGTATACATTCTTGATGTATTTTATTTTCAAGATGACTAAAGCGGTCCAGGCGTGGTGGCTCATACCTGTAATCCCAGCACTGTGGGAGGCTGAGGCTGGTGGATCATTTGAGGTCAGGAGTTCGAGACCAGCCTGACCAACATGGAGAAACCCCGTTTCTACTAAAAATATAAAATTAGCTGGGCATGGTGGCCCATGCCTGTAATCCCAGCTACTCGGGAGACTGACGCAGGAGAATCGCTTGAACCTGGGAGGTGGAGGTTGTGGTGAGCCAAGATCGAGCCATTGCACTCCAGCCTGGGCAACAAGAATGAAACTCCATCTCAAAAAAAAAAAAAAAAAAAAAATGACTAAAGTGGGAATTCACTGAAACATCAACTTTATTTTTCGCATCATAAGATATACTTTGCAAAATTTTACATAGAACATTCTTTTTTTTTGGAGATGGAGTCTTGCTTTGTTGCCCAGGCTGGAGTGCAATAGCGTGATCTCGGCTCACTGCAACCTCTGCTTCCCAGGTTCCAGCGATTCTCCTACCTCAGCCTCCAGAGTAGCTGGGATTACAGGCGCCCATCACCACACCCATCTTAGTAGAGACAGGGTTTCACCATATTGGCCATGCTGGTCTTGAACTCCTGACCTCAGGTGATCTGCTCACCTCAGCCTCCAAAATTGCTGGGATTACAGTTGTGAGCCACTGCACCTGGCTACATAGAACATTTAAAAAGCGATACATGAAGACAAATATTTCTTCTAAATGTATGGACTCTTATCCTGGAGTTGAGTCTGTAGATAGAATTCAGGGGCTCATTGAACTTGAAGGAGGGAAACATCTTTATTTTCCCTAGCCTCAAATTGAAATTTAAAACCATTTTCTTCAACTATGAATACTGGCAACAAACCACAGTAATGTTAGCAGTACTGTGACCATGTCACCAATAGAAAGCACAGATGTTTTCAGATCACATTATAGTACTTGCAGATCTCTTGAATATTATCTGTGCTCATCACTACTTCTAAATAGGGTGTTTATTAGTTCTACCACTAGATCTTGTTTATTATTTCACATAATTTTTTGTTTTTGAGACAGGGTCTTGCTCTGTCACCCAGGCTGGAGAGCAGTGGTGTGATTACAGCTCACTGTGGCCTCATCCCAGGCTCAAATGATCCTCCCACATCAGCCCCTCAAGTAGCTGGGACCACAGGCATGAGCCACTACGCCTGGCTATTTTTTTTATTTCGTTGAAATGGGGTCTCACTATGTTGTTCAGGCTGGTCTCAAACAACTGGGCTTAAGCGATCCTGCTACAGTGCTGGGATTACAGGCATGAGCCACTGCACCCTGTCTAGGCCCTGAGTGTTCTGGGTACCTTGCACCCCCTCATAGTGTGGGACTCTTGCTGCACTTAGTGGTATTAGAGTGTTAGAGGGTTTTCTTCCTAATATTATATATCCCCTAAATATGAGCCAGCTCTGCTCAAAAAAGTGGCAATGAGTTCCATAGCTGGAGAAAAACATGTTGGATCTGCCTAAGATTTTCAAGGAAAACTTTTTTTTGAGAAGTAGTCTTTCTCTGTCGCCAGGCTGGAGTGCAGTGGCGCAATTTTGGCTCACTGCAACCTCCGCCTCCTGTATTCAAGCAATTCTCCTGCTTCAGCCTCCCGAGTAGCTGGGATTACAGGCACCCGCCACCACGCCCAGCTAATTTTTGTATTTTTAGTAGAGACGGGGTTTCACCATGTTAGCCAGGATGGTCTTGATCTCTTGACCTCGTGATCCGCTGGTCTCAGCCTCCCGAAGTGCTGGGATTATAGGCGTGAGCCACTGCGCCCGGCCAAAACTTTTTTTTTTTTAATACACATTTCACATACCGTAAGAGTCACCTCAAGGGAGGTTTTTGACAATAGTTGACTTATATGTAACAAATTAAGAAGAATAATTCCTTAGAGTAACATTTAGGAGGAATAAGGACCCTACAAATATGTAAACCTCCTATTTATCCTTAAACTCTGATTTTGGTTTGTACATCCTTTTGAGAATCTTAAAAAAAAAAAAAAACAACTCTCCTTAGAAAATGCTTATATGGCTGGGCAGTGGCTCATGCCTGTAATCCCAGCACTTTGAGGGGCCGATGTGGGCAGATCATAAGCCTTAAATTAAGAACATAAGCCTTAAATTAAGAGTTCTTACTCTGGAGAAACATTGCATATAAATTTTTACCTTTGAATTTAATGTCACATGTTTCTGTGTTCAATCTTGTTGGCCTATCATATGACAATAATAGCAGTTATTTATTATATAATTAAAATTTTTTGTTTAGATTGCAGGCGAGAAGAAATCTGCTCAGTGGCGCACAGTGGAGGGTGCATTGAAGGAACGCAGAAAGGCAGTAGATGAAGCTGCCGATGCCCTTCTCAAAGCCAAGTAATTACTCATGGACTTTAACAAGTAATTAGGGCCTCCTGGTGGCTTTCTTTGGGCCGGGTTTTCTTTGTATTGTCTGTATAGAATAAAGAGGAGGTAGAGAAACCCTTCTCTCACTTTTCCACCTGTGCTTGTTCTGAATTGGCATTAGGAATTTGTACAGGCCGGGCACGGTGGCTCACACCTGTAATCCCAGCACTTTGGGAGGCCGAGGCGGACAGATCACGAGGTCAAGAGATCGAGACCATCCTGGCCAACATGGTGAAACCCCGTCTCTATTAAAAATGCAAAAAAATTAGCTGGGCGTGGTGGCGGGCGCCTGTAGTCCCAGCTACTCGAGAGGCTGAGGCAGGAGAATCACCTCAACCCAGGAGGCGGAGGTTGCAGTGAGCCGAGATGATGCCATTGCACTCCAGCCTGGGCGACAGAGTGAGACGCTGTCTCAAAAAAAAAAAAAAAAAAAGGAATTTGTACAAAGGTGTAAAAAGAGAGAAGGAATAAAATATAATTAGTCCAGGCTGAGTACAGTGGCTCACGCCTGTAATCCCAGTACTTTGGGAGGCCTAGGAGGCAGATCACTTGAGACCAAGAGTTTGAGCCATCCTGGCCAACATGGTGAGACCCTGTCTCTACTAAAAATGAAAATGTTAGCCAGGCGTGGTGGCATGCGCCTGTAGTCCCAGCGACTCGGGAGGCTGAGGTAGGAGAATCACTTGAACCCCGGAGGTGGAGGTTGCAGTGAACTGAGATTGTGCCACTGCACTCCAGCCTGAGCCTGGGCGACAGAGCGAGACTCCATCTCAAAATGTATATATATAAAATTAGGCCAGAATAAATTTGGCAGAAACTTATATAAAGGATTTTTTTTTTTTTTTTTTAATTCATGGTCTTGCTCTGTTGCCCATGCCGTAGTGCAGGGGCATGATCAGGGCTCACTATAGCCTCAACCTCCCGGGCTCAAGCCATCCTCCTGCCTCAGCCCCCTGAGTAGCTGGGACTGGCATGAGCCACCACACTCAGACATATAAAGGATCTTACATAAAAGTCAGTTTCGCTTTGGATTATTGCTTAGATGATGTATCTCTACAGATGTACTGAGATTCTGCTGTAGTTTTAAGATTTTACTGGGACAGTTTGGGCAGTTTATCAGAATGTAGAAAGTATGTCACAATCTGTCTGCCTTAACCAAAATAGTGGGTATGTAATAGGTATGCCACGTTGACCTTGATTCCTGGAAGTTGGCTAAAACTAGGATTGAGCAAGCATGCCCAGATATAAGATCAACCTCTGTTGATGGAAACCTACATTTGACTAAAGATCCTCATCAGCAGTATGGAATAGTTATTTGTCACTCAAAATTTTGCTGTCTTTTTTAAGAAAATATTTATTATTAGTAGAGAAGGAAGTCTTCTGATAAAACTAGCATATCTTTTAGGAGATTTAAGGCATTATGCTCATATCACTTTGAGTTCTGTGTTTTATGGTGGGTAGACCACAGTCTGACGGACTTATGAAACATTCTGAATCGTGAGGGCTCCCTGAGACCCAGTTAAGTATTCGCCCAGTGAGGTTTTTGGCCTTCTCCTGTGCCTTTGCCTGCCTTAGCTCTCTCTCATTGGTTGGTGAGTCAAGTTGATCCTTGCAAGAGCTGCTGTTTATTGTGTGCTCATGATTCAGCCAGGCACTAAGTACTTCTCATGAATTACTTCTGTTCCTTACACGAAAGCATGTAGGAAATGAGAGGCTGATATGGGAGCTGAATCTGGGGCTGTCTTACTCTGAGGTCTGGGTCACTCCATATACCATGCTACCTCTCTGGTTCACTCTAGTAAATCTAGCTTCTAACCAAGGTGTTTTCAGTTGTTGATGAGAAAAGCCTCTCTGTGTATTGACTCCAGAAAAGCATTGATGCTCGTCCAAAGGTAGTGAGTTAGCTCAGTTGATTGTTCACAGTCAGTTACGGATCGAACAGTCTCGTTCTAGTCTTTCCTCCCTTACTATTGCACTTGACTAGTCTTTAAAAAAAAGAAAAAAAAAAGCAATTACATTTCTTTCATTGACTTTTCTTTTAGTTTTTTTAATAAAATAGAGGCATGGTTTCCCTATGTTGTCCAGGCTGGTCTTGAACTCCTGGGCTCAAGTGATCCTCCTGCCTTGGCCTCCAAAGTGCTGGGATTACAGGTATCAGCCACTGCTCCCAGCCTGTTTCATAGACTTTTAACAATTATATACTGTGCTGACATCAAAACTTTTTAATACAGTTGACAAGAAGTTATATTAAATCTTTGTTTTGTTGGTTTCCAGAGAAGAGTTAGAGAAGATGAAAAGTGTGATTGAAAATGCAAAGAAAAAAGAGGTTGCTGGGGCCAAGCCTCATATAACTGCTGCAGAGGGTAAACTTCACAACATGATAGTTGATCTGGATAATGTGGTCAAAAAGGTATGTTTCCTAAGTCTTATAGTATTTTATATTTTAAAATATAATCTCTTAAAGGATTTTAAGGATTTAGGAAAACAGCAAATTCCTACCATCTCCCCGTCTTTTCTCCTGCAAAGTGTATTCGTTGTTACTGTTTTAAAAAATTTGCCTTGGCTGGGTGTGGTGGTTCACACCTGTAATCCCAGCACTTTGGCAGGCCGAGGTGGGCAGATAACTTGAGCCCAGGAGTTTGAGACCAGCCTGGGCAACATGGTGAAACTCTGTTTCTACAAAAAATACAAAAATAAGTGGATGTGGTGGTGTGCGCCTGTAGTCCTAGCTACTCAGGAGACTGAGGTGAGAGGATGACTTGGGCCTGGGAGGTTGAGGCTGCAGTGAGCTGAGATGGTGCCACTGCACTCTATCCTGGGTGACAGAGTGAGACCCTGTCAAAAAAAAAAAAATTTTTTTTTTTTGCCTTGGACACCAACCAAGTGGATTGTTCCATATTGTTGATACTTTCTATAATAGATAACATTTTTGGTTATGATTATTGTCACTTATGAAAATGTCCATTTTGTAGCAGATCTTCTGCCTGCACTTATATGATATGTATGGAGGGAGGGGGCATAGTAAGATGGGAAAGGGCCTGTCCATGGTATTTGAATAGGAATTAGAAGGAAACAAATAAGGCTTATATTCTATTTCTGAGCTTCAGATTTCCTTACACATTTCCAACAAAATGTAAACAAATGAAGGAATACTACTTCTGTTTCTTGGAATGTTTATGGTATTTTTTGTTCAATTTAATCACATACCCTGTGTATTTGCTCAGGTCCAAGCAGCTCAGTCTGAGGCTAAGGTTGTATCTCAGTATCATGAGCTGGTGGTCCAAGCTCGGGATGACTTTAAACGAGAGCTGGACAGTATTACTCCAGAAGTCCTTCCTGGGTGGAAAGGAATGAGTGAGTACAACTGAAGTAATGTTTTTTTTTTGATGTTTTAACCACTAATCAATGAATCTAAACTTGCTTCATCTCCATTGTAGTCCACATCCCTCTGGCATGCATGCATATCTCTTTTTGTTACAGCGTTTTATTTTAACCACAGTCATTACAGATGACACAGCTGCAACACTACTCTTGTAGTTTTAGCTGTGGTGAACATGAGTTCCAGCTAGTGTTTAATTCCATAATCCGTGATTGGTTCTGTTCTGATATTTGCTACTCAAAAAAAAAAAGTTTGGAATTTGAGTGAACAAAAGTGACATTATAACCTTGACACTACTGAAATATTATTGTATATGTATAAGTATTAAAAAACCTTATTACTTTAAAAGTATTTGTAGTGAATTATTTAAAGCACACTTTATGTCTGCTCTGTGACAAAACAACACTTTGTTGAGAATTTACCTAGGGACCCTGCATTGAGAAAGGAACCAGCTGTCTGGCTATCCACTTCCTCAAGCTGAAACTACAGAGAACTTTGATGCTGAAGTCGTTACATGGTGTAGCTATAGTCACATTTCCCTGAAGTTCTGTGAGAGTACTAAGAATCACAGAGATCACCTGTCTCAGCAAAATTAAAATACCGTTTATTTTTATTTTTATTTTTTTTGTCGTTGCCCAGGCTGGAGTGTAGTCCTCCACCTCCCGGGTTGAAGCGATCCTCCTGCCTCAGCTTCCCAAATAGCTGGGATTACAAGCATGCGACACCACACCAGGCTAATTTTTTGTACCTTTTTTTTTTTTTCTTTTTTTTTTTTTTTGAGACAAAGTTTTACTCTTGTTGCCCAGGCCGGAGTGCAATGGCGCGATCTTGGCTCACTGCAACCTCCGCCTCCCACGTTCAAGCAATTCTCCTGCCTCAGCCTACTGAGTAGCTGGGATTACAGGTGTGAGCCACTGCGCCCAACCAATTTTTTTGTACTTTTAGTAGAGACAGGGTTTCGCCATTTTGGCCAGGCTGGTTTTGAACTCCTGACCTCAAGTGATTCGCCCACCTTGGCCTCCCAAAATGCTGGGATTACAGGTGTGAGCCACCACACCTGGCTCAAAACACTGTTTAAATGCTAGCATTTGTTAGAAAGCAGACTTCTCATGTTGTAGGCCTCTCTGGGCTGAAGGTGTCAGGGTTGCATCACAGAACCACAGCTGGTCTAAGGAATGAAGGTAATAAATACCAGTGCAGGGATTTATAATCATTCTGCATGATGGCCACCCAGGGAGACTGAATGTCAAGAAGTGGAGTTAAGGCTGTCAAAAGATAACTCAGACATTGAGCTCTTTGAATGCAGTTGACTCAGGAGGCAGATATCAGTTAGATTGTTGTCAAATAAAAAAGTGACAGTATGATTTATGAGAGAGAATAATGTGGAGAAATACAAAGTTCAGTCTGGGACCAGTGACTTTTGTTTAGACACTGGATAGCTACCATCGAGCAAAGAAGGCATTGTGGACAATTTATCCTTGAGAAGGATAAACTTGAGCCACGTTGGCACTGCTTCCCTCATCAGAATTTCTCAAGGGGTTGTCTGTGCCTCATTGAGGTTACAATTGAAACAGATGTGAGCACCTGAGAGACTTTCCCTGATTATATTCCTCCACAAACCACTGTACCATATTACCTTATTTTATCTTCTTGAAATTCTTATTCATTGGCTTGTTTGTTGTCTCTTTGCATTAGATATATGTAAGCTCCTTGGCATAAATTTGACATTGGTAGGTAGTAGGGAGTCTCCAGTGGCTCAAATAAAATGAAATTAGGTTGACAGGGCAGGACAAATTTTATTTGTGGAGAGTTAGATACGAGCATCAACCCTAAGAATTTGCATTCTGTCTTTGGTCTTCCCAGTAGACTAAATCCTACTAATTTTTCCAAGCCAGCTCTCAGGTTTTTAACTTTTGCTTTTTTTCTGCTTTTGAAAGTGCCTATCGCAAAACTTTTTTTTTTTTTTTTTTTTTGAGATGGAGTCTTGCTGTGTCACCCAGGCTGGAGTGCAGTGGTGCAATCTTGGCTCACTGCAACCTCCGCCTCATGGGTTCAAGCGATTCTCCTGCCACAGCCTCCCGAGTAGCTGGGACTACAGGCGTGTGCCACCACACCCAGCTAATTTTTTTGTATTTTTAGTAGAGACTGGGTTTCACCATGTTGGTCAGGCTGGTCTCAAACTCCTGACCTCAAATTATCCATCTACCTCGGCCTCCCAAAGTGCTGGGATTACAGGCGTGAGACACCACGCCCGGCTGCCTATCGTAAAACATGAAAATGTTAAACAGTGGTTCTCAACTGAGGGCATTTTGTCCCTCACATGACATTTGGCAACACCGGGAGACATTTTTGTTTGCCGCAACTGTAGGGAGCTACTGGCATGTAGTGGGTGGAGGCCAGACGTGCTGCTAAACATCATGCAGTACACAGAATAGCCCCCTTACAGCAGAGAACTGTCCGGACCAGAAGGCCAGTAGCACCAAGGTTGAGAAGCCTGTGCTAAAGAAAGGGCCATGTAGAAAATGAAGGTCCCTTGTGAAGCAATCTATATTGTTTCTTTTTTGAGTGACCTCCATTTAAATCTTTATTAATTTATAAAATAGAGTATATATTCACAATACAAAATTTGAAAGGTACAAATGGCATTTGAAGTTTCCCTCTCACAGTTTTCCTCCTCAGGGACAACCGGTATTACTGATTTCTTATGTATTTCTAGAGATAGTAATTATTCCATGATTACCCTAGCCCTCCGTGGATGTCCTCACCTCTGAAATCAGAACGCACTAAGACCTAAACCAAATTTGTTAGTACTGGTTTGTGTTATGAGGCATTTTGCTCTTATTGTCATTATTTCTTTATTATACTTTAAGTTCTGGGATTGCTCTTATTATTTCCCTAAACGACAAATGTCCTGATGATGTTCACTACATCCAGTACTCTTTCTGTGTTATCTGTAGCTGAGCAAGTTTCCAAACGCAATAATAGCTAGTGGTATTGAGCATTATTTTGTACCGGGCACTGAGTTCTAAGTGCTTCACATATATTAACTTATTTGAAATTCATAACAGCCTTACAAGGCAAATTTGGTTATTATCCCAATTACATAGATGAAAAAAGTGAGACAGAAAAGTAATTTGTGCAAGGTTGGGGTAAGAGCCAGGATTTCATTCTCCCCCACTAGCACTATTCTCTGCCTAAATGATTTGTATCAGCAGCACGGGACTCCCTTTTGGCCTTTTGAGAAGAGGAATGATATAACCATAATAAGGAGGAAATTTTATTTTTATGAGATTGACGGTGTAGGAGGGAGTGATGTTTAGTCAGTTGATGTTCAGAGCCCCTTGGATGAAAAATACCTGTCTTTGGACTTGTTGAATGCAAAGGTTATTAAGAAGGTCAGGACTGGCCAGGTGCAGTGGCTTATGCCTATAATCCTAGCACTTTGGGAGGCTGAGGTGGGTGGATTGCCTGAGGTTAGGCGTTCAAGACCGGCCTGGCCGATATGGTGAAACCCCATCTCTACTAAAAATACAAAAATCAGTCGAGCATGGTGGCATGCGCCTGTGGTCCTAGCTACTCGGGAGGCTGAGGCAAGAGAATCACTTGAACCCGGGCAGTGGAGGTTACAGTGAGCCGAGATCGTGCTGCTACACTCCAGCCTGGGCAACGGGAGACTCCGTCTCAAAAAAAAAAAGGACGTTCATACCAGGATGTTCAGCAGCTCATCCTGAGAGGCAGTAGCTGCGACTGGCTGCATTCCCCTTCTCCTGTCACGTGTTCACACTGGGTACTTGTGATACTTGTGATTGTGGTGGGGGACATCATTCAAACTATACAGAATGCCATTTTTTCCCTTTACTCTCAAATCAGGCCATTGTAGTTCTTTAATTTGCACAGGTTAAATGAAAATTTAGTTTGAATTCATTGTTTTAAAAATTTCAAAGAAGAACTGAATGTATTAAGTATCTGAAATGTTAAGAGAGGCCTGGTACTGTGAACAGAGAGTCAAAACTGTGATTTAGTAAAATACTGTATGAACTAATGAAAATGCGAGGGATAAAAGAAAATTATAGTTTCTATGAAATGCTTAAGTTGAGGCTGGGCATGGTGGCTCACGCCTGTAATCCCAGCACTTTGGGAGGCCGAGGCAGGCAGATCATTTGAGGTCAGGAGTTTGAGACCAGCCTGGCCAACATAGTGAAACCCCGTCTACTAAAAATATAAAAATTAGCCAGGCGTGGTGGGAGGCGCATGTAGTCCCAGCTACTTGGGAGGCTGAGGCAGGAGAATCCCTTGAGCCCAAGAGGCAGAGGTTGCAGTGAGCTGAGATTGCGCCACTGCACTCCAGCCTGGGCGACAGAGCGAGACTCTGTCTCAAAAAAAAAAAAAAGAAATGTTTAGGTTGCTGGGTGCAGTGGCTCATGCCTGTAATCCCAGCACTTTGGGAGGCTGAGGAAGGCAGATCGCTTGAGCCCGGGAGTTTGAGACCAGCCTGGGCAACATGGCAAAACCCCTTCTCTACAAAAAAGTACAAAAATTAGCCGGGTATGGTGGCATACACCTCTAGTCCAAGTTACTTGGGAGGCTGAGGTGGGAGGATTGCTTGAGCCCAGCAGGTGGAGGTTGTGGTGACCTGAGATTGTACCACTGCACTCCAGGCTAGGCAACAGAGGAAGGCTCTGTCTCAAAACAAAAAAACAAAAAATTTAAGTTGATTACTGTGAAACAGAGATAAGTCCTTTGAAACCAAAACCACAATTAATATCAATGATTCTTTTATTTTCTAAAATGTTATTTACCTTGATTTGTCTTGTTTTACAGTTTAAATTTTAGAAAATAGCCGTATCATTTCATTTTCCAGTATTAAAATAGCTTTTCCTGGTACTAGTCTCCGATTCCTTCTTGTTTCCTTTTAGATATTTCTGTTTAATGATCAATAACTAAAGTATGTGCATTCTTTTTTTTCAAACTGTTCTATTTTTTCCTTTGTAGGTGTTTCAGACTTAGGTGAGTGTTATGTATATTTCATGTTTAAAGTCTTTTGTTTTGGGTATTAAGAGACTAAAGTCTTTTTGTTGTGCCTATGATTCTTACACAAAGCCATCTAAATAGATATAAAGTAGAATTATGTCACATGATAAATCTGAATTGGATATTTTTGGCATCCGAATGCTCTCAGGAATGAAAATGTTTCATCAAGTGATTGGAATCCTATAGATGTGAAGTGTGTGTGTGTGTGTGTGTGTGTGTGTGTGTGTGTGTAATATGGATTGTAACTGATTACTTTGGAGAATTTCAAACATTAAAAAGTAAGAAGAAAACTAAAGAACTTCCAGGACCCATCACTCAGTTTTGTAGCCATCAGCACATGACCAGTTTTGTCTCATCTATTCCCACTCCTCCTCAGCTTATATAGAAAGCAGACTCAAATATCACATTCTTTCACTTGTAAATACTTTCAGTATGTTTCAAAAACATCACCATACTATTATCACACCTAAAACTTAGTAACAATTCCCTAGTCACCAAATGTCCATTCAGTGTTAAAATATCCCCTATTATTTCATAGAATGAGTCTTTACAGTTTTTATTTGAATCGATAACCCATAGACGTTCCACATGTTGAGTTTAGTCAATAAATCTCTTGCCCCTTTTTGTTTTTTGCTTTTCAATGTATTTATTAAGAAATTGAGTCATTAGTCATATAGAATTTCCTACATTCCATATTTTGCTGTTGGAGCCATAATTCTTCACTTCATCTTAGCCAAAAGACTAAGAAGTGATGGAGTCATAATTCTTTTTTTTTTGAGACAAGGTCTTGCTCTGTCACCAGGCTGGAGTGCAGTGGCACAATTTCAGTTCACTGCAATCTTCGCCTCCTGGGTTCAGGCAATTCTCGTGCCTCAGCCTCCTGAGTAGCTGGGATTACAGGCATGTGCCCCCATGCCTGGCTAATTTTTGTATTTTTAGTAGAGTCAGGGTTTCACCATGATGGCCAAACTAGTCTCAAACTCCTGGCCTAAAGTGATCCACCCGTCTCGGCCTCTTAAAGTGCTGGGATTATTGGCATCAGCTACTGTGTCTGGCCGGTGGAGCCATAATTCTCTCTTTTTTTTTTTTTTTTTTGAGATGGAGTCTTGCTCTGTTGCCCAGGCTGGAATACAGTGGCGCAATTTCGGCTCACTGCAACCTCTGTCTCCTGGGTTCAAGTAATTCTCCTACCTCAGCCTCCCGAGTAGCTGGGATTACAGGTGTCCACCATCATGCCCAGCTAATTTTTGCATTTTTAGTAGAGACGGAGTTTCACCAGGTTGGCCAAGCTGGTCTCGAACTCCTGACCTCAGGTGATCTGCCTGCCTTGGCCTCCCAAAGTGCTGGGATTACAGGTGTGAGCCACTGTGCCTGGCTGGAGCCATAATTCTTAATCTGTGTATGTGTTGCTACATTTTTGGATTGAGATTTTAAAAAAAAACAAACATTGGTTTAAGCCTAGATGAGAATCTTTGGGTGTATTTTAAAAAGCTTTGCAGTGATTCTGATGGACAGCTCTGGTTGCTGTGTTGGGATTTAATCTAGATCATATGTGTTTAAGAAAAGTAAAAAAACTTATTAAGGAAAAGTCTGAGAGAATTTGAATTTGATTTTTAGTTTTAGCAGAAAAGAATCTTCAATTGGATGCCTGTTATAACTAATCAGAGTTATGCCTGAAAGAAAATATAGAAGTGATTGTATATATAAGTTTTGTCTTTAAAGGCAAAGTTACAGTAAATGAGAAAGTCCATTTATAATTAGTTCAGATTAAAAGAGGGTTCCTGGAAAACAACTGATTATCTGAAGGCCTACCTGAATTTTGCCAGGGGTTGAAAATACCTTATTGGACACTAGCCAATTTCTGATTGAACTGGGGAATCTAAATCTCTTTTCATGTTAGCTAAGTTTTACTTTCGTTTACTGCTCTTAAATTATAATCAGTTGATGCAGATTACCTTGTAATGAGGTATAATTTCAGTGACATCATTAATATTTTAACATGCTCTTTTGCTTAGCTGACAAGCTCTCTACTGATGATCTGAACTCCCTCATTGCTCATGCACATCGTCGTATTGATCAGCTGAACAGAGAGCTGGCAGAACAGAAGGCCACCGAAAAGCAGCACATCACGTTAGCCTTGGAGAAACAAAAGCTGGAAGAAAAGCGGGCATTTGACTCTGCAGTAGCAAAAGCATTAGAACATCACAGAAGTGAAATACAGGCTGAACAGGACAGAAAGGTAAGAGAAATGAGAATTGTTGCCTAACATTTAAAGTGACTCTAACTTGATTGTTTACTTGTAGAAATAATACTGGCTCAGCCGGGTGCAGTGGTTCATGCCTGTAATCGCGGCACTTTGGGAGGCCAAGGTGGGTGGATCCCTTGTGGTCAGGAGTTCGAGACCAGCCTGGCCAATATGGCGAAACCCCCGTCTCTTCTAAAAATACAAAAATTAGCTGGGTGTGGTGGCTCGCACCTGTAATCCCAGCTACTCGGAAGGCTGAGGCAGGAGAACCACTTGAACCAGGGAGGCAGAGGTTGCAGTGAGCTAAGATCGTGCCACTGCATTCCAGCTTGGGCGATGGAGCAAGACTGTCTCAAAAAAAAAAAAAAAATACTGACAGTCATTGGCTTTAGGATATTGAATATAAGTCATGCCAGCTGACCTTTAGAATGGAGCTTAGGTCCTCATTCCCCTCATCAGAACTTCTAGGAAAGGAGTGATCGAGCAGAGTTCCTTTATGTTGAGCAGATGCAGAAGTGTAAGAAAGGAATAAGCTACTGGTATCCAGGATTATCTAGCTCATCTTTCCAGTGGAGCTGAGCCTCTGTCCCTTAAAGCAGTGCTGAACGAATCTTTGTTGGAGTCTGAGTATATTTTTCTCTGCTATTGTTGTTAAGTGGTTGGTGGTTAAAAAACAGGTGAAATAGCTTCTTTAGCCCTCTGTCTGGGCACACCATTTATTAAATAGGTGTCCACAGGCTGATTTGGGAACCTAACTACTCATCCCACCTTTGTGTCTTCTTAGCAGTACTACTGGCCACTCCTTCCTTCTTGAAACTATTTCTTCCCTAGGCTCCCTGACACCATACTCTTCTGGCCTTTCTCTTACCTTGCTGGCCACTCCTTAACCTCCTTTTCTGCTCAGCCTCTCAAATGGTGGCATACCTGGCATTAGTTCTGAAACGTTTTCTCCATCTGAACTGTCTCTAAGTGTTCTTGTTGAGTCCCGTGACTTGGAAGTTTAAATACCATCTATACCTGATAAATGTCTATCTCCAGCTCTGACCTCTGCCTTGGCTTCAGGTTCCTATCCAGCAGCCTACCTGGTATCTCCAGCTTGATTTTCAGTAGTCATTTCATGCTTATCATGCTCCAAACAGATTTATTTATTCTCTCCAACCTGTCTTCCAGCCCCTCAACTTGTTTCTCTCTAAATAAACTGAGTTGAACAATCTGCTCAGCTATTCCAGCCCAAATCATGCTTTGTTGTTCCTCCATCAACTCATATTCAGTTGCCCCACAGATCCTACCAGTTTTGCATCCAACATAAATCCCAAATCTGTCCACTCCATTACTACCACCTTAGCCCAAGCTGTCATCTTAACAGCTTCCACTATTTTTTCTTTTTCTTTCTTTTTTTTTTTTTTTTTTTGAGACAGAGTCTGTCTTTGTGGCCCAGGGTAGAGTGCAGTAGTGCAATCTTGGCTCATTGCAACCTCTGCCTCCCAGGTTCAAGTGATTCTTGTGCCTCTCAGCCTCCTGAGTAGCTAGACTTACAGGTGCATGCCACCACATGTGGCTAATTTTTGTATTTTTAGTAGAGACGGGGTTTTGCCATGTTGGCCAGGCTGGTCTCGAACTCCTGACCTCAAGTGATCCACCTGCCTTGGCCTCCCACGGCGCCAGAATTACAGGCATGAGGTACCATGCCCGGCCTTCCCCAAGGAATTTAAACACCAAAGTGCTGGGATTACAGGTGTGAGCCACCATGCCCAGCCAATTTGCCCTTTCTTCATACCCTTCTTTCTGTGTCTATTTACGCAGGCAAATAAAACATAGTCGAATCAGACACTACACTGCTGGAAATCCTCCATGGACTACCCATTTCATTTAATATAATTCCAAATTCTTAACCAGTACCCAAAAGGCTTCTTGATCACTGCATGCCATGAGCCATTTCACTGCTCCAGGCACCCTGGTATTTTTTGTCTGTACCTTGACTATATCTTTTGTCTTGGGACCTTTATGTTTTCTCTGCCTAGTACATTGTTCTATCCTCTCTGTTTAAACCTTGAGCTCTAAGCTTAAGTTTTAAGCCTAGATGTCACTTTGTTAGCAAGACTGAGATTTCCTATCCCTTCAGTCCAAAGTAGAGTCTCTGTATTACTTTCTGTTATGTTGCCCTGTTTATTTTAAATGTAAGGTGGGGGAAAAGGAGGTTGAAGGGGTGTTGATGCTTCACAACAGGTCCTTGCCTGCTCAGTCATATGTAGAAATATGTATCACAATCTCAGATGTCTTTTTTGTTTACTGTCTGCTGCCTCCATTGAGATATACACTGTGAGAGCAAGAAGTTCGTCTGCCCTAAGCACCATTGGATCCGTACAGATAGTAGGCACTGCCTGGCACACAGGGCTAGTAGCACTTCATAAATACTTATGCACTGACTGAATGGATTCATTGATTTATTATATTGTTTCTGAGAAAAAATAAGTTCTGGATTTCAGGTAATCAGTGTTAAGTAATTTGTAAAGTGACCTATGGCTATTTGTTAGGCAAGGTATATTTTTTGGTTTTTTTTGGCCCATGTTGAATTTAAATTCATTTAAAAATAAGCAGTTTTCTTTGTTTAGAAGTCTATGTCAAGTCTATGTCAATAACTACCAGATACTTACTAATTTTCTTTTCTTTTTTCTTTTTGAGATGGAGTCTTGCTCTGTCGCCCAGGCTGGAGTGCAGCAGCGCAATCTTGGCTCACGGCAAGCTCTGCCTCCTCGGTTCACGCCATTCTCCTGCCTCAGCCTCCCGAGTAGCTGGGACTACAGGCACCCGCCACCACACCCGGCTAATTTTTTTTTTGTATTTTTAGTAGAGATGGGGTTTCACCATTTTAGTCAGGATAGTCTCAATCTCCTGACCTCATGAGCCACCTGCCTCAGCCTCCCAAAGTGCTGGGATTACAGGTGTGAGCCACCACGCCCGGCCAACTAATTTTCTTAATGATTCTTCAAAGTAGGCATTATTACTCACAAATGAGAAAGTGGAGATTTGAGAAGATAAATCATTTCCCCAAGGTCACACAGATGGTTGTAGTAAAGCTACGCTTGATTCCAAGTATATAGTTACTTTTTTTCATATCCTGGATTTAGTTATTTCTCAGAGGAGCATGTGATTCAGGAAATGGCAGTGTTTTATATGAGAGGCAGCCTGGTGATGTGGAAAAACCACAAGTTTGGGGGTGAGAGAGACCTTTGTTTGAAATCTGGTTTTTGCCACAGCTGTGTGATCTTGTTTGAATCACCTTCCAGGGTTTAGTTTTCCGTTTCACATGAGAAGTAGAAGTGTACACATGCCTGGCACATTAGAGGCGTTCAGGATATGGAAGCTGCTGTTGTCATGGTTGATAGTGGTCTTTCTGTTTTCCTAAAAGTATATGTGGAGAATTGAAAACTAATAACTACTATGTTTGGTTTCACAGATAGAAGAAGTCAGAGATGCCATGGAAAATGAAATGAGAACCCAGCTTCGCCGACAGGCAGCTGCCCACACTGATCACTTGCGAGATGTCCTTAGGGTACAAGAACAGGAATTGAAGTCTGAATTTGAGCAGGTGAGGACCTGGACTCCCTTCAGCCACACCCCTCTTCCTGACAGGATTAAGAGACTCTCCTTTCCTTTTAATGTACTCTGAGGATGTCGAAGATTTGGAAATCTCCTTGTATGTCTACAAAACTGCTTCTTTTTACATAATGGTGTACCTGTGTGTTCATGATCAGATGTGTTTTTAAAATATATATTCTAGTCATTTGGAATCTTCAGAGCTTTAAGGAGAGTTGGTAAAGGGGATTTCAGGAATGCAGACAGTAATATTTGACATGTGTATCTTCCTCCTATAGATGGCATGGTACTGCTTAGATTTTTATAACTGAGGTAATTTCCCAGAGAAGTTTTGAAATCCCAGTAAATTATCAGGATGCCTGTAATCATAGTTTCTATTCAAGAAATCATTTACAGTAATATTAACTTGTTACTTTGTCTTGCAAGAAGATATTGAGGTTTTCTAAGTAAAATCTTCCAGAGAATCGCGATGTATGTCAGTATGAAAAGGTATTTTAAATTCTATTTGGATATTTTTCTGAGAAAAATTAATGTATAAGCTCTTAAATACAAGATATTAGAATATAATTTAATCTAATTATTATGTTTAGGTTTGCAGTACAGATAATTTACTTTCTAAAGCTGACAATTTGTGGCTGAGCACAGTGGCTAACACCTATAATCCCAGCAATTTGGGAGGCTGAGGCGGGTGGATCGCTTGAGGACAAGAGTTCAAGACCAGCCTGCCCAACATGGCGAAACCCTGTCTCTATTAAAAATACAAAAATTACCTGGGCATGGTGGTGCATGCATGTAATCCCAGCCACTCCGGAGGCTGAGGCATGAGAATCGTTTGAATCTGGGAGGTGGAGGTTGCAGTGAGCTGAGGTTGTGCCACTGCACTCCAGCCTGGATGACAGAGCAAGATTCTGTCTCAAAAATAAAATACAGTTGGCAGTTTGTTTCTGACTTTAACAGCCTTCTCTCTTCTCTTGGTATGCCTCCTCTAATATTAGGTTCCATCAGTAAACCTGTAAAGAATTATATACATCGGCCGGGCACGGTGGCTCACGCCTGTAATCCCAGCACTTTGGGAGGCCGAGGTGGGCGGATCACGAGGTTAAGAGATCGAGACCATCCTGGCCAACATGGTGAAACCCATCTCTACTAAAAATACAATAATTGGCATGGTGATGCATGCCTGTAATCCCAGCTACTTGGGAGGCTGAGGCAGGAGAATCACTTGAATCTGGGAGGCGGAGGTTGCAGTGAGCCAAGATTGTGCCACTGCACTCCAACCTGGCAATAAAGCAAGATTCCATCTCAAAAAAAAAAAAAATATATTATATACATCAAATATGAGTCAGGACATTTTTGAAACTTTACACAAAATGTAGGAATTTCGTGACAACTCTAAGGCCCTCTTTGCTTCAGCAAGTAGTTGCTGGAAGATTACACAGTTACATGACATGCATTGAGTATCACTTTTTTCTGGAACTATTTCTGTTTTATTTCAGAACCTGTCTGAGAAACTCTCTGAACAAGAATTACAATTTCGTCGTCTCAGTCAAGAGCAAGTTGACAACTTTACTCTGGATATAAATACTGCCTATGCCAGACTCAGAGGAATCGAACAGGCTGTTCAGAGTAAGCATAAGCTATGTTTATCTTACAGATAATTTTCCTCAGCATAATTTATCAAAATAATTTTATAGGGAAAATGGGGTACATGTACTGACATCAGGACATAAAAATACTAATCACTCTACTTAATTGCAGTTTTTGCCATTAAAAGTAATGGCAAAATCTATATAACTAGAAATTTATACCTTGTATGACAAACACAAAATCACCATTTACAAGGCTATTTACCCAGTATCCTTTGGCTATGTCGCATGTGCCTGGGTGGTAAGGGCTAGGGGTCAGTGTGGTCCCATGCTTGCCTTCCACAGACTTGGTGGGTTATCTGGAGGTGGTGATTTGCCGAGTCCAACTACCAAATGGACAGTATTTATGCTGAGGCCTCCATGTGCCACATTGAAAGAGAAATGTCATGACAATGAGGGTATTAATAAAATGGGTTTTTTTAGGATGTTATGGAATCTTTTTTTGTCACATAACAATAAAAATAAATTCAATACTCATGGAATTTCAAGATCCAGTAGTCTGTTAAGTTCGTTTGAAGTCTCCCATTTCTTTTTTTTTTTTTTTTTTTTTTTTGAGACAGAGTCTTGCTCTGTCGCCCAGGGTAGAGTGCAGTGGTGTGATATCGACTCACTGCAGCCTCCGCCTCCTGGGTTCAAGCGATTCTCCTGCCTCAGACTCCTGAGTAGCTGGGAATACAGGTGCGTGCCACCACGCCTGGCTAGGTTTTGTATTTTTAGTAGACACAGGGTTTCACCATGTTGGCCAGGCTAGTCCTGAACTCCTGACCACAAGTGATCCACCCACCTCGGCCTCCCAAATTGCTGGGATTACAGGCATGAGCCATTGTGCCTGGCCCTGAAGTCTCCCATTTCTTTGCAGAAAATTTCTCATGGCCTTAGCGTTAAGTCTTAGCCTAATTTAAATAATATGTTTCTTTCTCAACTAGTAAAGGTAAAAATATGTGGATTAGATATCATGCAGATGTGAATGACTTCTGACTTTGATATGAAGAGGCCAGCTAGGAAAATACACCAGAAATAAGTGGTGGGGGTGGGGTTGTAAGAAAGTCTCTCTGGCCTCATCTTGCACATGTGTAGATGTAGCTTGTTGAATGTGCATCAGTTCTGTGGATGTATGTTGTCAGATGGAGAGAAAAATGTTTGGCTTTGCCTTTTTTTCTTTGTAGGCCATGCAGTTGCTGAAGAGGAAGCCAGAAAAGCCCACCAACTCTGGCTTTCAGTGGAGGCATTAAAGTACAGCATGAAGACCTCATCTGCAGAAACACCTACTATCCCGCTGGGTAGTGCAGTTGAGGCCATCAAAGCCAACTGTTCTGATAATGAATTCACCCAAGCTTTAACCGCAGCTATCCCTCCAGAGTCCCTGACCCGTGGGGTGTACAGTGAAGAGACCCTTAGAGCCCGTTTCTATGCTGTTCAAAAACTGGCCCGAAGGGTAGCAATGATTGATGAAACCAGAAATAGCTTGTACCAGTACTTCCTCTCCTACCTACAGTCCCTGCTCCTATTCCCACCTCAGCAACTGAAGCCGCCCCCAGAGCTCTGCCCTGAGGATATAAACACATTTAAATTACTGTCATATGCTTCCTATTGCATTGAGCATGGTGATCTGGAGCTAGCAGCAAAGTTTGTCAATCAGCTGAAGGGGGAATCCAGACGAGTGGCACAGGACTGGCTGAAGGAAG
This sequence comes from Homo sapiens, assembly GCF_000001405.40. Taxonomy (NCBI): domain Eukaryota; kingdom Metazoa; phylum Chordata; class Mammalia; order Primates; family Hominidae; genus Homo; species Homo sapiens. Next base: position 86,144,362 of record NC_000002.12, on the reverse strand, counting down.
CCCGAATGACCCTAGAAACGAAACAGATAGTGGAAATCCTGACAGCATATGCCAGCGCCGTAGGAATAGGAACCACTCAGGTGCAGCCAGAGTGAGGTTTAGGAAGATTTTCATAAAGTCATATTTCATGTCAAAGGAAATCAGCAGTGATAGATGAAGGGTTCGCAGCGAGAGTCCCGGACTTGTCTAGAAATGAGCAGGTTTACAAGTACTGTTCTAAATGTTAACACCTGTTGCATTTATATTCTTTCCATTTGCTATCATGTCAGTGAACGCCAGGAGTGCTTTCTTTGCAACTTGTGTAACATTTTCTGTTTTTTCAGGTTTTACTGATGAGGCTTGTGAGGCCAATCAAAATAATGTTTGTGATCTCTACTACTGTTGATTTTGCCCTCGGAGCAAACTGAATAAAGCAACAAGATGAAAACTGAGTATCTTATCCCTTTTCAAAAAGTACAGTTCTGGCCAGGTGCAGTAGCTCACGCCTGTAATCCCAGCACTTTGGGAGGCTGAGGCGGGTGGATCACCTGAGGTTGGGAGTTCGAGACCAGCCTGACCAACATGGAGAAACCCATCTCTACTAAAAATACAAAATTAAGCTGGGCGTGGTGGCGAATGCCTGTAATCCCAGCTACTCGGGAGGCTGAGGCAGGAGAATCGCTTGAACCTGGGAGGTGGAGGTTGCAGTGAGTCAGGATCGCACCATCGCACTCCAGCCTGGGCAACAAGAGCAAAACTCCGTCTCAAAAAAAAAAAATTCTAGTTTGTTGTATGTACAGAAAATATCCTTGAGAAACAACAACAGCAGAAGTAGGAACTTCTAGCTCACAGTTTCCAGGCTGTGAATTGCGTCACCAGAAGTCCACAGCCTGCTTTTTGCCTTTGAAGGTTTTGGTGAATTGATTCCTGCTGCTCAGACTCAAAAGAGTAATATACAAGCCAAAGTGCCACATGTATTTATAATTGGGGATATATCGTTCTAGTGACTTGTTAAAATGTTGGTCTCTACCCACAAGTTAATTCAGCAGCCCTCTATGGGTCACAGCTGACAGTTCTAAAACACTGGTAATGGAGCTTAGTTCTTTCTAGTACCTGGGCTGTGAATCCCTTCAAAGTGGGGGGATGGGGAGCCTGGAATCTTAATGAAGAGATTAAATAGTTTTGTTGTGTATTTGATGTAGATTGCTATAAAACCCAGAGAACTTTCTCAGTTCATCTTTCTAAAGATTAGTACAACTGTCATATTGCATAAGCACTAACAAATTCTTTTACTCCATGAAGACCACCATCTCTACATAAAAATGTCAACTTTCTTCAAAATTACAACTGTTTGTTGGGGATTGTGTGTTCACAAAGAAATTGAGGAGGCACTTTTATCTGGGCAACACATCTGGAATCACAAAAGGGGCAGCTTCTGCATCTGTAGGTGTATGGCACTGGCCTTGTCCTTTGATTTTGGGATATATTGGTCCACCTTTGGCTTGTGTTAATGTTGTCAATAGTCCTTATATTCCCTCCTAAGTGGATTTACTTAATTCAACAAAATATATTTAGTTTCTGATTGGAACACATGCTTTGTGTTCCTTCCTGAGATTAATGCCCGTCATCTCAAAGGCAGAGGCACTCTGTGCACCTACCTAGAGGATACTAAGTTTTTATTAGGAGATAATAGGACTGTTCTAAATTCAGTCTTCCTTTTTCGAATGGCACAAAATTGCAAAATACATTACTTGTAAAGCTAAACTTCCCTATTTGTCATATTAGAAATGCTTATAATTTCCATTCGACTTGTATATGTAAAATATTATAGGTTATAAGAAAATCTAAGTTTCTCTTGGAGCCCTGAAATAACTTCCTTCAGATGTGATTATCTGTCTGAACTTAGAAGCAGCAATACTGAGTGGTTTATTTATTATTATTATTCTTTTTTGAGACAGAGTCTCGCACTGTCGCCTGGGCTGGAGTGCAGTGGCGCAATCTCTGCCCACTGCAACCTCTGCCTCCCAGGTTCAAGCCATTCTCCTGCCTCAGCCTCCCGAGTAGCTGGGATTACAGGTGCCCACCACCATGCCCGGCTAATTTTTTTGTATTTTTAGTAGAGATGGGGTTTCACTGTGTTGGCCAGGCTCGTCTCGAACTCCCGACTTTGTGATCTGCCCACCCCGGCCTCCCAAAGTGCTGGGATTACAGGTGTGAGCCACCGTGCCCAGTCAAGTGGTTTATTTTAACCTGTAAAACAAAATAATGAAGACTACAAGCTTCTGAATCTTAGTAGTTCCTTTACCAGCCAACACACCCACCCCCCTTGATTGCTTATTAGGAACAAAGATGATACCGAAAAGGGGACCCTGCTTGGCCAGGCCTGTATTTTCCTTCCTCGTGCTTAAAAATCTTCCTGAGATGTAACTCAGTAACATGTGCAAAAAGCAGCGGAGCCTCTTCTTGGATTCTCAGTGCTACTTCAAGGAGATGATGGAGTCCCAAGGGCCAGGGTTATCCGGGAGGTGGATATAGCCCTGAGCCATTAGGGCAGGTAGGCTTCTCTTCACCCTTTCATTTAAACTGCAAGTGAAAAGTCACACGACTGCCATTTCCACAGCAAAAATCATAAAAAGCCAAATCATCACTTCTGTCTTGGTTTCATCCTCAATCTGTTTTACTCTGAAATTACTTTATTGCCTCCCTCCTCACTGATGTAGGACAGTGTTCAACATCTTAAAACTCACACATCCTGATTTAACATTTTCATGTTTAATATTTCAAAATAATGTAACAAACTAAAACCTAATTTTAGACTGTCTTTAAGGCACACCACCTTCATATTCCTTTGTATTTAAATCCCCTGTTCTCTTAACAGGTTCTGGATAAAAGCAGTCTCCAAGTCCCAAATGAGTGGTGCCACCAGTTTTAAAAGTAACTTGCTTGGCTCAGTGCAGAACAGATCATTTGATTTAACACAGAAGGGAAATAAAAAGGCGTATTAAATTTCAGGCAGATTCGCTTCATCAGGTCCAGTGGTCACTACACCCCTGTTGTACTATAGGTCTATGCTTCCCTGGTTTCCTTCCCATTGATGTATCCAGAGGTTGGCAGGGAGCTTGAGGAAGCAAAGGATGGGGGCAGGGAGGAGGGTCACCTGCCCACTGCAACTCTTACCCATGTGAGGAGTAGGTTTCACTAGTCTATTATTAGTTTTGTTGAAGGACTTCTGCAGGGGTTGTGAGGCAAGAGCTTGTGAAAGGGCCATTGTTGTGGGAACAGACACCACGGGTACTTGTGGCAGAACTTAGATTGTCCTGGGAGTAAATTCTGTCATGACCTTTACTCCTCTTGGACACTCTTTTCGAGCATCTTAAATCACAGAGCTCTGAAAAACATCCTTGGGCTTGATCCCCAGCAGTCCTGAATCCTGAAAGTCCACAGCTGGACAGTTTTTTTGGTTTTTTTTTTTTTTTTTTGAGATGGGTTTTCACTGTGTTGCTCAGGCTGGTCTTGAACTCAAGCAATCCTCCAGCCTCAGCCTCCCGAAGTCCTGGGATTACAGGTGTGAGCCACTGTGCCTGGCCTGGACAGCATTTTTTAATAGGCTATTTCCTGGGCCAGGATGAAGACTTGTTCACTGCCTAGATTTTGTGTAATCTGATTATCCCATGTCCTAGCAAATTGCCTTACAGCACCCAAATCAAATACACCCATTTTTTTGGTAAAATGCCACTCTACCATTAATGTTGAATCTAAATGGTTGTATAAAACCTGCCTTATACATCCATGCTCCTAGTGACTCAATTTCCTAGCGTATCTTACTTTTTGACCATGACCAGCAGTAAAAAATTTACATCACGATTTGCTACACTTAATGCATATATCTATGCACAGATCTATACTGCAATGCAAAAATGCACCATCACAAAACTGTAGGTGACGTGCTTAGATGTTCTAATGCATTTCATTAAAAAATTGCAATCACCCACAAAAACTGATTTCAAACCCTGCAGTTTGAAAGACAAATGCTACCCTGTCTTAGAGAATATGGGTACATAGCCAGTGACAGTACAATCTGACATCTTTTCCTCTAAGCCTAGTGCTTGGTATAGTGTTTATATAGCAGCTAACTGGTTTTTTTTTTTTTTTTTTTGCTTTGAGGTTGCTGAAAGGGGAGTCTGCTTTACTGTGGTTACGTTAGGACTTCTCGAAGTTCTGTTTCTTAGGCGGTCATATGCCCTACTTTTAGTAGCAACATGACTAAGGTCTCAAAATCAATGAATACTTTGCAGAGTTGGTGGCATTCATTAAGCATTTACTAAGAAGCACCTACGTGCCAGATTTGAGTTTGATTCTAGACATGTAGAATCTTTTGAGTGCCATCCAACCTCTTGAATACTTTGATGGCTATAAAACAACCCTCAAATGTTGAACCAAACTAGAAGTCTAGTTTCTGACTTCTACACATTGGTAATGTAACTCTGTGGCAACACTGAGCAAGTTTATTCCACATATAGTAAGACTCCCCTTCCCCTTCCCATTCCATGAGTCCTTAATCCCATTTGCTTTTTTTTTTTCTTGGAGACAAGGGTCACTCTGTCAACCAGGCTGGAATGCAGTGGTGCAGTCATGGCTACTGCAGCCTCAGCTTCCCAGGCTCAAGCAATCCCCTCCACCTGTCTCCAGAGTAGCTGGGATTACAGGCATGCACCACTACGCCCAACTAATTATTAAAATCTTTTGTAGGGAGGGGGGTCTCACTGTTACCCAGGCTGGTCTCAAACTCCTGGGCTCAGGTAATCCACATTGGCACCCTAAGTGCTGGGATTACAGGCATGAGCCACTGCACTCAGCCCCATTTGCTCTTCCAAAATTCTGGTTTCTCCAAGACAGGGTCTTGCTCTGTTGCCCAGGCTGGAGTGCAGTGGTGCAATCACGGCTCACTGCAACCTCCCTCTCCTAGGCTCAAACAATCCTCCCAACTCACCCTCCCAATTAGCTGGGACACAGATACATACCACCAGTCTGGCTTTTTATTTTTTTGTAGATCCGGTGTCTCACTATGTTGCCCAGGCTAGTCTCGAACTCCTGGACCTAAGTGATCCTCCCACCTCTGCCTCCCAAAGTGCTGAGGTTACAGGTGTGAGTCACCACACCCGGCCGAAGAGAACATTTTACTCATAGTAGAGGCTAAAGACTATGATAAAATAAGCATTTACAGAGAATGGAGACTCATCCTGTGAGGCCTTAATTTTTCTCTATGTTCAAGGCAGTTAATTGCTCAGAGTATGGGTTTGGAGGATCTGTACCACAAACTTAAAAGTACCAAGCTAACAAATCACTCATTTTGAAAGTCTACTACAAATTCATAGGCCATCTACCCAAATGGATTTTCTCCTATCAACTCTAGCTGCAGAGCAACATGGTGATTCAGAATAGGTGCCTGGATAGGAAGAGGCATACCGTGAATCTAAGGACTGTATTGAATAGTAAGGCTAACAAGAGTCAGGCATCTGCAGGTGCTGATGAACTAGAGACAGGAAGGGACCGAGTTAACATTTCAGGTGGCCAAGGCTCTCCTTGGAAGCTGTAAACCAAGACTGAAGGCTAATTTACTCTCTCTGTCCTGCAAATCTGCTTTGATATGGAGCAATACCCATGGATGCTTAAGTAGCTAGCTACTATATCGGCTTTTTTTTTTTTTGTCCCTCAATTAAATGCCTTAAGACCTGACATTCCAAGAGAAAACAAAAACCATACTTTGGTTTCTAAGGATGTATGACTGGGTCCCGGCCTTCAGAGGATGGCAGACAGATGGGAACACAAGTATAAGTAGACTAGAGTATCCCATAATTGTCAACTCTGGCAAGGTAAAGATGAAGCTGCTTATGTGGACAACTCGTGGGGTACCTAAGTAAATCTGGGAGCCAGGTACGTGCAAAGTGGTCAGTGGTAGAAGCCCTCATGAAGGCAGGAATGCTGCAAACCTCCACTTACTGCCTTCCAGGACCACTTAAGTCATAGTGGTAAGAGCTGCTAGAAGTAGTCGTTACCAACTTGATTACCAGCAATACACAATGATGTCAAGAAGACATTCCACATCCTTCTGTCATCACTAGCTCTCATTTCAACCACTAAAATAGGTAACAGCTATAGACAAAAAAAAAGGGAGACATGAAACATTCATGGCTGTTCAAGTTAGAAAACTATGGCAGCGGCTATATTAACAAAAATACAAACGTGTACACTAATTACAACATTTATCTACAGTCATTTTACCAGTTGTGCAGCCTAAACTGCCATTATCTTGTTTAGTCATTCCTAAGATGCGTTATTTCTGACATCGAAATATCCTGAAATTGGGAAACTATTGACCCAACCCCAACTGTGTTAGAACTGCATGAACACCTAAGATGAAGGACCAGCATCACAGCAGCACATCAGGCCAACAAAGGCAGAAGTCCAGCAGCAGGAGAGGGCAATCGCACGAGGACAGCATCGTGAGGTCAGCTCACCGACACTCTAGGTGTGCAGGCTTATCCTGATGACAAGAGCCATGGACCTCACCATGTGTCTGAAAACCGCAATGTTGCTACTTAAATGCTAAGCCTTTAATGGTGCATTAATAGATGGTTAAGTAGCATATTAGCAGCTTAAATCTACATAAGTCAGCTGTGTACTGACTGTACCTCACAGTAACAAATTCACCAAATCTGTATCTTTTCTTCTTTGTAACAATGTTAAATATTGGTATATCTCAGTTCTCAGGTGTGATTCCAGCAGCTATGGTGAGACCCATTGCTGCTCCTGAATCTCCACTTTCATTTGCCTTCACTGGTGTCACTGTCGCTGTCACTGCTGCTGTCAGTATCACTGTCACTGGTCAATGCAGTTAGATTACTTAGGGCTTCCCTGTTAAGAAAAGAAAATGGAGGATTACACTGCAATTCAACTGGGTGCTGGGGTTCTCGGTGTCTCTGACACTCACCTATAGCCTGTCAGTTTTGAAATCAGAAAAAGGGACCCTGCAGTTGCATTAAACTATATTAGAAACAAAAAGCTTCTAACAGTCAAATCTATAGGCTTTCCTGACTTGCATGACAAATGAAATAGTCATTAAATTACTACATTCTGACTTTTTGAAAGGAAATAGAAGGGATAGAAAGCTATGAACATTTTGAATGGGCAGATGGATGAAAGGTCTCCATTTTACAAACTATGCTTCATGGTGACCACTTACTTTTGTTCCTGGTTGATTGCAAAATCACTCATTACTCTCTGGGTGAGGCCCTCACAAATAGGTAAGCTGAAGGCACTTGCCAGCTCTACTACTTCAATGGCCTGGGAAGGGCTGTTAGACACTTTTGCACTGTCCATAAGCTCATTCAGCAACTCACTTCTGTAAAAGAAAGGCAAAGTGTGAACTTTCTCCAGCCCCTTCAGTAAAACATTTATAGGCAAGATCCAGTGTAAGTTCAGTAACAGAATTCCCAACAGTATTTCTGGAGACAAAGATGAAGTCTAACATTTATTTTTACTTGTTTCCAGTGAGGTTAGAAAGTCTAAAGGGCCAAATGGATTATCAACATTCATTCAGTATGACTTCATGATGATCTATTCAATGTAGCCCCAATGTATGATGATCCGTCAACACAGATAAAAAACTGCTTGCCTCAGGATGCCCTGGATAGTAGGGAGTTGACGGTATGCTTGCCTAACAGAAGAGTGCCCAAATGTGGTGGCTAAGGCTGGTGAAGAAATTCCAAATGTGGCTACTTCCAGGCTGTACCCAAAGAGAGCTGGCTGATTTCAACTTACCTAGGAATCTTATTATGCTTCCTGAAAAGCCCCAACATTTTCCTGCTCAAGAAAGGAAAAAGATTATGAATACTATTAGAAAAACAAGGCAATCAGACACTATAGCTGTCTTCTCTCTGAAATCAGAGACTAAATGCCCTTTTCTTAACTATACTGTAAGCTCCCAAAGACACACATCTGTGGGCTCTACTAGCTCCCAGCCCTGTGTGTACATGAGAATCACCGCAGGTGCTTAAACTCCCCAAACGAATCTACACTGCAGTTTTCACAGGTAAATCTGATATGCTGCCAATGTCAAGATTTGCTGGTACAGGTTGAATATTCCTAATCCAAAAATGCTCCAAAATCTAAAACCCCATACACTTCTGGTCTTAAGCATTTTGGAAAAGGGATACTCCAACTGTATTTGTCCTCTTGTAGAGGATCACCACTGTCCTTCTAAGGAGGGAATCCATCCTGTGCACAGCTGGAAAAGAGGCATAGAACAGAACCTGCTGTTTCCCTCTCTTAAAGTACAGCAGGGGTTCAGTCTGTCTTAGAATTCTGTTATGAAGTGCAGGCTCAGATTGAGGCAACAGTCTCATGTAAGTGCTCCCCATCAGCCTGCCACATGCAGGACAAAGGAGAAACACATACATTCAGCTCCCATGACTCAGCTGAGGTCCGTACCCCTGCGCCAATCATCACAGCCTGGTTGTATCAAGTGTGTGCCAAACTGCCTGCGCTAACAACCAAATGCAAATGTCATACGTCTCTGTCACTAGCAGCATAGTTGCTAGAGAGACACGTGTGAGCCACACCTCAAAGACAAGCCTTCATCATCTTTTCCTGGAGATAGCTGACTAGCAATCAGATGTTCAAATAAAGCTACTTTCTTGTACAAGGAGCCATGCACAAGCACCCCCCACTAATGACTTTTAGAACACACATTTATATACAAAACAAAATACAGGAAAACCACCTGTCACTACCCCTACAAAAGATCCTTTTGCTCATTTTTGGAAACATGAATATGCATAAGGTTCCCATTCACAAACACTAAAAATTAGTATGTGAATGAAGTGCTGATAAAAACATAACCAGAACACAGTGGCACCAATCAAGGACGGGTTGTGGTCAAGGCCAAGTTTAGTTAATGTGCGTAAATGCCAGCTTCCAGAAGTCTAAGTACACAGCCCACATTTTAAGCTGGAGAGTGGGATGGGAGAAGCATCCAAAAATACTTCAATAACCCAAATGACCAAACCATTTTCAAAACTACGTTTCTTTGATCATATATTTCTTTGATCTTTAGTTCATTTAAGTGGAATAATGAGGTTAAGTGACTTACTTGTCCATAGACACAGAAAGTAGAAAGATAATTCTCAGCGTATGGTTTGAGAGAACTATGCCTTATCTCAACTACATCATGCATACTGTCTTCTTCCAAAAGTTTGCTTTTTAGTTGGTATTTGCAAGTTCCCGAATCAAATACGTGTTATGTGGCCAAATGAAAGAACCTCTACCAGCGTGGGCCAATGTTTTAGATTCAAATACAAAAGCTTCTAAAGTGTATACTTGTGGTACTGTACTCACCAGGCTTCCTGAGTTCTCCCAGCCCTTAAAAAGAGGATAGCTATACAGTTGAGAGAGGTGGCTGGCCAATCCTGAGCAGTCTGTCTGATGGGTTGGCTTTCATACGCAGATTTGATATCAGCAGCACAGTCAGCAAATGCCACCTGAAGCTGAGAAGCTTAGGAGTCAGCAGAACTGCCTAACTGATTTTATGAGAATTTCAGTTCAGGAGACTAACACAGGATCCTTAAAATCTGAGCAATGCATTTTACCATTTGAATATATTATGTGTATAGCACACAAGTAATTTAATAAAAAAAGGACCCTGTCCTAAGTATTTTGATTAGCCACAACTTTCAAATTCAGCTATGCATTTCCTTTGTAGATGGAGATTTTTAAAAAAGCAAGCTGAAGACAGAAGCTAATTTCATGTTGCTTGCTTTGGACTACAGGAAAGAGGGTAACTTTAAGAACAGATTTCTGCTAAGGGCAAGATATGTTTAGATGTATCATCACTCAAATATGGGTTTGGGTAGCAGAACTCTCCAAAATGGCAGATAAAACCAGGGAAGCTAGCCTTAAGAAGACCTCAGTATGGGAGGATATACTGGCTGGTGAGTTTCAGGCCTACCTCTGGTGGGTGCTTGTCCCTTGCCATGAGCATCAGGATCTCTTCTCTCAGGTCACTGCGGAAAGTATGACCATATTCTTTACTATCTTGAAACAAGAAAGGAACAAGGAGTGATCATTGTTATGTAAAACCAACACACTTTTGTTCACTGTCAACCTATTTTTTGGTAGGTAAAAATAAGTTGCTGTTATTTATTCTAGGCTTATCCCAGGATTCCAGAAACCCACCAGGATTCACAGTGGAACAAATGTAAAAGCCAATGCCTGGGCCTTGCTCCAGTGACGTGTTCATCACGGCATGTGCACTACATGGGAGCAGCCACCAGCTCCACGTGGTTAAGACGTTGTTTTATAGCACTTGGGAATTTGATATACTTTTATCACTCATTAGAGCAGTCGTGTGAAGCAGGAGGGCGGGACTAGAGCCTACTGACTTTATGATACAGTAGTCACCTAGTGAAAGATACAGAATATCTATTTCATTTTGCAGCCAAGTTATACACATAAGACACACACACCCGTGATGCGTGATGCTCATGGCTATTACTTGGAAACAGAATCATCACTGACTGTGGTTAGTGAAGTGAGGCAACACTGGCACAGAGGAATTACACAGGCTTCCGGGTCAAAGACCTTTATTCAGATTTAGGGTCTGCCACGCCATTAGCATTTATTTTCTTTGGGTCATATCCCGCAACAGGTGCACAAAACTCAGCTCATTCCTATGTCACGAAGGGACTGACTTAAGTCATTTTCAACAAAATTTTCTCCTGATAGCCAACATGCAACATGAGCACATGACCTTGAAGTACATCTCAACTAACACATTTGGTTCAGTCAAAATGGAAGTTTTCATCCCTAACAGTAATGTTAGCACATTCATTATCAAAGTAGAGGATATTGAGGTGAGATGCACCTGGACACATAAAAAGTAAAACTGACCTTTCCAAATTTTAGGAATCACTTCTAGCCGATTGGCCACATCCAATGCTTGGAGAAGATGTATCATTGTTTGGGAGTGGGGAAAGTAGGCCTGATTAAGAGAAACACATTTTTAAAGCATTAATCTGCAGAAACCCAATTCATCTAGAATGATAAATAACAAGTAATGAACCATCTTACTGAAGGTATCAGGTCCTCATACCACTTCAAGGTAACATCAATTTGTTCCATTAGACAAATCAAATCGAAGAACTTGGAACTGTGATGAAGGCAAAAAGTATGTTTAGTCTAAAGTCCCTATGTCTAACAACAGGGGAAATAAGGGTTGAAATTATAGCATATTATATGTTACAAAGAATTTCAAAATACTTACAGTTTCAAGTTAAACGAGCCAATATTTGGTTTAAGAGCTGCCAGTGTGTGCTGACTTCTCAATTAAACACCCTACCCTCAACTGGTCATTTCTAACTGTTTCCTCTGTATACTCTTAGGTCATGGTGAATAGATACTGAATTTCAAATTCATTTTAAAAACATTCAATGTGAAACAAGGATTTGGATACACAGAAAACAATTCTCACACATCTGTTAACATGCTGCCTTCTTAAATTCATGTTCTTATCTGCCTAAAAGCAAACCCATTTAGGGAGTATCTCTAGGTTCCAGTATCTTCATCTTTGAATACAAAAGCAAGGGAGGTGAAAGGAAATCTTCAGGGCTCACCCTGCTATAACAATTTGAAAATGTAAAATGAGAGGGGGTAGAGGAAAAAGATATGTGGATTTTACAGTGTTGCAAAAAAAAAAAAAAAAAAACCCTTAAAGGACACAAACTAGTCTTTCAAATCTGGCAGTTTTACCACTGCTTTAATTCCTAAGTGCTCAATTAACATGTCCTATTAGATCATTGGCATGTTGCCTGAAACCAGAGGTGAGGTATGAAGGGACATCAACAGCCTCCCACTTGCAGAATCTGGTAACTCATGCAAAAGGATATGTTTCCAACACACTTACTAATAGAAATTACGATGTTGATCAGGTCCAATGAATTTCCAGTTGTCTCCGGTTTTTAAAAGGCCATGTACTTGGTAGGCAAGTTCTAGATCTCTGAGAGATGAGCACTGAAAATATGCAAGTAGTAAGTATCACTCTGATACCCTGTCAGCCAGTGGTTCACAAATAAATAACAACAGTAGAGTGTCTTGTGAAAATAATGTTGATTCAACATATTATTGGTTGACAGCAAGTAAGTTATAAGAAATGGGGGGGAGACAAATCCCAAGTTCTGTGAAATTTATTACAATATTATTTTAATTAAGCAATTATACCATTAAAAATTAATCCTGTAACAACACCTGGTCAAGTGCACAAAAGACACCTGCACTGCAGAGTCTGGACTAGTAAAAATCTCCATGAAATAACTCCAAAATCTACCCACAGGAAAGTTAAGTTATGGTTCTTACTATGAAATACTGGTTGCTGCCAACAAATAAAACACCCTGAAAGTATGCCTGGATATACATACGCTTGAGTACCCAGAGTAAAAACCTTGTGAGGATCCATACTAAATACTAGGTTGGTGCAAAAGTAATTGTGGTTTTTGCTATTGAAAGTAGCGGCTTTTGTAATTGCGGTTTTTGCCATGGAAAGTAATGGCAAAGGCCACAATTACTTTTGCACCAATCTAATAGTAAAGCAATTAAATTACCCTTAGGGAACAAGGTTCATCCTAAAACTGCCTGAAATTTTTCCTATGATAAGCATGATTACATAAACTAAAATAAAAACCATTATCAATTTTAACTTACTAATAGGCAAATCTGAAATATTATGGAAGCTTATCTGTTCAGGGGCATGAAAAATGTCAATGTAAACAATAAACAAAGGGTAGGGATAGTATGTGATTGAAAAGTACAGATTTTAGGCCAGGCGCGTTGGCTCAGGCCTGTAATCCCAGCACTTTGGGAGGTGGTCAGGAGTTCAAGACCAGTCTGGTCAACATGGTGAAACTACATCTCTACCACAAAAAATACAAAAATTAGCCAGGTGTGGTGGCGCACACCTGTAGTCCCAGCTATTCGGGAGGCTGAGGCAGGAGAATCGCTTGAACCCAGGAGGCAGAGGTTGCGGTGAGCCACTGCACTCCAGCATGGGGGACACAGTGAACCTCCATCTCAAAGAAAAAAAAAATTATAGATTTTAGAGAAAGAAGAAAAAACAGAAGCAAAGACATGAACAGAAGAGTTAGAAAGTGAAAAGAACCAGGGAGAACCCTCCAGTTACAGATAAATTTAGGAAATGGATAGCAAATTAATAAAGAAATGATACTTACTATGCTCATGGCTGACTGAAAAAACTTATCTGAAAATCAAAGTTCACAAGAGCTTTGGTTACAATGGATAAAATATATTTTCAAGTCAGTAACATTAACAAAAATCCTGCCAACAAAACTGGTAACATGCAAGATAAAGCTAAGAACATAAAAACTTAAGAGAGGCAGGAATGTACCACAATTTTGGCTTTCTCAGAAAGACCATGGCAAATATTACTAAGCTATATACACCTACTATGTACTCAAATTTATTTAAAAAAAAAAAAAAATACTTCTAAGCTATAGGGATCACAAGGCCTCTAACTGGTACTCAGGTAAACCGGCCCTCTGTCTTTAGAGGAGGAAAACACAAGTGATTTCTATACATGCCATCATCCGGGTCCTTTGGAGAAAATCTCTTTCCCATTAATTCATTCATTATATCATAAATGATGAAGGATGATCTCTTTAAAGGGTCTCCTGCAGAACAAGAAAGCAAATGTGTTTAATCCACTTCCTTTACCACCACCAAACTCACTGTACCTAATACAAAGGGACACATTTCTCCTTCCTCCACCTCCAGCCTAAGTCCTCGCATAGATCTGGGTGGAGGCCAATGCTTGCTAAAGGAACCACTATACCCTGCAGAGAGCAATTCTCTGTAAAATCTGGAATAATCACAGGTCTCTGTTCATGTGCTCCACTGAGACTTTCTCCTTCCTTTAGTCTCTTCACATGAAGCCTGACTTACTGAAGTAGGCGGCAGACAGTAACACACACTCCCTCACCAAACCAGCATACTTAGAAAAACAAAATTTTTTTTTTTTTGAGATGGAGTCTTGCATTATTGCCCTGGCTGGAGTGCGATGGCACAATCTCGGCTCACTGCAACCTCCGCCTCCCGGGTTCAAGCGATTCTCCTGCCTCAGCCTTCCGAGCAGCTGGGACTAACGCCCTCGCCACCACGCCTGGCTAATTTTTTGTATTTTTAGTAGAGGAGGGGTTTCCCCATGTTGGTCAGGCTGGTCTTGAACTCCTGACCTCGTGATCTGCCCGCCTCGGCCTCCCAAAGTGCTGGGACTACAGGCATGAGCCACTGCACCCGGCTAAAAATGTTTTTTGCTAGTAATCATTTGTGTTCCCTTTAAATATAATCAGAATGAGGTCAAGAAAAAGTAAACTAGAATTAATGGACAGGGCAGTTCTTAAATATAACATGAACTGAGCACTAATAGGTCAGAAAATCATCTGCAATATTCCCAGTCAAATATTTCTCTACACTCCTTTCCCTACCTGTTTTGTATGTTTGTGGTAGTAAAGCTGTAATGACAGTACAGATAGAGTTTCACAATTTACTCAAGCATGCTTCCCTTTGCTAATATTCTTAATTTTATTAGTTACATAATATTCTCTTTTCAATGTATTGTTTCTAGGTTATTTTAGGCTCTCTCTTTTGGGTAAATTCCTAGAAATTATTATTACTATTGAGACAGGGTCTTGCTCTGTCACCTAGGCTGGAGTGCAGTGGGGCAAACGCAGCTTACTGCAGCTTCAACCTCCTGGCCACAAGCAATCCTCCTGCCTCACACTCCTGAGTAGCTGGGACTACAGGGGTGCGCCACCATGCCCAGCTACTTTTTTCATGTTTAGTAGACATGGAGGTCTCTCTATGTTGGTTTCAAACTCCTGGGCTCAAGCAATCCTCCTGCCTTGGCTTCCTAAATTGCTGGGATTACAGGCGTAAGCCAAAACTACTGCTGCAGACAGGCAAATTTATATACATAAGACAAACCAACACAGCTCCCCCAGAACCCCCATCCCCCAGTCCTGGCTGTTACTTAGGAAATGTAAGTACATCTGACTTTGATTAGCAATTGAACCAGTGATGAGAGTTACAGAGGAAAGGAATATACTTTGGAGTCAGAAATACTAGCTCCATCACAATCTCACCAAGGTTGAGTAAAATTTTAGGGGACACAATTATGGAAACTGTTTACCTGTTTCCAAGGTATAGTCAATTAACTGGTTCCTTTTCCTAAAGATAAAATTTGCCTATACAGGTGAGGATATGGATTTTACAAAATTAGTCCTCCAAACCAGAGAGAAACAACTTCCCTTCTGTAATTTTTATAGTCTATCCACAAGAAAGAATGACTAGAACTGTCAATTCTGAACTCAAGGGTTATTTCTCAGGCTGGGGATAATGGACAAGAACCAAAAGATTTTGAGTGCCTCATATGTGCCCTCCAAGCACAGTAGCAGACACAGTGTGGAACTCATTTAACTACCACACCCTGCTGCTATTCCTCAGGTAGGTATCTAGTCGCTTTGACATAGCTGGTAAATAAATGGTAGAGTGGACATCTCAGCTCAGGTGTGTCTCTCTTCAAAGTCCATCTACTACAGAGCAGAGCTCCCACTGGAACTGACCTAAAAGTGGACAACGCATGGAGCCTTGAGGTCCTCCCAAAACGCTTCACAATAAGTTTACCTTTCCTCTGGAGCAGAAACGTCCACAAACTTTTGGCAAAGATGGAAATGTTCTGAATCTGCATCACGACACATGGTAGCCACTAGACACATGGCTACTGAGCACCAATGTGACAAAATAATTTATTATTTTACTTAATTTTAATTAACTGGCCACATGTGGCTAGTGGCTATGGTGTTAAATAGCACAGCTCCAGAGAACAAAAGGAATTTCAACCAAAATATATTCTACCCAATTCCTGTTTGTACAACATCACTGCCAGTACAATCCATAACCCTCTCCCCTCCAGCTCAAGTTTTAGACCACAAACAAGATTGCTACCCTCAAGAATAATTTTAGGTAGTAAGACCCTGTCCAAAAAAAAAAAAAAAAAATCAGCTAGGCATGCTGGTGGGCATCTGTAATCCTAACTACTCAGGAGGCTGAGGAGGGAGGACTGTTTGAGCCCAGGAGTTCAAGGCTGCAATGGGCAAGATCCTGTATCTAAAAAAACCACAACTTTCTGCTCAGGCTGTACAGGTTAATTTACAAATTCTCTCTTCTTAATTCATATGCAGAGAAGATAACTACAACAATTAATCACATAAACTCAAGAAAGCTGGTCAATTTTCTATATAAATTAACACAATTTAAGGCCATACATACCAGGTTGATCAAACAGGCGAATAATATGGTGATATGTTGCAAGCGAGGGTTCTCAAATTACCAGGTAGACAGAAAAAATAAACAATGAGGTAAAAACACAGCAATCCAAAACATAGTTTACTGAGACACACTGAATTAAAAACATATTGTTAATATTTAAGCAAAATATGCATTTCTATTCCTTTGAACAAAGTTATTTTCCAACTCATTAATGTAAAGGTAAAAAACTATCACAAAGACTGTATCACTTTTTGAAA
Organism: Homo sapiens; assembly: GCF_000001405.40. NCBI lineage: Eukaryota > Metazoa > Chordata > Mammalia > Primates > Hominidae > Homo > Homo sapiens. The sequence goes on along the minus strand of NC_000002.12, from coordinate 86,127,734 downwards.
GTCCAAATACTTATTAGTCACATTCTTCACTGAGAACAGTAAAATATATTGAAGTGAATTGATTCCCAAAGCAACTTTCAATAAAGTAATTAATGAAAAATATACAATACACTAGCACACACTTAGGTTCAAATACCTAATTATGTTGGGAAAATGTCATGAATTTAAAACTAGCTAACTCAAAGCAATCACTTCTCCTCAGATTCAACAGATCCATAAACAAAGTACCTAAAATACTAATGAACACTAAGATGATAAAGGCACTCCCACTATAATAAGTACATGTAAGTAAATGTGCCAAACATGGAAAGAAAATTTCCAACATATTATGTAAGCACAAGAATAATTTAAAGCTCTTTGCTTATGTAGCCCTGAAACCTCTGGCTGGCACAGTCTCTGTCCTCAGAGAACTCAAGGGCGCATCCTCACCTATTCCAATGGCTTTCATTTCACGTAAAACCTGTAAGGCTGGCGATCTTGCAAACACATGAAATCTTCGGAGACATTTCAGAATGGTATTAAAAGTCTGAAGATTTGGTTTCACCTTCTGTGCAACCATGTGTCTTAGCAGCTCCTAGGTGAATAAAAAACAAGAAGTATCTTTCATGCCTGGGTAATCTGTCCAATAATCTATGTTTCATACAAAGTAAAGAATTTAGCTTTCTTGCTTATGTTTAAAGCAGGTTAGTAACTATATCCCTCTTTTAAGAACTGTTTATTAATTAGCAGGTTCCATGATTCTGCCTTTTAAAGAAGCCTGCTAATTCAAACACCCACCCCACTTGATAGAGGTGGTCAACTGTCTTCAGTCTTCTACCTAGGAGAGTTTTCCAAGAAAAGACGCAAAAATAATAGACTAGTATGATATAAAAAAGTGGTTGGTTTTTTTTTTTTTTTGAGACAAAGTTTCGCTCTTCTTGCCCAGGCTGGAGTGCAGTGGTGCGATCTTGGCTCACTGCAACCTCTGCCTCGTGGGCTGAGGTGATTCTCCTGCCTCAGCCTCCTGAGTAGCTGCGACTACAGGCGAGCACCACTATGCCCGGCTAATTTTTGTATTTTTGTAGTAGAGACGGGGTTTCACCATGTTAGTCAGGCTGGTCACAAACTCCTGACCTAAGGTAATCCACCCGCCTCAGCCTCAAAGTGCTGGGATTATAGGCATGAGCCACCGTGCCCAGCCGTTTCTATTCTTAAGTTACTAGGCGAGAATCAATCCAGTGATTTCAACTTTTTGAAATTACACCTGATAGGATTTGACAGCAAATATGCATTACTTTGTAACAGAAAAACTATTATGAAAAATAAATGAATAAAATGGTCCAGAATTCTAGCTCTATACTCTCGGTCAAGCAACTTTTTCTTCTTATGTGCCAGACACAGCTGAGTCCCAGGGCTGCGGAAAGGGTAGTGAACAGGTAACTGCTACACAGTGACTGCCATACACATGCTCATAAATGCTGTCTCCAGCCCATGTACTTCTGTTTCTTTTTCTTTTTTTTTTTTTTGAGACGGAGTCTTGCTCTGTTGCCCAGGCTGGAGTGCAGTGGTGCGATCTCTGCTCACAGCAACCTCCGCCTCCCGGGTTCAATAGATTCTCTTGCCTCAGCTTCCCAAGTAGCTGGGATTACAGGCGTGCACCACCACGCCCAGCTAATTGTTTGTACTTTTAGTAGAGACGGGTTTCACCATGTTGGCCAGGCTGGTCTCCAACTCCTGGCCTCAGGTGATCTGCCCGCCTCGGCCTCCCAAAGTGCTGGTATTACAGGTTTGAGCCACCACACCTGGCCAGCCCATGTATTTCTGGTAAAGAGTATTTAAGCCCTATTAAAAAATAAACTGAGGATTCCTCCTTACCAGTATTTTACTCCATTTTTCCTCAAATTTCTCATTTATCGCACATACTGTTGCTTCAATCAATGCATTAAATGTGTATACATCAGCTGTAAAATAATAAAATGATAAAATTTGGGGTTGAAGATTAATCCCTAAATGGCTGAGTTTAAGGCAAAGCAGTCATTCCTATGTGTCCCTTGACTAATCACATGTCCACAAAACTGGAAAACTACTCTCCTCTCTGGATCTCTACTCTTGCTTCAATCATCTACGCCTCAGGAAAAGGTAAAGTGTAGGCCAATGACTGAGGCACGATCCAAAGCCTTCACACAGACAATTAAAAGAAGGAAATGGAGAAAGGGACAGAGGGGAGTTCTCAAACTCACCATGGAGTCTGTTGTTTAGTAACTCAGTGTACAAGTTTAATGCCTGCTCATAAGCTCGGTGCTGGAAAAGGAAAAATTAAGCATCATCAAATTCATTTACTTAAGAAGTCCTTGCACATTTCTGTCCTAGAGTTTGGTAATATAGCTCAGGCTCAATAGATCAGGCTCCTGTTCTCATGAAGCTCATACTCTAGTGCAGTGGGATTTTCTATCCACTGGTAATGCCTAAACATATTTTTATTTGTCACAACTGAAAGTGGGGGAGGAGTACACTACTCACATCCAGTGGGTAGAAGCCAGGGAGCTACTAACATCCTACAATGCACAGGACAGACCCCACAACAAATTACCTGACCCAAAATGTTAGTAGTTCTGAGGCTGAAACACCCTGATCGGTGGAAATGAAAGACAAAAATAAATAAAACAAATGTACCTTCACCATTCCTCGGATCATTGTGCAATAGGAATGTTCATTTTTCTCTGGCATTAGAGAAAAGATTCTCTCAGCGTTGTTTTTTGCTCTAGACACAAGAGAGTAAATGTGAACCCAGGCAATAAGAAATACCAATGAGAGCTACCACCATTTACTGACGGTTTATTATGTTCTAGGCAATGTGCCAAGTACTTTCTATACATTATCTCAATTCTTACAGGGTATTATGGTTATTATCATTTTGAAAATGGGGAAAATCAAGACTTAACGATCTTAATGTGTTGTCAGGGCTTCGCAGGTTAAGTGGCAGAATTACAATTGAAAATGAAAAGTTTATAAACAAGTATATAAATATCTGTGCTATTAAAAACAAGAAGCAACTGTATGACAAAGTCCCTAGTAAAGTTTCCTCACCTTTCTTCAATCTTCAGATACTACTTCCCAGAGGCAAAACGGTTTCTTTTGGATCCTTCTGGTCATATTCTAGCATATGTACTTTTAACTCTTCTCTCATTCCATAACCTCCACCTCCTGGGTTTAAGTGATTCTCCTGCCTCCACCTCTCGAGTAGCTGGAATTACAGGCACGTGCCACCACGCCTAGCTAATTGTTGTATTTTTAGTAGAGATGAGGTTTCACCATGTTGGCCAGGCTGGTCTCAAACCCCTGACCTCAAGTGATCCACCTGCCTCGGCCTCCCACGGCACCAGGATTACAGGTGTGAGGCACTGCGTCCAGCCTACCCCAAGGAATTTAATCTTTCATCCTATCAAATTCATCACTTCAATAACAATTTTAGATAATCATGGTAGCTTTCCCTCTCCAGACATTCACATGAAGTGTCTTCCTTTTAGACACCCAGCTAATTCTCCAATATAATTAAGTTATTACCTTTCATTCAAACTGCTGTGTATGTCTACATGTTGTCAGTGGTCTTAATTTAGCAGTACACTCTAGTGTCCATGATATTTTTAGTAAACAAAAGTATTAAATCTTTCAGAATTAGAGGTATATATTCCAAGGTAGCACTGTTAATGAAACTACCAAAGGAACCATACCATATGAAAGTTATGCTGAGTTAAACAGATGAGGGAAAAAAAAGGGTCAAAGTCTCAACAGATTCTTGTGTTGTTGAATGGAGATAAAGACCTTATTGAAAAACGGTCTAAATGTGTATGAATACAAATAGTGAAATTTATATTGCACAATAAAAATCAATTATTTTAGAACATCACAAGAAAACATCTTCACAGGGTGATGGGGCATATTCCATGCACTGTAAGACACTGTAATTCAAGGTTCTAATTACGTGTGACATACCGCCATGTAACTCCAAACTGATGACCAGCTTTCCTCCTAGATGTCTCATCATTTTCCTCTTCCTGAAATGAATAATCATCAAAAGAAATAAAAGTTAAGGCAATGGAATGCATTTCCCAGTCAGACTACTCAAAATCAGAAAGGCAAAGGGAACTCAGAAAAATAAAGGAAACATAGATCCAGCAGAAGGCAAAGAGGAAGCCCAGTTACGCTTACACCTATACAGTTAATTTCTTAAGTGCAAATCAGATGAAAGGCCAAGTTGACTCTCAAAGCAACAAGTGACAGCGTGGAGACAAGATGAAGCCAGTTCCCTGTATGGCCTGGTCCTCAGACAGAAAGAGGAAAACCAAACAACACAGCCTATTTGCTCAGAGACTACATCTGGCTTGATCCATACAGATAAACTGTCATAATTAGGGTGAAAGCAAGATAAACAACATATAGTTAATGCCTAACACTCACCCAAGCAAACTAAGACTTCTTTTTTTTTTTTTTTTTAAGACAGAGTCTCGCTCTCTCGCCCAGGTTGGAATGCAGTGGCGTGGTCTTGGCTCACTGCAACCTCCACCTCCTGGGTTCAAGGAATTCTCCTGCCTCAGCCTCCGGAGTAGCTGGGACTACAGGCGCGTGCCACCACGCCCAGCTAATTTTTTGTATTTTTTTTAGTAGGGACGGGATTTCACCATGTTAGCCAGGATGGTCTCGATCTCCTGACCTCATGATCCACCCGCCTCGGCCTCCCAAAGTGCTGGGATTACAAGTATGAGCCACTGCACCTGGCAAGACTTCTTACAAGAATAAATCTTGTCTTTATTTATAAACCAAGGTCTGGGATGAGGCTGACGTAGAGCAATACAGGCTTGGTTGGCATTGCAGAGGTCAGTGTTGGCTCTGTAGCCTGCTGCCTCAAGAGCTGGGGCTGGAGAGGCAGAGGGCCAACCAGAGCAGGGCTTCAGGAAGTGATACTCTGGAAAGCAAGGTTTAACTGCAACCTACTGCCTATGCACTTTTAAAAATGTAAAGTTCTCTACATAAATAATCCACATTTGGCCAGGTGCAGTGGTCAGTAATCCCAAAACTTTAGGAGACTGAAGGATCACCTGAGCCCCAGAGTTGAAGACACCATCCTGGGCACTACAGCAAGACCCTATGTCTACCCGCCCTCCCCACCCCAAAAAAAACTAGCCAGACATGGTGGCCCACACTTGTGGTCCCAGCTATTTGGGAGAATGAGGAAGGAGGAACACTTGAGCTCAGGAGTTAAAGGCTGCAGTAAGCTATGATAGCATCACTGCACTCCACCCTAGGTGACAGAGTGAGACCCTGTCTCTGAGGGGGAAACAAGAAATCCACATTTAGTTGGGCAAAGAGTAGAAAAGATAGAAACGAAGAAAAACACCAATAATCCCATCACCCAGAAACACTTTTTAAATGATTTTTTTGTATGCATTTGTAAAAACATTTTTACAAAAATGGAATATATACTGCTGATAGCCTGCTTCCCACTTATTGGATGAATGTTTCCATACCCAAACACATCTACTCTAATGTGCTCAATGGCCACACAACTTTTATCATCATTTGATCATCTACTGTTGGACATCTAGATTGTTTTCAACATTTTTGCAAGTATAAATACCTCCTCATGAAAAATGTCACATGAGCATCTCTATTTGACTGATCCAAAGGATTTCTTGAGACCTAGTTCTAGAAGTAAAATTCGCGAGTCGAGAGAGAGGCTATGACTCAACTTACAGGCGGGCCCCGGCACACTACTGTTCTGTCTCCAGCCTAGTGTGTTCTCTCCTCTAAGTCCACGTATGAATTTTTGAGGGGGCCCAGGCCACGGAGTCTTTCCCTGGCCAGAATACATCATGTCATTACTCTAAGTGGCACAGGCCAGCCCAAACATTTCTGATCAACGCTTTGCCTTAATATGAAGTAGGTGAGGACAACATATTGTTAAAAAGTAAACTAGGACAGAAGTAACTGTTTAAAATCTCTCTTCCTCCTATACCACTTTTTATCAAGGCTATCGTACCACACATCTCAGTACAAATCTCTACTACCCTGACACATGGCAAAACAACCCATCTTATTTTTAAAAGCAATTTCTTCAAAAAGAAGCTTAAGGAAAAAAAAAAATCAAGGCCAACAGTTATTACCAATGCTTCTGACTGTCCAGTTTGTTGAAAATGGTAATCAGTTGAGGGCTCCTGGTCACCATAGTAACACAATAAATCCAAGAGACTATTTGTTGTTTCAAGAGACACAGTGGTTCCTGTGGGTAAGAGACAGAAAGATAAAGAAACCTTGAAACAATGAAGAACTAAAGCCTGTTAGGTTAAAATGTGTCATTTTTTTATATTAGCGGTGGTCTTCAGGGCTACACACTTAATGTTGTCCACTACTTTATGCACTCAACGTCAACTTAAACACCTGAAGTGACGTAGACAGGGACATAACCCCTATTAACCATGTAATTTGACGTAGAAGATTGGAACACAAGATGAAGTTTGGGCCTGTGCTCACTTATTTTATGTACTCATTATCCTCAAACTACTTCATGGTTTTAATTATCATCACCAAACTGAACACACTGCAAACTATCCCCACTTAGTTCCCCCAGCCCAGGTGCATTTGAACAAATGCAAGTAGAATTATTCCATTTGGATCCAGATACTCACTGAAAACTTGCCTAGAAATACTAGCATAATTGTCGAACTATAGTAGTCTCTTAAAAATTGTTCAAAACATTATGTCCCCATCTTGACACTCATTAAAAAGGCTAAAAAGGGAATAGGAGGAAGACAAGTATGAGATATAATCTGCTATCTTATAAGAAAAGTAAATGTATCTTTTTGTTTTGAGATAGGGTCTCATTCTGTCGCCCAGGCTGGAGTGCAAGGACATCACAGCTTACTACAACCTTGAACTTCTGGGCTCAAGTGATCCTCTCACCTCAGCCTTCCGAGCAGCTGTGACTACAGGTATGTGCCACTGCACCTGGCTAATTTTTAAATTTTTTGTAGAGATGAGGTCTCGCTATGTTGCCCAGGCTGGTCTTGAACTCCTGGGCTCAAGCAATCCTCCTGTTTTGGCCTCCCAAAGTGCTGGGATTACAGGTGTGAGCCACCATGCCTAGCCAATAAATTATCTTTCTAAACAAAATACATTGATAAATTTAAAATGCCCATCAGGAAATGTAAAAAGTCCAGAAGAGAAAGCAGGGCAGAGGGTACAGGCTATGGAGAAGCAACTGGTTCACACTATCTCAAAGCTATGAGACCCTGGAAAAATTACCTAATAATTACCTTCATAAGATTATTATAAAACACACCAATGAATAAGGTATTGTAGAATTAAGTATGTGAAATGGCTAGCACAGTGTTTTGCACTTATTAGGGGCCTGACAATGAAATGTTCTAGGATCCTTTCCCTGGTATGTTAGCTCACTTTGTTACTGAGCTATGGGTCTGACACCTGTCTTTACTGAAGGACTGCACACACCTATCCAATAAAGGGGGTAAAACTAGAAAAAGACAAGCCTTAGCACTAAGAACTTCAATGCAGACTCACACCAGATGCCGATCATATTAACAAGCAGAGGGAAGCGCCTCACTAAATTACAATCTATTGCCATCACTCAGCCATACATCTGATGCTGTACCAAGCCACACACCAAAATTCTCAAACATAGCTTTCTGCAAATGTTTCTTGTGTTCAAGTGTATAATGATTCAGTCCAGTTTCCACCACTTCCATGTTTATTCTAAATCACCAAATAGCACTCTAGATTCTAAAAACTTAATGCCAGCTGCTTCTGATGTTGCTATATGTAGATTTTCATGTTGACTTATCAGCTGTGCTATTTACGTGTGTAGCTCCGCAAGTTTACATCCAGCTCCAATTCAGAGAACCACACAATTTTAGAGCTAGAAGTTTTGAGAAATTAAGTAACTTTTTGAATGCTAAGAACAATTAGTGACACAGATGGCACCAGCATCAAAGCCCCTGATCCTAGTTGAGTGTGCTTTCCTTTTCACGTATTTCTTTCTTGTGTGTTGTGGCCCAATCTTCCAAACATCCTTAAAGAGTCTAGGAAAGCTGGGCGCGGTGGCTCACGCCTGTAATCACAGTACTTACGGAGGCCGAGGTGGGTGGATCACGAGGTCAGGAGATCGAGACCATCCTGGCTACATGGTGAAACCCCGCCTCTATTAAAAACACAAAAAAGTTAGCTGGGCGTGGTGGTGGGTGCATGTAGTCCCAGCTACTCAGGAGGCTGAGGAGGGAGAATGGCATGAACCTGGGAGGCGGAGCTTGCAGTCAGCCGAGATTGCGCCACTGCACTCCAGCCTGGGCGACAGAGCAAGACTCCATCTCAAAAAAAAAAAAAAGGAAAAGGGTACAGGAAATCTGGGAGCACTGCATACCTACCTAACATTAAAAACAGAAGCTAAGGTAGAAGGGTGATACAATTTCTCTACCAGTGCTACAATAAACCAACAAAGCTGCAATTCTACTTCGCCTGTAATTCTTAAGTAACACTAAAGCTAAAAATGAAATAAACTACTAAAAATATAAAGCACGCAGCCATCAAAGCAGAGTAAGTACAGCAGGACCTGTAACTCTTACTCAAAATATATGAATCATATAACTTGGGCCCACTTCAAAGCCCATGTTATTAGAGGGGCTTTAATCGAACTCAGTCACCTGCTTGCAAAAGCTGATCAAACATGTCCACAGAGGCTTTGACTTTTCTGAGCTCAATTCGTTCCTTCAGGGCGGCTTCACTTATGTCTTTGATCTGAGGTTCAAAGTACTCAGGCATTAAACACTAGGAAAACAAGATGACTAAAGTTACTACAAACAGGTAAAGGTGAGGGAAGGATAACTGAGTAGGACAAAACTTTTATCACCAACATACCAAAGTAAAACTTCACTGCTCCAATTCATGTTTCCTGCACCAGATACTACTGATCATTTTAACATCACTGTCTTCACAGGGAATTGAACTAAACCTTTCATCTCTAATGCTGTGTATCATCTAAACATTTAATACTACCCAAGGTATGCTGATTTTACCTCATTCACTAACTTATTCAAATACTTTCTGAATGCCTACTATTTTACCCCAGACATTAAGCTTGGCACTGGGGATACAGAGACGAAAGGCATTCTCTACCTTCAGGGTGCTCACAATCTAATGGAGAAAGACACTGTCTTAGTTTAGGATTTTAATATTTTGACTTACACAATCACACTGGCTTCCTCATCTATGTGCAAGTTCTACTATGAAAACAAGAAGTGTGTGTTTCCCTGTGAGCTTTGGGAAGCAGAGAGATGTAGGGATATGGGAGCAGTTTAGATATGATGAGTCTGAGATTAGTACTTCCACCAACAAACTCAGGAGGGCAGAGGCGCATCTGTTTTGCTCACCACTGTATGGACAAGCACTAAGCACAATACCCACCACACTGCATAAATCCTCACTCCAAAACTACAGAACAAAGAGGGAGCTGGAAATACAATGTGGAGTTCAAAGTAAAGGGATCTAGGCTAGATATACAAAAGAGTACCAAATGGATTATAAGCGTCACTGAAACAGAAGAGTATACACAATAAAAAGAGAAAATGAGCATAAAAATCTAAGAAAGATACCCATGCTTAAGAAGTGGATCAAGGCCGGACACGGTGGCTCACACCTGTAATCCCAGGACTTTGGGAGGCCAAGTCGGGTGGATCACGAGGTCAGGAGTTCAAGACCAGCCTGGCCAAGATGGTAAAACCCCGTCTCTACTAAAACTATAAAAATTAGCCAGGTGCGGTGGCAGGCACCTGTAATCCCAGCTGCTCAGGAGGCTGAGGCAGGAGAATTGCTTGAACCCGGGCGGCAGAGGCTGCAGTGAGCCAAGATCGTGCCACTGCACTCCAGCCTGGGCAACAGAGTGAGACTCCATCTCAAACAAAAACAAACAAAAAAAGAAGCGGATCAAGAGCAAGCAGCAGTGGCTTACACCTGCAATCCCAGAGATTGCAGAGGCTGAGAAGGGTGTTTGCTTGAGCCCAGAAATTTGAGACCAGCCTGGGCAGTGCAGTGAGACAAGACCCTGTTCTCTACAAAAACTAAAAATTAAAAAAAATCAGCCAGGCATGGTGGCACACCCCTGTAGTCCAAGCTACTTGTGAGGCTGAGGCAAGAGGATCACTTGAGCCCAGGGGTTCCAGGCTGCAATGAGCTATGATTGTACCATTGCACTCCAGCCTGGGTGACAGCATGATGCCGTTTCAAAAAAAAAAAAAAGGAAGAGAAAGATGTGTATAGAGAGGTAGTGAAGGAAACTTCAGTCATAGAATTAAAGACCTAAGAGCATGGTGTCACAAAAATCAAATGGGGAAAATATTAAGATGAAGAGCAAATAAATACAGAAAGAATTTTAAAGTTAGTCTTGTGATCAAAGCTAACTCCACACTTTAAAAGGCTTATCATCCAAATATTGAGGGTATTCAAATAGCTACTGAAATATTAGCCATGAAAGCCTGGTTTAATTTACATTTAAAATAGTATTATGTAAATAATGTAACTACCTCTCCTTACCGGTATATGAGGTTCAGCTATGTCCTTCTGAAAATATTTGGGGTATGAATTAATAATAAACTTGGCCACATTCTCCCCGGATTTCTTTGCCAGTAAAAATGAACGCTATATAAAGAAAAAGATTTAAATACATGTAATTTAAACTCAAGCAAGATTATAGTTACACTCTCAGCAAGAATTTCTCCCCCCTCACAAAAAAAAACAAATGCAACAACACGCAGAATCCCAATTAGAAATTATAGACTATCCCACCTTTTCTACTGTGATATAATTTCAGTTAGCATCTTATACACAGCTTGAAATATATAAAAAGCAAGCCATTTAAACTGAGTGGGTCACTCCAGTGTGAAAAAGCCCTAAGTATTAGAAACCAAAACCAAAAATCCTTTCCCCATTGACGATATGTACATCTTTTTGAAGAAAGTAGTAAAGGATTCACATAGTCTATCAATTTCTCAGCATTTGTAAACCTTTCCCAGGTTATTACAACTAAATTATTTATGTACTGTTGTACGCAAACCAGAGAGATAAAACACTAGAAAATTATATGAAAATACTCACAGATTCCAAAGATGATGCTGGCATAAGGTAAGGATCATCTTGAAACACATAAGGCACAGCTGTGGTATCCTGTGGAAAAGACATAATACAATTTCTATATTTATTTTGAAGACAGCTCACTGTAACTTTTAGCTCCTGGACTCAAGGGATTCTCCTGCCTCAGCCTCCCAAGTAGCCTAGGCTACAGGTGTGTGCCACCACAGCTGGCCATTTCACAAAATTTTTTGCAGAGAGGGTGTCTTGCTGTGTCACCCAAGCTGGTCTCAAACTCCTGGCCTCAAGCAGTTCTCTCACTTCTGCCTTACAAAGGGCTAGGATTATAGACGTGAGCCACTGTATCCAGCCCACAAGTCTTTCTAGCTAAATTTTTAAGAGGACCTTGTGAGTTTTGATAAACAAAAATTCCGTAAGTTGTAATTATGTATGTAACCTAAATGCGCAAACGTGTGTGGGCATATATACATGTATATATAGAGAAAAAAGACAAAAGACAAACACCTGCACTGTACTCTCAGCTCTACAAGACTTGCCTTTAATTATGCAAGGCAAGCAATGGCTTAAGCCTCCCTCCCCATGGCTGATTTTAATATTTAAGTTTGCTACCACTGGGGACTGTTTTAAACTCTAGGTAAGAATCATCTGAATTAACTAGTCCTAACAGCAGAATCCCAGAATAGGATTTCCTCCAAAGCAAGGTCACTATCCACCCACGCTCAACTTCACCAAGAGTCCCTCCTCCAAATGGAAGATATCACCGTGCCCTCTGAGGAATGAACAACAGAACCTTCTCCCACGTCCTGTTACCCATTAAAATTGCTCCCTAAACCTGAGCATAATCAACTCTCCAATACCACCAGGGGCCCCACTGAGAAATGCCCCAGAATTGCTTTCTTTATTCTCTTCTGTGTCTGAGTGCCTTACTTGGGCCTTTATTCCAAAGCAAAAACTTATCCTATATCCTTAATGCTGTTTTACTGACCTGGACTCCTCAGGGAGGGGGCACAGAAGCTTCCCTGCAGCTCTCAACGGAAAGCTGCTCATACCTGGAACCTGGAGGCAGTGTTTTATTTTGGACCTAGCTTTCTGCTACCCCTTTCAAAAACCCCTTTCCCTTGAGCCTCACCTTAGCAGCCCTGTTGTGAACTTCAGTTTTTATTTGAATTATACTAATGGAAAGCCAATGTTGAATTCTTAAGAGTGATATGATCCAGGGTCACTACAGCTGCTGAACTGAGAGCAGTGTGCAGGGAGGTGCAGTGGGAGACGACAGAGACTGCTGCAATTAATCCAGACTTGTAAGACGACAATAACCAAGGTGACTGGTAGTGATATCAGGCATCTAAAATTTTGATATTTTGCAGAAAAGAGTTAACAGACCTGAAACCATTATCCTTAGGAAGGTCTGCGTCCAAGGCTGGCCCTTGGCTGCCATCTGGGAACCTGGATATTGGAAGGGTTCTCACCATTCCTAGAACTGCTAAGAATGGTTCACTGTGCCTAACCTGTTTGTACAACGTGTTTTGTGCCAAACACCTGCTTCCCTTCTGGGAGTATGGAAACTTGGTATAATATATGCCAGCCAGTGGGTGGTCTACATGGCCAGCCTCCCCTAAAAACTCTGGGCACTGGGTCTCTAATGAGCTTTGGTAGACACTTTGCATGTGTTGTCACAAGTCACTGATGGAGGAATTAAGCATGTCCTGTGTTGAATCTTCTGGAGAGGTCTTTTGGAAGCTTGTGACTGATTTCTTTTGGTCTTTATCCAATGAGCCTTTTCTCTTTGCTGACTTTGCTTTGTATCTTCTTGCTGTCATAACTCTTAGCCTGGGAGTGGTCACGGAGACCTCACACACACGTATCTTTTGAAGGGATAAACAAAGGCTTTGCTAACAATTCCCAGGATTTTGGCCTGAGCAGCTATAAGAATGGAGTTGCCATTAATGAGATGGCAAAGAAATATGTGAGGAATGTTTGGAGGGAATGGGGTTTGGTTTTGGATATGCTAAGCTCTTTATCACACTCTCAAGTGGAAAGCTTTCCCATTCTCCACATAGCTCTCTTTTCTAAAATGTCTGCTTAGAATTCCTTTACCCCCATCCTGGCTAACACAGTGAAACTCCGTCTCTACTAAAAATACAAAAATTAGCCGGGCGTGGGGGTGGGGGCGCCTGTAGTCCCAGCTACTCAGGAGGCTGAGGCAGGAGAATGGCGTGAGCCCAGGAGGCAGAGCTTGCAGTGAGCTGAGATTGCGCCACTGCACTCCAGCCTGGGTGACAGAGGGAGACTCCGTCTCTTTAAAAAAAAAAAAAGAAAGAAAAAAAAGAATTCCTTTCTCAGTCTTGGCGATACAACCCCTTCTCAGTGCTACCTCAGTCTTCCCCTCTAGAACTACACAATATCTGTGTCTAATTCTATATCCAGCACAGTGCTTGATAAGCATCATAAGGGCACAAAATATTGTTGCTGAATGAATGGATAAACGAATAACTCTTGGATTTTAAGGGCCAGATAAGTCACAATTCTACACACAATTCTATAACTTCTTTGATTTGAAAGTGGCCCTGGGCCATTCTCATTGAAATGTTGAGAATATCTCGGAGGTCCATTTCTATGTTTACATTTCAGGTGCCTATTTATGGATAAGTGAGCTACTGAAAATCTCAATGCTTTGCAAGTAGGGAGATGTAGTAAAGTCCTTTTTCAGAAACTGGTAGAGTACACCAGTGCACATTAGACCCAACACTATCTTTAGTAGCTCCATCTTTATTTTATATTTAATTTTTTTGTGTGTGGCGGGGGGGACAGGGTCTCACTCTGTGGAGTACAGTGGTGCGATCCTGGCTCACCGCAACCTCCACCTCCACCTCCCAGGATCAAGTGAGCCTCACCTCAGCCTCCCAAGTAGCTGGGACTACAGGCGCATACTACCACGCTCAGCTAATTTTTGTGTTTTTTTGTAGAGACAGGGTTTCACCATGTTGCCCAGACTGATCTCAAAGTCCCGAGCTCACAGGATCCACCCGCCTTGACCTCCCAAACTGCTGGGATTACAGGCATGAGCCACTATGTCCAGCCTAGTAGTTCCATTTTTAGATGTAGTTTAATATCCACAATAGAAGAACAATTCTGCGTACTTGTAATAATCGACTTAAGGAGGATCAATATCCATACAGATACTGTGGCAGAAAAAAAGACTTAATTATTTTAGACTTTTCCCCACAGACGAAATTAAAAGTTTTTGGTTAATAAAAAATACAACCAAGCAGAAAGTTCCATTTCTGATGCATTTACCAAAGTTTCAGTGTATCTACCAGACTACAAACTCTACTCTTGAGTTGCCAACAGAGAAAATTTCATGTCAATGAAATCAACAATACAGTAGTAGCAGTAACAAAATACAATGTACCAAGAATTTCCTTTGTCCCAGACTCTATCCTAAATCTTACGTATACTTAATTCATTTGTTAATAATTCCACTGCAACCTTGAGGTTTGGTGCTATAATTAACCCCCAATTTATAAGTCAGGAAACAGAAGTATCAAGAGGTAAAGTAACTTCCCTAAGATCATAAAGCTAGTTGCTTGGCTATTAAAACAAACCAGTAGGCTCCAGGACCCAGATTATTAATCATTACATGATTGTCAGCATGACAGGTACATTATTTCTCCAAGTTGGTATACTACAGCCAAATCGTCCCCTAAGAACATACATTTCAACAAGCCCTTCCAGGGATTAAAGATCACTGGTATGGTAGAAAAACACTGCATTTCGAGATAAAAGGCGTGAAATTAAGCCTTTAATTAAGGTTTTAACATCCTAACCAGCCACTGGCCACTTTCAAAACCTTAGCTTCCTCCTTTGCCAAATAAAGGGATTTGATAATTTTATTTTAAATTTTTTTTTTTTTTTTTTTTTTTGAGACAGAGTCTCACTAACTCACCCAGGCTGGAATGCAGTGGCAGGACCTTGGCTCACTGCAACTTCTGCCTCCCAGGTTCAAGAGATTCTCTTGCCTCAGCCTCCTGAATAGGTAGGACTACAGGTGCCACCATGCCTCGTAATTTTTGTTTTTGTTGTTTTGGTAGAGACAGGGTTTCACCATGTTCACCATGCTGGTATCGAACTCCTGACCTCAAGCAATCAGCCTCCCTCGGTCTCCCAAAGTGATGGGATTAGTGATGGGATTACAGATGTGAGCCACTGCTCCTGGCCAATAATTTTATTCTTAAAAAAAAAAAAAAAAGGCCGGGCACTGTGGCTCACATCTGTAATCCCAGCACTTTGGGAGGCCAAGGCGGGTGGATCAGGAGGTCAGGAGATGGAGACCATCCTGGTGAGCACAGCGAAACCCCGTCTCTACTAAAAATACAAAAAAATAGCCAGGCGTGGCGGCGGGCGCCTGTAGTCCCAGCTACTCGGGAGGCTGAGACAGGAGAATGGCATGAACCTGGGAGGCAGAGCTTGCAGTGAGCCGGGACTGTGCCACTGCACTTCAGCCTGGGCGACACAGCAAGACTCCGTCTCAAAAAATAAATTAAAAAAAAAAAAAAAAAAAAGTTTGGCGCAGTGGCTCACACCTGTAATCCCAGCACTTTGGGAGGCCAAGGCAAGTGGATCACCTGAGGTCAGGAGTTCGAGACCAGCCTGACCAACATGGAGAAACCCCGTCTCTACTTAAAATACAAAATTAGTTGGGCGTGGTGGCACATGCCTGTAATCCCAGCTACTCAGGAGGCTGAGGCAGAAGAATTGCTTGAACCCAGGAGGTGGAGGTTGCGGTGAGCCGAGATCGCGCCATTGCACTGCAGCCTAAGGCAACAAGAGCAAAACTCTGTCTCAAACAAAACAAAACAAACAAACAAACAAAAAACAGATGGGGGTCTTGCTACATTGCCCAAGCTGGTTTTGAACTCCTGATGTCAAGTGGTCTTCCTACTTTGGCCTCCAAAAGTGTTGGGATCACATTCATGAGCCACCTGGCTCAGCTGGATTAGACAATTTTTTTTTTTTTGAGACAGAGTCTCGCTCTTTCGCCCAGGCTGGAGTGCAGTGGCGCGATCTCTCCTCACTGCAAGCTCTGCCTCCTGGGTTCACGCCATTCTCCTGCCTCAGCCTCCCAAGTAGCTGGGATTACAGGTGCCTGCCACCACGCCTGGCTAATTTTTTATATTTTCAGTAGAGACGGGGTTTCACTGTGTTAGCCAGGATGGTCTCGATCTCCTGACCTTGTGATCCACCTGCCTCGGCCTCCCAAAGTGCTGGGATTACAGGCGTGAGCCACCGCGCCCGGCCTAGACAATTTTAAAGAAACTTTCTAGACGCACAACAGTTTAATTCTGAGTAATGACGAGGTATGAGTATTAAATGTGTTATTAGCCGAGTTAAAAAGTGTGTTATTAGCCAAGTTTTAGGTTAAAAAAAAACACAAAATCCTACTTACCCTGTTTACTGTGGATGCAAGTGCCTGAAGAACGGCTACTTTATCCCTAAAAATAAGAACCACAAGTTAATCCTCATCAGGGCTCTTCATAGCCACAAACCGAACAAGTGATTCTACTCTCAGTGTACTGGCCAATAACATAGTGCAGATCTCATCTGAAGCTGGTTATGTCACAAGGTCACTAGAATAAATTAGAAATTAAGAAAACTGCTGGTTCTTTCCCCTAGTTGGTACATGTTCCTCTCTTTGCCTGTCCTCTCTGGCCTGGTGCATAATGCCATAACCCAGGGCTAGTGATTTCCATCCCGCCCTCATAAAACTATCTGGCCTACTTCCTCTACCCACTTTCCTATGGATTCTTACTGCAGCTTTCGGGACTACTGTTGCCTTTACTATCCTAATTGGTAGCTCTTGATTCAGTTATAGGAGAATAAACCACAGGCTTCACTCTGGACCTATTGCATCAAAGCCTCCCAAGATCCATGGAGGACTGTCACACACACTCTTACTGAATTCCCAGATAATTCTGATGCAACCTCCTGGTTTAGAACCTCTCAACCATATATAACGTTATGGTAAGAATTGCAGGCCAGCTGTCCACTGCACCTCTGAGTAGAGACCTTTACTGAACTATTAGAAAAGGCTTCACTGGAATAAATGACAGACAAGATAATTTGATCTCAAATATATTTGTGCTCCTATGTTAGATTTAATGTGTTTCCTTTCCAAAAGGGAATTATACCAAGAGTATTTTTCTAAATAAAGTTTAACATAACATTCTTAAGACTATAAGTCATCTGAGAAAAACAAAAGTACAGGAAATTTTATATTTCATCAAAACTAATTCCCTGATGTACATAATATCCACTAAATTTTCTATCCACGTTTAGAAGTCACATTTATGTAATTTCAGCAAGTGTGATAACGACACATTCTCTCATCTGTCAGCATTCCTTCAGCAGATCTTTTATTGCCCTATTTAAGTCTTATCAAGTTAGCAAACTTTCCTAACATATTGAACAAATGGCAGTGAAAAAATGATGACATTCAGATTACTCACTAATTCTCTTTCTTTAAAGGGTTACTTTAAAAGGTATCATACATTATCTTAAAAAAATAAACTAGAACATTACACGTTAACCTAAAGTGTCTGGTGTCATCTTGTGACCCCTCTCCACGATGAATTTGGTATTTGTATTTCCAGAACTTTTAAAGGTATTTTCACACATAAACATCTCCCTAAAAAACGTATACACACTGTCATTCTGCATGTGTCTACATAAGTTTGGCTGCACTATCCATGTTATTAAATATAGAGCTAATTAATTCCTTTCAATGTAAAAAGTTATTGTATGATAACCTTTTAAAATTATCCATTCACTTTTCAATGGGCATTCAGGCTGTTTCAACCTGTTACTATTCCCAAGTAATAAAGAACAGTCTTGTCCATGTATATATGCAAATGTTCCTCCAAAGTGGCTAACCAGTAAGGTACGCACATTTCCAATTCTGATTCTGCCAAATTTCCCTCCAAAGAGCTGTTCCAATTTACTGTCCCATAAACAAACGTATTTCTTCAAATCCTCTCTCTGCCAATACGGTAAGTTTTAATTTGCACTTCTTTTATGATCCCAGTTACCTATGCATTGACATCACTGGGCTCCCTGGCCTCCCTAAAATAATCACACAGTTCAGATTAATAAAGTTCTTAAAAAAGTCTTTTTAAATGAACCCAAGTCTTTTTTTTTTTTTGAGATGGAGTCTTGCTCTGTCGCCCAGGCTGGAGTGCAGTGGCGCGACCTCGGCTCACTGCAAGCTCCGTCTCCCGGGTTCACGCCATTCTCCTGCCTCAGCCTCCCGAGTAGCTGGGACTACAGGCGACCCCCCACCACATCCGGCTAATTTTTTTGTATTTTTAGTAGAGACGGGGTTTCACCGTGTTAGCCAGGATGGTCTCAATCTCCTGACCTCATCATCCGCCCGCCTCGGCCTCCCAAAGTGCTGGGATTACAGGCGTAAGCCACCGCGCCTG
Source organism: Homo sapiens (assembly GCF_000001405.40). Taxonomy (NCBI): domain Eukaryota; kingdom Metazoa; phylum Chordata; class Mammalia; order Primates; family Hominidae; genus Homo; species Homo sapiens. The sequence goes on along the minus strand of NC_000002.12, from coordinate 86,109,126 downwards.
GCGAACCCGAGTCTTTAGGTCACATAATTTTAAGACCTAGCTTTTTGAGGGGCCACTAAATGCGTTCAATAGGACTACACTGTAACAAGCACTTTTGTGAAGTTTTAATTCCTGCATATTCAACAAATGTTGAATAAATGAGATGAGGCAATTTGTTCAAGGATATATCCAGTGAATAAAAAAGCTAAATTTTGCTGTCCACACCATTTACTTTATTTTTACCTCATTAGAGATAATAAAGACAGTAACTGTCTGCTCTTGAATCATATGAGAGAACTTCCTTGAAAAAAATTATTCTAATGATGATGTTCATGTATAACCATGTATTATTAACCACGTAAATAGTAACCCACACTAATTCAAAATCTCTTTCAATTGTTCTTTTAAGTAAATCTCATTGCTCATTCACTCACTATTCTCCACCTTTCCATTTTTTGTCCTTTAAACTCCTAGCTTCTCCCCGCTCAGCTACTCTCTTCAAGAATGCTCTCCTATTGCTCTTCCTGTCACTGTCTCCTTACCTAACCCTTACACTTCTCTCATAGTAAGCACTCAACCATTTGCTGAATGAACACTGATAGAATACTTACCAAGTTTTCTTTTTTGGAATTACTACTTCTTCAATCCCTAATGTAAAAAAGAAAACATGAATCAGTTTCCTAGTACTACAATGGAATCCAACGTGTTGATATAAAAATAGAATTCAATATATTTTAAAATATACCTGTTACATCAGTTCCTTCAACCTTTGAGAGGGTTGCACTACCAGAATAAAATCTGCAAAAAAACAAAAGCCTTAAATCTAATAGTCATTAATGAAGTACCCAGCTCACCTCCACCTATGTGTACTTTGAGCCCAAATTCTCCAATTATCACGGATTAAACTGGATAACTCATGTCAATGAACGCTGAGAAGACAGTCTGTACACATGTTCAATATCATTAAGGAATGGATACAAGATATGGACAAGACTGTCAAAACTTTTTTTTTTTTTTTTTTAGAGACAGGGTCTTGCTCCATTGCCTAGCCTTTAGTGAAGTAGTGCAATTATAGCTCACTGAACCCTTGAACTCCTGGGCTCAAGTGACCCTCCTGCTTCAGCCTCCTGAGTAACTAGGACTACAGGCATATGCCACCATGCCCGGCTAGACAAAAGTTTTGGAAGCAAGCAATCTCATTACATAAATGGCAGAGAGGGAGGAAAGTTTTTAATAGCACTTGAACAATCTGGTTTGAAATGAAGAACTTTCAACTTCAGGAACCCAAAACACTATGATGTTTAAAAGAACAATTCAGTGAGCTCTTGCTTCTATACAGATACTGCCCTGATCAGAAAGGACTACCTCACTTAAAGCAATTACAACATAGGGAAGATGACCCATGGCTTCTCATTCCACTTCTTTCAACAATCAAGAATGTACCAAATACATAAGGCCTGATTTAGACTTGGAATTGCTGATATTTTCTATTTTCAGAGGTTCAATATGAAATCCTTTTTAAACCAAAATATAGAATCATTGGCCCATGACTGAGTTTTTAAGTGTTCTGTTTAAGTGTTCTGATCACACTAAAAACACAGTCAACACACCACAGATAATGTGACGGTTAGTATTATCTTGTGTTTCCCCTTACTAAATGGCATCAGTAACATTCAGAAAATTGTCAAGATGTGATTGCACAGACAGATACTTCCTCCAGTAGTATCTGGTTTCAGGTATCATTTAAAACAAGAATACCCCTCTACGTTAAGGACATTTCAGAAAGAGATCAACTCTTTCAAGTTTCTGAGATCAACTCTTTCAAGTCACACTATTTGTTTCTCATGACCTTAAAACAGAGATCACAGTTATTTTGAGAACGGATGCTGAGGAAGAGATTCTGCTTCAGGCAAAGAAAATGAGTAGAAAAATGCTAACGATGGCTACCAGGAAACGGAGGACTGGCATTGAATGGCAGCACAAAGGTTTCTGCAGTATCAGATGGAGTGGTTTCTCTTTCTTGAGGGGAACTAAGGGAGAGTACATATAAAAACATATTGTAAATTACATACCCCACTTATACCTCACAAACTTTTCGGATGGTTATTACCAACTCTAGTCTGCAGATGAGGAAATCTGTCTATTATCATCCAATTAAGTGAATGGCAAACACTAAACCTAAAATTAGGCTTTTAGCAAGTTTTCACTACAAATTACTGCCTCTCATATTCCCACAATGCCACTGTTTGTACTGAGTGAAAAAAAAATTACACAGATAGGTCATACATGTTCCAAGCTATAACTATCACAGATCAAAAGGGCATAGTCAGATCTTTTAGACTTTTCTGCTTTTACGAAAACCTGATAACTTCTTTAGCCAAAGTCCCCACGGTGGCGACCAGAGACTGCCTTTTATTTGGGAAGATCTTGTACGTTCTCCTCGCTCCTCCTGATTGGGTTAAAATGAGTAATGGCGGATAATTTTTAATTTGGGGTAGTGTTGCTAATAGCCACACTCACTGGAACGCAAGCTTCATGAGAGCAGGGTCCTAGCTTTGCGGATGGTGTTAACTACAGAATATTGCAAGCAACCAATAAGTATTTCTCTAATGAATAAATGCGTTGCGAATCCTATTTCAAAGGGCCACCTCCGCGTACCTGGTCTTAAGGGCACGCGACCGTTAAGGGCGCGCATGAGCAAACCATTTCATCGTGCCTACTTCCACAGCCAGCTGGGAAACATAGGACTAAGGTGACTCCGCGGTCTTCTTCGCGGATACCCTAAGCGTCTCTTACCTGCAGCTGCGTGCCTGTTCACACAAACCCGCCCGCCGACCCGTCAGCGGCTGGCCAAGCCTGCTGCGGAGGCCCAGCCAGCGAACAGCAGATACAACCGCCATCTTTGATTTCTCTGCAGAGCATGTTGGGAAAGCGTGCCTCGACCTTCAGGAAGGTGGGGCGCAGTGGGCGGGGAGCAGGGAACAGCTCCGCTATTGGCTGAAGCGGAAGAAGACGAAAGCAATCATAAAATGGGAGGTTGCAAGCTCATGGTTTGAAAGACTTCGTCACGGAAGCTAAAAGCTCTATACACCCGATTTGCCTCGGAGGAATTTTCCTAAATGATTATTTTGATGTCTTATATATCTTTGATTGTTTTCAAAACAAAAGAGCGAGCAGAGAGTCGTACAACTATTTGTTCCCCCCCCATGTAGAAGTGATCTCATCCACGTAAATGTCGTTCCTGCGACCGCTTCCGCGCGCAAGCGCACGTTGAATCGCGTGGTGACTCCGGGCTTGAGGTTGAATTAAGAATAGTCAGGTGGTGAGTGGAACGTCTCTTGGGGTGTCGGAATTCAAAACGGACCTGGAGGATGTTGATCTCCAAGAACATGCCCTGGCGGCGGCTGCAGGGCATTTCCTTCGGGATGTATTCGGCTGAAGAGCTCAAGTAAGGAGTTGGTCGGGTAGCGTGCCCAGCCTGGATCTTGAGGTCGGCGCCCTAAACTACGATTCCCAGAAGCGCTTTTGCCCAGTCTATCCTCTTGAGTCCAGGCTTGTCTGGCGCTTGTCCTGCTGGGAGCCGTAGTTCTGGGAACGTTCCTGGGCCGGCGTGGACTGCCTGGATAAGAGGCCGGTGGTGCTGGGGGAAAGAGTTTGCGCTGAGGTAGGGGAATATAAGGGTGGGGAGGGTCCTGGTCTGCAGCGTTATCATCTGCCAGTCTCCTCGTTAACTAACAAGCATTTGTGGAATTAACCATAGTGTACCTGACATGGTTAATTAGGCACGTAGTAAGTTTCCTCTTGTTTGTAAAATGATTGTCCTTCAAGTGTCAGTTCAGGCGTTAACTTCTCTTTGCTAGGACCCTGCTATATTCTCGGTCTGGTTGTTAAATCAAGGGAACTCTCTTTAGTCTTCATTTTGATCAAGGTAGCATTTGACATTCTCCAATGCACTCTCTTGAAACTTTCCTTTCTTCCAGAACCTTATTTGTCTTCAAGTTCTCCTATTTTTATGACAAATACTTCTACCTCCCTCTCTTCCTCTATCGATCTATAACCTCACAAACATTTATTGAGCATCCAGTTTTTTCCAGGCACCAAGCTAGGCGTTAATGACACATTGGTGAGCAAGGTCTGTACCTCATTTTACTCCTTAAATGTTGATGTTCTTCAAGATTCTATTCTAGTAATGTTTTCTTCATGGTAAATATTGTCCCTAGACAATCTCACCACTTTCATGATTTATAGTCTCAAATTTAAATCCCCAACGCAAATTTATTTCCCTGATTTTCAGACCCATTTGTTCAGCTGTCTGTACATCTTTAATTGAATTTCACACAGAGATCTTAAATGCATATCAAAAACTCAACATGGCCTAAATGCATATCAGAAACTCAACATGGCCGGGCACGGTGGCTCACGCCTGTAATCCCAGCACTTTGGGAGGCCGAGGCCGGCGGATCACGAGGTCGGGAGATCGAGACCATCCCTGGCCAACATGGTGAAACCCCGTCTCTACTAAAAATACAAAAATTAGCTGGGCGTGGTGGCGGGCACCTGTAGTCCCAGTTACTCGGGAGGCTGAGGCAGGAGAATCGCTTGAACCCAGGAGGCGGAGGTTGCAGTGAGCCGAGATTGTGCCACTGCACTCCAGCCTGGCGACAGAGCAATACTCTGTCTCAAAAAAAAAAAAAAAAAAACTCAACACGGCATCCCTCTTCAAAGGGAGGGGTTACTTACCCCTCCAAAATGGTGTACGTAGTGCAAAATAGTCACTAGAAACTGGAAAATTATTCTAGATCTCTCCTGACATATAACTTATTTATTGGGCTCTTACTTTGTGTCACCTACATGTCTATTTGTTCTTAGTCTCCTTTTTCTCCCAATTGCTACTGTGTTGCCTCTGGCCCTTATCTCATATTTGAATTGTCTTTTCCTTCCACCCTCCCCTTACACCTCTCAAGTGCATGCTCCACACTGCTGTCAAAATTATTCTTGCAAAGTGCAAATGTAGTCATGCTACTGTCACCCTTAAAACCCTCCAAATGTTCTCCATTTCCCTCAGATAAAGTATATTTTCTTAGCATAGCCTGCAAAGTCTCCCATGATCAGACCAATGCTGATTTTAGCTATAACATCATCCCTTCTTCAGCCCTATTAAACCACCTGCATATTCCAGAAACCGCCATCATATTTCAACATCTGGGCCTTTCTTTAAGCTATTCCCTCTGCATGCAGTGTCCTTTCAGCCAAAAGGAGGTACTTCCCTCTGTCCCCTACCCAACATACACACCTGAAAGCTCAGTTCACCTCCCTTGTTTTGTGAGGTCATTTTGCACATGATACAGTTGTCTGTCATGGTGCTTTAGTGACTTTTTGTGCTTATGTATATTTGTCTTCCTCCACTATCCTTGAGCTTCTTATATGTGTCACTCTTGTCTTTTATCCTCAAGTCTGAATAAATGGATGAATAAACTCCTGAGCCACAGCTCTGGTATCATTGGTAACAGTGTGCTAGCCCAGAAATTCCAATTATATCATCACTGCCATAAGTGGATACGATTTCATCCAAAAGCAGAAGTGTTTTAAGTTGCCTGAATTTTTAAAAAGATAATTGTGGAGTTTTCAAACAAGTTTAGAGTTGAGACATTTCAATAATACTGCCACCTTTTATTGTGCCAGGTTCTAATAGCTTCCCATCTCACTCAGAGTAAAAACCAAGTCTTTACAAATGGCCTGGAGGGGTCATTTCAGTCTCCTGTTACCTCTCTGATCTCACCTCTATTCTGGCTACCCTGACCTCCTTGCTGCATCCAGAGCACCACGGGCACACATCCACCTCAGGACCTTTGCACTCCCTGCTTCTTCCTCCTGTAAAACCCTCTGCCCAGGTGACTGTATGGCCTGCTCCCTCAACTCCTTCAGCCTTTGCCCAAGTTCCTCCTTAGTGGGCTTCTAGGACCACTTGCCTACTCTGCTCTTCCCTTTCCCTGCATTATTTTTCGTCATAGCCCTTTCTGCCGTCTAACAGACTATACATTTTGTGTCTGTTCCCGTTCCTCCAATAGAATGTAAGGCCTGTAAGCATAGCAGTTCTTGTCTGTTTCCTTAGCACTTAACACTGTCTGGCACACAGTGAGCACTCTGGGTATTTGTTGAGTGTATGAATAGATGGATAGAGGAGCTAGCTGCTCAGTGCTTGGCACTTTCAGTCCTTAACGACACCCATTCTCAGTTCTTAACAACACCATTTGTGGTGGCACCTCCAGTAAAAAATTCAGGCCCAGAGAACAAAATGTCTCTCTAGGAAGTGGCAAAGGTCATCTTCAAACCTAAGTCTATTGATCTCAAACTCTACTGACTGGTGGAATCCTTGCTAGTTGCCCCTACTCTTCATCCCACTCCTGTAATGGTGGGAGGGACTTTCTCCTCTACAAAGAGAGAGGAACTTTGTTTGACACTGTATTTTCTGTATGTTATCTTCTAATCATCCCAATAGAGCTGCTGTGATGCCCAGACTTCAGGTGAGAAAAAAATTAGGTAGTTATCAAAGGATACAGTCAGCAGAGTGAAAGGGCAACCCATGGAATGGGGGAAAATATTTGTAAATTATATATCTGATGAGAGATTGATATCTAGAACATAAAAAGAACTCCTACAACTCAACAACAACACAAAATTCAATTTTAAAATGGACAAAGGACTTAAACAGACATTTTTCCAAAGAAGACATACAGATGGCCAGTGAGTATGTGAAAAGATGTTGAACATCACCAATTTTAGGGAAATGCAAATAAAAAGCTCCTCAAATCCAGTAGGGTGCTACTATCAGAAAAACAGAAAGTAGTAAGTGTTGGCAAGGGTGTGGAGAAAGTGGAAGCTTTTTGTACACCATTAGTGTGAATGTAAAATGGTGCAACCACTATGGAAAACAGTAGGGTGGATTCTCAAAAAACTAAAGACAAAATTACCATGTGATCCAGCAATTCTACTTCTGGATGTGTATCCAAGGAATTGAAAGTAGGGTCTCAAAGAGATATTTGTATACCTATGTTCATAGCAGCATTATTCACAATAGTGAAAAAGTGGAAACTACCCAAGTGTCTATCAATGGATGGGTTGATACATAAAATGTGGTATATACATGCAATGGGATATTGTTCAGCCCTAAAAAAGGAAAAAAGTTCAACACATCCTATAACATGGATGAACCTTGAGGGCACGGTGCTAAGTGAAATAAGCCAGTCACAAAAGGACAAGTACGGTGTGATTCCACTTAATATAAGGTACCTAGAGTAGTCAGATTAATCAAAACAGAAAGTAAAATGATGGTAGCAGAGGAGATGAAGAATTACTGTATAATGGGTACAGGGTTTCAATTTTACAAGATGAAAAAGGGTTCTGCAGATGGAGAGTGGTGATGGTAGCACAATGCAAATGTACTTAATACCACTGAACTGTACTAATTGAAACAGTTATGATGAATTTATATATATTTTATTACAGTTTCAAAAATTAAGATTAAAGAACAAAAGGTAAGTAATTTGTTCAATGTTACCCAGTTCAGGGTTGCAGGTGGACTCTAGATTTGTGGGAAGAGACCACACGCACAACTTTTGAGTTAGATCAAGTTTCTCATGAAATTAGCTTACTGGCAGCAAGGTGACCATATAGACAAGAGCCACAGCAGCAGATCTGCCTCCCTGTCGCCTTGGCCCTTAGAGTGACACTGGCCATGCAACATAGAATCTTCTAGAGCTGAGCAGCTTAGTTCCTGATAGACTAACATTGTTTTACACTCAGAACATGTCACCACTCATGAAAACTTGACACTATTTTTGTGCTTTATTAAAGGGAGTGTTTACATCATTAGGGGACTCTCGTTTCAGCCTTCGGATTTCCTCTAGGCTGTCAGATTGGGATGGTTTCTTTGTCTTTATTTTCTAAATCAGAAAGGAGAAAATTGTAAAAGCAAAGTTAGCCTACTAAACATAGTTGTGTCCTATGGGAGCACCTTTCAAACCAAACATAAAATGTGATGAAACCTTTTTTAAGGTTTGACTAAATGTGTTTAATGTTGTCAAATTTACTATTTCTGCATACAGGGATTGTTGCATCACATTCCCTTCATTGAACTGGGTGGGCTTTGGAGTTAAGTCTATTCCATATCCTGCCTCCCCCACATTCTGTTTGTATTTGTGTCACCTGGATTCAATCACCTAACTTCCCTGAGCCTTGGTTTCGTCCTCTGAAAAGTACATGTAGTGATGAGTATTTCAGAGGATTAAGATCAGGACTAAATAATGCGGCCAGGCATGGTGGCTTACTCCTGTAATCCCAGCACTTTGGGAGGCTGAGGCAGGCGGATCTCTAGAGCTCAGGAGTTCAAGACCAGCCTGGGTAACATGGCTAAATCCTGTCTCTACAAAAAAATATTAATCGAAAAATTGTTTGGGCATATTGACACACATCTGTGGTCCCAGCTACTCGGGAGGCTGAGGTGGGAGGATCACTGGAGCCCAGGAGTTTGAGGCTGCAGTGAGTCGAGGTTGCACCACTACACTCTAGCCTGGGCAACAGGAGTGAGACCTTGTTAAAAAAAAAAAAAAAAAGACAGAATAATGCTGCCTGTGAAGCAGTCAGTGTATAGTAGATGCTTAACTCCTTTTTATGAACAGTTTACCAGTGTACTTAGTGCAAGTTTTGTTCTAAATCTGTTTTTAAGAAGTTACCACTCATTCATTTAGCACATATGTATTTTATGACTTATTCATTTAGCACATATGTATTTATTAACTATTGGGTACCAACTCTGCACTTAGTGTTGGGGTACACTAGTGAGAAAGACAGATTGTGCCCTCCAGAGCTATCAAGCAGGCATTAAATAATCACTTAACTATAGGTTTGTGCTGGAAAGGAAACATCAGAGAGGTTGGTAACTTTAGCTTTCCTCTTGGTCTTTTTTATCCCCTTAGGAAATTAAGTGTTAAATCCATTACGAACCCTCGATACCTGGACAGCCTGGGGAACCCATCGGCAAACGGCCTGTACGATTTAGCTTTGGGCCCTGCAGATTCCAAAGAGGTGTGCTCCACCTGCGTGCAGGACTTCAGCAACTGTTCTGGGCACCTGGGCCACATTGAGCTCCCACTCACAGTGTATAACCCTCTCCTCTTCGATGTAAGTGCTGCCTTAGTTGTGTGGGTCTCCGGGCTGCTGGTGGGATTTGTGAGTGCTGCCTCTCTCCCACAAGAGTGGTCTAAGGAGGTTAAGCCCCAGGCACTCCAATGAAAGCATTCTGTAGAATGAGATTTTGAAGTTTTGAGCCAAATACAATAACTTCAACTTACCCTGTGGCCCTAAATAAATGAATATCAGTTTGATTCCAGTTGAATAGAGCCACAGCCTGATTCCGTTTGCGTGGAGGGTCGGGGAGAGTTCAGATTCATTCCCTACACCTTTTGTTGCAGGGGCTTTGTGCTCTTCAGAAATCTCAGTGGCACCTGCCTGGTAATAGAGAGAACTTCAGTGTTCTCAGGGTCTCCCTGAGCCCTTCAGGTGTCTCTATAGGCACTTGTGTGGTGGCAGGAGAAGCAAAGCCCCAGAAAGCCCAACAGTGAGGTCAGAATGAAGCTCCTGTTTAGAGTCATGCTGGTACATTTTCAGCTTTTTATTTCAGCTAACCTCACCTCCAGGATTTTTTTTTTTAAGCTACACATATGTTGGTATACATGGACATGATTTTTGTCTGTTAATCGTGTTAAAGAGAAGTGTCTTTTTTTTTTTTTTTTAAGACAGTGTCTCATTCCGTCTCCCAGGCTGGAGTGCAGTGGCACGATCTTGGCTCACTGTAACCTCTGCCTCCTGGATTCAAGTGATTCTTGTGCCTCAGCCTCCCTAGTAGCTGGGATTACAGGCACGCACCACCATGCCCAGCTAATTTTTGTATTTTTACAAAAATTACGGGAGACAGGTTCATCATGTTGGCCAGGCTGGTCTCAAACTCCTGGCCTCAAGTAACTGGCCTCAAGTGATCTGCCCACCTTGGCCTCCCAAAATGCTGGGATTACGGGCATGAGCCACCGCACCTGGCTGAGAAGTCTCTTAATTAAATCTTGGAATAAAATAAAGATATTTTTCTACCTCAGGTTGTACGCCCAAAGTAAATTTCAAATCTAAATGGATTAAAATAAAACCTTAAAAGAAAATAGAGGGTAATATTTATCTGGTTCTTAAGATAACAAAGGCCTTTCTAAGCATGTAGGCTGAAGTAGAGTTTTTAAAGGAATAGACTGACTACATAAAGAAACTTGTGAGTATACCGAAAATCACCATGGCTACTGTGTCTCTTTCTAATATCCTGTTTGTTTTTATTCCCTCTCTTCAGAAGCTGTACCTGCTGCTTCGGGGCTCTTGTTTAAACTGCCACATGCTGACTTGTCCCCGGGCCGTGATTCACCTCTTACTCTGCCAGCTGAGGGTTCTGGAAGTCGGGGCCCTACAAGCAGTCTACGAGCTTGAGAGAATTCTGAACAGGGTAGGTGGGTAGTGGTGGTCACAGAAATCAGAAAAGGCAAAGTGGTGTGGGGAACAAGAGATGCTTGTATGTTGTCCTAGTTACCATGCCGATAGTCATCAGAACGTTTGATCTTTATATCTTATAACTGGATACCAATAGCTGAGTGTGAAAACAGGAAGCTATAAGAATAATAAAAGAAATGTTCATAGAAACAATAGTGAAATACCATTTAATCCATTTATGAGCTTTTGCTGATTTTCTGGACCAAGGATTCAATCAAGGTTTATTCAATCAAAAGACATTGCTTTTGATTGTTACATCTCTTTGATCTGTCTTAAAGTAGAACATTGTAATGTAGAAAATTCTTTTTCATGATACCAACTTTTTTGGAGACTCAAAGCCAGTTGTCTTATAGGATTTCTTACATTTTAGATTGTCCGATTATTTCTTGTAATTAGATTCACATTTTGGCAAGAATACAACCTACATGATACAGGGTACTTTGTATTGCATCATTTTAGGAGGCATATGTCAGGTTGTTCACCTATTGGTAATGCTTACTTTGTTTACTTCTTGTATTTGGTTTTTTTGGTCTTTTTTTGTATTAACACATAATATTTACACATATTTTATGGGGTACATAGTGATGGTGTGATACAGACAGTGTATAGTGATCAGATCAGGATAATTAGCATATCAGTTCTCTCAAACATTTATCATTTCTTTGTGTTGCGAACATGCAATATTCTCCTTCTAGCTGTTTGAAACTATATTATTGTTAGCTATGGTCATCCTATAATGGTGTAGAACACTAGAATTTATTCCTCCTGTCTAATTGTAATTTTATCTCCTTTAACAAATCTCTTCCTGTTCCCCTCCTTTCCCTACCCTACTCAGCCTCTAGTATTCTCTATTCTACTTTTACTTCTATGAGATCAACTTTATTTTTGGCTTCCACATATGAGTAGGAACTTGCAGTGTTTAACTTTCTGTTCCTGGCTTATTTCACGTAATGTCCTCCAGTTCCATCTATGTTGTTGCAAATGACAGGATTTCATGCTTTATTATGGCCAAATAGTATTCCATTATGTATATATACCACATTTGCTTTATCCCTTTATCTATTGTTGGACATCTAGGTTGGTTCCATATCTTGGCTATTGTGAATAGTGCTGCAATAACCATGGGGGTGCAGGTATCTCTTTGATATACCAATTTCTTTTCCTTTGGATAAATGCCTAATAGTGGGATGCTGGATCATATGGAAGTTGTATTTGTAGTTATTTGAGGAACCTTCATATGTTTCCCGTAGTGGCTATACTAGTTTACATTCCCACCAACAGTGTATAAGAGTTCCCTTTTCTCCACATCCTCACCAGCATTTGCTTTTTTTTTTTTTTTTTTTTTTTTTTTTGTCTTTTGGGGATAGCCATCCTAATGGGATGAGATGAAACCTTATTGTGGTTTTGATTTGTGTTTTTGTGTTTTCTCAATGACTAGTGATGTTGAACATTTTTTCATATATTTGTTGGCCATTTGTATGTGTTTTGAGAAATGTTTGTTCAGATCATTTGCCCATTTTTTAATCGAATTGTTTGGGATTTTTGCTGTTGAGATGTTTGAGTTCCTTACATATTCTGGATATTAAGCCTCTGTCCCTAAGATGAATAGTTTGCAAATATTTTCTCCTATTCCGTAGGTTGTCTTTTCACTCTGTTGACTGACTACTTTGTTGTGCAGAAGCTTAGTTTGATAAAATCTCATTTGTTTATTTTGGCTTTTGTTGCCTGTGCTTTGAGGTCTGATTCATAAAATATTTTTCCAGACCTTATATTTAGGTCATTGATCAATTTTGAGTTGACTTTTGTAGAGGGGAGCAGTGGAGATCTAGTTTCATTCTTCTGCATATGGATATCTAGTTTTCCCAGCATCATTTATTAAAGGCACTGTCCTTTTCCCCAGTGTATGTTCTTGGCACCTTTTGCAAAAATCAGTTGGCTGTAGATATGCAGATTAATTTTTGGGTTCCCTGTTTTCATTGGCCTTTGTTTCTGTTTTCATGCCAGTATCCTACTGTTTTGGTTACTACAGCTTTGTAGTATATTTTGAATTCTGGTAGTGTGATGCCTCCAGCTTTGTTCTTTTTACTCAAGATTGCTTTGGCCATTCAGGGTCTTTTATGGTTCTATACAAATGTTACAATTTTTTTTTTTCTGTTTCTGCAAAGAATGTCATTGGTATTTTGATAGGGATTGTACTGAATCTGTAAATTGCTTTGGGTAGTGTAGTAATTTTAACAATATTAATTATTCTGATCTATAAGTATGGGATGTTTTTCCATTTGTATCCTCTCCAGTTTCTTTCGTCACTGTTTTGCAGTTTTCCAAGAGTCTTTCACATCCTTGGTTAAATTTATTCCTAGGTATTTTTTTGGTAGCTATTATAAACGGGATTGCCTTCTTGATTTCTTTTTCAGCTAATTCATTGTTTGTGTATAAAAGTGCTACTGATTTTTTTTATCCTGCAACTTTACTGAGTTTGTTTATGAGTTCTAAGAGGTTTTTGGTAGAGTCTAGGTTTTTCTATATATGAGATTATGTCGGCTGGGTGCAGTGGCTCACACCTGTAATCCCAGCACTTTGGGAGGCCGAGGCAGGTGGATCACAAGGTCAGGAGATCGAGACCATCCTAGCTAACACGAAGAAACCCCATCTCTACTAAAAATACAAAAAAATTAGCTGGGGGTGGTGGCAGGCGCCTGTAGTCCCAGCTACTCCGGAGGCTGAGGCAGGAGAATGGCGTGAACCCAGGAGGCAGAGCTTGCAGTGAGCCAAGATCGCGCCACTGCACTCCAGCCTGGGTAACAGAGCAAGACTCCATCTCAAAAAAAAAAAAAAAGAAAAGAATATGTAATCTGTAAACAGGGACATTTTTACATCCTTCTTTTCAGTTTGGATGCCTTTTCTTTCTCTTGCCTAATTTCTCTGGCTGGTTACTTTTGGATAAAGTGGGGATGACCAGATCTCTATTGTAAAGAGATACTTTTTCATAGTTAATATTTACATTAGAATTTCTGGTGCTATTAAAAATACCTTATTTAAAATTTCATTTTGTTTGTTGATATGTAAAAATGTTATTGATTATTTTTGAAGCAACGTGGCAAAATTGTCTCATCAATTCTGACAGTTTATCTGTAGATATTTTTAGATTTTCAATACAATCCTATCTGCAAATACTGGCCTTTTTGTTCCTTTCCAAGCCTTGTATGTTTTCTTTTGATGGCTAGGATCTACATTACTGTGTTGAAGTGGTAGTGGGTATCTTTGTCTTATTTCTTGTCACATAGAAAAGTTGTTCCCCTTTCCTCTTCTCCTCCCTCTTCTTGGATGCTTCAGTCCCGAAGACATTAGGTGGGCAGAGCAAGCTGGGATTCCCCAAAGAGACATGGCCTAGTATGTGGTGTCTGAGCCACAGCAGAGTGAGCAAAGCTTCGTGGGAAGGGTGTCCCTGCACAGGGACTCAGCCAGAGCAGAGTGAGAGGGGATCCCTGCACATGTGGGCAGCCCTGTGCGGAATACCAGAGCTCGAATAGGGTAAGGAGGATGTTCATTTGGAGATAAAGGCACAGCTTAGAGTGTGAGAGCCCAAATCAGGTGAGAGGGTGCCTGTGCAGGGTGACCCAGCATGGGATGTATGAGCCCAAATATGATAAGGAGGGGTCCACAAGGAGGGTGGGCTCATGTGGAGCTTGAGCCCAATTTGGGTGAGGGCTCCACACCGAGGAGGGGATGACAGTGGCAGTGGTGGGAGAGTGGTTACATACGGGGAGAGAGAGAGATGTTGATGAATAAGTACTTAATTGATCGAATACATACTTAAGGATAATGGGGGCCAGGTTTTAACTATCAGAGAAGAGAGTTACAAATATATGAAAGAGAGAAGACAGAATTAATCCTGTATTGTTAAAATGGAATTAAAAGTTCGGGTGTAAAGTGTGTGTACACATGTATTTTCCCCTGGCCCTGTCCCTGAAAGGGCTCAGAGGAGTGATAGCACCTAGCACCCCCTTCTTGTTTTCTAAATACCATTCTCCACTAAAAAAGCTTCTTGGAGAAATAGCTGATCTAGAGCTGGGACAGAGAAAGTACAAGACCAGCCTGGAATGTCACATGCCAGAAAGGAAGTATGTGCTCAAAGAACGATTGGACATGTCCAAAGGGCACAAAAGCCTGTGTGAAGGGCCCACACTGGCCAAATCTAGGACAGTTTGAGCATCATAATAAATGATGATACTAAGTGATTATAACCCATTGAATAAAGTAGGAATCCATGAACCTACTTTTATGTTGATATAAATGAAAGAATGAATTGAGTGACTGAAAGTTTAACAGGCTACTAACGCACTTTCAAAGTACCCTCCCTCCCATACACACACATAGTCTTTTTTAATTACAAAGGTCAGAGAGAGAGAATAACTTTACCATGGAAAAGACTTCTTGCCTGGCAGTCACCCCTTTATTCAAGTGATCAAAGTGAAGCATACCTGATGGGACCAGTTGAAAGAACACAACATCGCTTCTGGATATTCCTGCCAAAGATGTGTTAGCCGAATCTGATCATGAGGAAACATCAGACATGCCCGCAATCGAGGGATATTCTATAAAACTTGCCTTTAATCTTCAAAACTGCTAATGACTAAAGTTAAAGACTAAGGAACTATTCTAAACAAAGGAGACTAAAAAGTGTAACAGATGGCTCTAAACTGGATACTTTTGCTGTAAAGGACATTAGTATTATTTTGAGACAGAGTCTGGCCCTGTTATCCAAGTTAGAGTACAGTGGCACTATCTCGGCTCTCTGCAACCTCTGCCTCCGGGGTTCAAGCGATCTCCCACCTCAGCCTCACGAGTAGCTGGAACTACAGGCATGCACCACCACACCCGGCTAATTTTTGTATTTTTTTAGTCAAGATGGGGTTTTGCTGTTTTGGCCGGGCTGGCCTTGAACTCCTGACCTCAAGCGATCCACCTGGCTCAGCCTCCCAGAGTGCTGGGATTACAGGCATGAGCCATCACTCCCAGCCTGTAAAGGATATTATTAAAGGAGTTGGCAAAATTTGAATGTTGTTTGAGGATTAGAAGGTAATAATTTATCAGTGCTAAGTTACCATTTTTTGATGATCGTATCACGGTCATATTTGTGAGTGTCCATGTTTATAGAAAATGTTCACCAAAGTATTTGGGGTTGTTGGTATATCAGATCAGCAGTGTACTGTCAAATGGTTCAAGAAAGATAGATTTCTGGAAATACTTGGAATTTTTCTATAAATTTGAGATTGTTTCAAAATATAAATAAATTATACCCTTAAAATAGGGAACCCTTTCGACATTTCACTATTAAGTATGGTGTTTACTGAGCTTTTAATCGGATTAAGGAAGCTCCTTTGTATTCCTATTTTGCTGTGGTGGCTAAATATTACATTTTATCAAATACCTTTTCAATATATACTGAAATTTTCAGATAATTTGGCTCCTTTTAAACCAGCTAACATGGTGAATGACTCCATTCCTTTCCTAATGTTAAATTAACCTGGGATTCCTGGGATAAACCCAAATTGTTTATGATATATTACCTTTTTAATATGTTGTTGGATTTGATTTCTTAATATTTTACTTGGGATTTTTGCCTCTGTAATCATGAGTGAGATTGGTTTACATTTCCTTTCTCCTATTGTCTTTTTGGGTTTTGGTATCTAGATTATGTCAGCCTCATAAAATAAGTAACATAATTCTTTCTTTTTTTTTGAGAGAGAGTCTCACTCTGTTGCCCAAGCTGGAGTGCAGCAGCACAATCTTGGCTCGCTGCAGCCTCCACCTCCCGGGTTCAAGTGATTCTGGTGCCTCAGCTTCCCAAGTAGCTGGGATTATAGGCATATGCTACCACGCCCAGCTAATTTTTGTATTTTTAGTAGAGACAGGGTTTCACCATGTTGGCCAGGCTGGTCTTGAAATCCTGGCCTCAAGTGATCCACCCACCTTGGCCTCCCAAAGTGCTGGGATTACAGGCATGAGCCACTGTGCCCAGCCGAGTTAGATAATTCTCTCTTTAAAACGCCCTGGAGGAGATTGGAGACATAGTATGCCAGCAGGGCAGTGTCACACATTTCTCTTCAGCAGGTGTCCTCACAGGGACTAGTTGTCTTTGGCTCCCCACATGACAGACGACTGCTCAAACGCAAAGGAACGAGATCACATCAGCGGCTATGGGAGCCCCCCTGGCCTAGAGGCCCCATCTCCCAGAAAGGAATCAATATCGTTTCTAACAGTTCCATGGGCTGTGCTTCCAGGGACCGTAGGATATGCCCAGCTAGGACCCAGGGAAGCTCAGAGCTGTAGTCTTTCCAGTCCAGATGTAGCCTAACCAATTGGGGTCATTTTTACCATCAGTAGTGTTGCCTAATAACACAACTGACATTTCCACTTTTATTTATTTATTTTTATTTATTTATTTTTTGAGACAGAGTCTTGCTCTGTTACCCAGGCTGGAGTGCAGTGGCACAGTCTTGGCTCACTGCAACCTCTGCCTCCCAGGCTAAAGCGATTCTCCTGCCTCGGCCTCCTTGAGTAGCTGGGACTACAGGCAAACGCCACCATGCCCAGCTAATTTTTTGTATTTTTAGTAGAGATGGGGTGTCACCATGTTGGCCAGGCTGGTCTTGGACTCCTGACCTCAGGTGATCTGCCTGCCTTGGCCTCACAAAGTGCTGGGATTACAGGTGTGAGCCACCGTGCCCGGCCTATTTCTACTTTTATTGCATTTATGAGGGAACAGAGCTAAAAAGTTAACTCATGGTCAAATTTGTCCGAAAGACAGATTGAGAGAGAGAAAGAAAGGATTTTCTTAAACCAGCGCTCACAGTAAGTTACATGTTTCTAGGAATTTCCCCATTTCATTTAAAGTTTCAGATTTATTGGCATAAAATTATTCATGGTGCCTACTATTATACCTTAAACTTTTTTTTGTAAAATATATACAGAAATGCATTAATTATATGTACAGTCCAATACAAAGTAACTATCACCCTTACAGTCCAGTTCAATGTCAGCATATTGTTTATGTCCCCAAAAACCCTCCCTCCTTTCCCTGTCCCCTTGTGTATTTATTTTTGACAGTTTGTCTGTCATTGACCTTTAAAAATTCTTTGTTGGGGCTGGACACAGTGGATAATGCCTGTAATCCTAGCACTTTGGGAGGCTGAGGTGGGAGGATTGCTTGGGCCCAGGAGTTAAAGAGCAGCCTGGGCAACATAACAAGATGCTATCTCTAGTTTTCTAATAATTATAAAAATAAATGTAAAAATAAAAATTATTTATGGGAATAATTTGAGGGCTAGGATGACGCTGCCTTCTCCAGAGAAGATTCTCATTGCTTCTGCTGTGTGCATGGCACTGATGCCAACTTGGGACTGTCATTATCCAGGTTCAACGCTTAAAGCTCCCTGGATGGCCTGAGTGATTGTACAAGGGCTGGTAGTTCCTGAGAGTATAGTCCTTTGTGTTCCGGCTTACTATGTTTATGTGTTGGGGGGTGAAGAATGATGGCTTCCTGTTAGATTTCTAACCTTATACTAAAAAAGCTTTAGGTTTTTAAATTTGTTCTTTTTAAAGGCAGGATCTCACTGTGTGGCTTAGGCAAGCAGTGGAGTAGTGCAGTGGCAATTCACAGGTACGATCATAGCGCACTGCAGCCTCAAACACCTGGGCTCAAGCGAGCCCCTGCCTCAGCATCTGGAGTAGCTGGGACTACAGAGGCACCACTGTGCCCAGCTTAGGTTAAGACTTTCATTTCTGTTTCCTACATCATTTGAGAGTTTGTGAATAAAAAGTTCAAAATTGCTGCATTGGAAAATGCACTCAAGGCCAGGGCTCCTGGGGAGCATCATAGGCATATTCCCTGGGGCACATGAGTATACCAAGTGATGTCCTGCTTCAGCACAGCACCAAAGCCCTGCATCAGCGCATGTGGCTGCATGCTCTTTCATCTTGCTAGATTCCTAGTTCCCCTTTAGTTTGCTCTGGTTATTTATTCCTCACTGTCCTGTCGGCTCTTCAGAACATTAAGGTTTTAAAAATATTTTAACCTATCTTGGCTCTTTGCAGTCTTAGGTTTGGTCTGGGGAATCTAGCCCACCATTATTGGACGTAGGATGTTCTCATTTGATTTTTTTTTTTTTTTTTTTTTTGAGATGGTGTCTGGCTCTGTACCCAGGCTGGAGTGCAGTGGTGCAATCTTGGCTCACTGCAACATTCCCCTCCCAGCGATCTCCTCACATCATCCTACCAAGTAGCTGGGACCACAAGTGGATGCCACCACACCTGGCTAAGTTTTTGTACTTTTGGTAGAGACAGGATTTCACCATGTTGCTCAGGCTGGTCTCAAACTCCTGAGCTCTAGTGATCCGCCTGCCTCTGCCTCCCAAAGTGCTGGGATTACAGGTGTGAGCCACCACGCCTGACCTTGTTTGATTTTTTTCAACAGCGATGCTGTCTCACTCTTTTGAAAGTGCAACACAGTAGCCATAGTTTCTTTTTCTCCCTTCAAATGAATCTTTTCCACCCTTGGAGAGGTTGGTCCCAGTTGTGCTGCTCATCAGAGGTGTACATTACTGTGATAATGGAGTTTTCCTCTTTGTTTTCCAGTTTCTGGAAGAAAATCCCGATCCCTCTGCCTCTGAAATTCGGGAGGAATTAGAACAATACACAACTGAAATTGTGCAGAACAACCTCCTGGGGTCCCAGGGCGCACATGTGAGTTAACACTGTCTTTCTCCCATGCTGTTTTGGGCATCATTTTATCACTTTCCCTCTGTGTTGTCCTTTGCATATACTTCTGGCTTCCCAAAGTAGACCTGAGTTTGCATCTGAGCTCTGTCTCTTGTGAGACCTGCAACCTCACAAATTACACAACTGTCCCTGAGTGTCCACTATCTAATCTCTAATGCCTGCCTGCAGGACCAATGAGAGGATTATGTGACATATGATTTCGGTATAGCATCCAGCAAGCCTCTTCTTAAAAAATGGCAGCAGGTCTTTTTTTCCTTCTCCAACACTTCTCTCTAACCCACTGCTACCTTATTCTCCCCTTCATATACTGCCTAAGTATTAATTTGTTCAACGAATGAATGAATGGGTAGATAATTCACCTGTGATACTAGTCTTGGAATCTGCTTCACTTCATGCCTTGGTTTCACACCAGAGATGCTGATTTAATTGGTCTGGGGTAGGGTCCAAGTGGAGTTACAAAAGCTCCCAGATGATTCCCATCTGCTGCCAGGTGCAGAGCCACTCATGTGGCTGGACTGTGGATGTGCCTTCCTTAGAACCCTGAGGTCCTTCTGAGGCAGGCCAGCTGCATCCAGAGGGCTTCCTTTTACAAGTGAAAGTAACTAGCACTTATTGAGTACTGGCTGTATTTCAAGCCCCCACTGCATTCATGATTCTTTGTCTTAGTAAGAGCTTACTGAGGTGGTTACTATTCTTATTCCCATATTATAATTGAGAAACTGAAGGCTTAAAGAAGTCACTCAGTAATTGTCAGAGCTCAAGTGTATTAGGGTTCTATGGAAGATTTTGTTTAAGAAAGTGGTGGTGGGGGTGTTTCCGCTGGTTAAAAATAAAAGGTGAAAACCATAAAGTAAATATATTGGATTCTCTTCAAAATGGCACTCCAAGGTTCTCTGACTTTTTTTAAAAAAACAGGTAAAGAACGTGTGTGAGAGCAAGAGCAAGCTCATTGCTCTCTTCTGGAAGGCACATATGAATGCTAAGCGCTGTCCCCACTGCAAGTAAGTATCAGGGCCCTTGCGCCAGGTGAGACGTCTCTGGGCAGTCACTCATTGCTATTATTAAATATCTTACTGGGTTTTTTCTCTCTTCAATCACAACTGTCCTCCTGCACAGGACCGGGCGATCCGTTGTCCGAAAGGAACACAACAGCAAGTTGACTATCACGTTTCCAGCCATGGTGCACAGGACAGCTGGCCAGAAGGACTCTGAGCCCCTGGGTGAGCAGGCTGGGTCTGGAGAGGAGCTCCATGTGAGGCCAGCAGATGTGTCCTAAACCCTGGGAATACCTGGTTCTCCTCACCACGTGTTTCTCTGCTGCATTTGGGAGGGGCCAGCAGAGGCACAGTGTGCAGGCCTCTCAGGCCTGAGGGGACCCTGGCAAGCGCCCAGCTCAGGCCTCTCACATGGGAGAGCTGATGGGAGGGGCTGTTTTATGAGGCAGTGCCCCACAGGCGCCTCTTGCCTTAGGTGGTCGTTTTTCTGAAAGGTTTTTCAGGAAGAAATTAAGAAATTTACCTGACAAATATTTTGAAACATTTTACTGTAAAACAAGTGTGGATCTATTTTGGAATAAAATGTAGGCGAATAATTTTTAAGAAAAACTGCAAGAATTCAGCAAAACATGAGCGCCTCCTGCAGGCTACTCCTGGCTGTCCACCCAGATCCCCCCAGGTAGAATTCTTTCCTCAGCTCTGCCCTACCCAAGCTCTGCTTGGGAAAAATTTTGAGATAACTTAATACTCCCACTTTTTAATTTTTATAGTCATAGGCTTATTTAAAAATGTTTTTTGGTTTTTATTCTGAAGTGGTCAGAAGATTAAATAGAGTATTCCAAGAGAAGCACTGAGAGCGGTACCTGCTGTGTAATATGTGCTATGTAAATGTTAACTGTTCATTTCTTATTATGTCATCAGTGTTCCAGGGTAGAAAATGCATAACCTGGCTGGGCACGGTAGCTCACACCTGTAATCCCAGTACTTTGGGAGGCTGAGGCAGGCAGATCACTTGAGGTCTGGAGTTCAAGACCGGCCTGGCCAACGTGGTGAAACCCCATCTCTGCTAAAAACACAAAAATTAGCCAGGCGTGGTGGCGGGCACCTGTAATCTCAGCTACTCAGGAGGCTAGGGCAGGAGAATCGCTTGAACCCAGGAGGCGCACTCTGCAGTGAGCTGAGATCGTGCCACCGCACTCCAGTCTGGGTGACAGAGCAAGACTCCGTCTCAGAAAAAGAAAGAAAAAGCACAACCTGCAATTGTCACTTGGCTCTGCCACTTTTTCTGAGTGGCAGATAGAAGGCTGTTTTGAGGCGTTTCCATTTCTAACTCTATATAATGGCATTCCTAAAGCCTCTTGCCTAGAATTGAGGAAGTTACATGCATGGCAGTCCATAGCAGATACTGTTACTAAACCTTTCACCAGGGTTTGAGAATATGGGATAAGCATGGAAATAAGATCCCCTCCTGGAGATGCATGATGTATGTTTTACATTGAACACTCTGGCATGGCCTGGACTAAATGAAAAACCTGTTTAATATTTTTTTAAAATGTTATAGTTTAGGATAATTTTTAGACTTAATAGAAGAGTAGTAAACATAGTACAGAGAATTCCTTAATACTGTTTACTTCATTTGCCCTACTGTATAACATAGTAGATTACCATGGTGCATTTGTCAAAACTGAGTTTAACATTGGTGCAACACTATTATCTAAACTACAGACTTTTTAAATTTTGCTGGTTTTCCAGTAATTTCCTTTTTATGCTCCAGGATCCAACCCAGGATACCACACTGCATTTAGAAAGCCTTTTTAATTTTGTTTCATGGTTGGTAGTTAACACTGTAAGAGTGGATTTTCCTACACTTAACCATTAAATTGCCCTCAAAACAATTTTCTTGTATTACCAGTTGGGAATTGCTTCTGTAGCCCTTAGGATGCCTTATAAAATGTTCATAGATTGAGAACAAAGATGGTCAGAATTCTTTCTAGAAGATAGTTTTCGTGGGGCAAATGTCCGGCAGGTAAGTAGCCTTTCAATGCCTTCACCAAACCCATTCTTCTAAAGTCATCTTTCATTGCAGCCACGCAAATATGATGGTGCAACCAAAAGTCTGTGCATTAGAAACAAGTAGACCATAGTCTTCTACAGCTCCAGGCTTGGGTATTCAGTATTTAGCACACATTTATTTGTTGGGTGCTCAGCATTATGCCAAGGACCATGTTTGTGATGAGCACAATGCCAGGACACAGACCAGACCATGTGGTCTCTGCTCTCTGAAGGGGCTGCAAGTGACACAGATCAGTAACCCTGGGGAGCAGGTGATGTGGAGGAAAGTGAGCAGCCTCAGCGTGGGTCTGACCATGTTCCTGGTATCAGAGGGAATCAAAAAGTGAGGGCTAGGCTGGGAGTGGTGGCTCACGCCTGTAATCCGAGCACTTCGGGAGGCCGAGTCAGGCGGATCATCTGAAGTCAGGAGGCAGGCAGATCATCTGAGGTCAGGAGTTCAAGACCAGCCTGACCAACATGGTGAAACCCTGTCTCTACTAAAAAAAAAAAAAATTAGCCGGGTGTGGTGGCGCACGCCTGTAATCCCAGCTACTCAGGAGGCTGAGACAGGAGAATCGCTTGAACCCAGGAGGCGGAGGTTGCAGTGAGCCGAGATTGTGCCATTGCACTCCAGCCTGGGCAACAAGAGCGAAACCCCATCTCAAAGAAAAAAAAAAAAGTGAGGGCTGTGCCTGAGTAGTCCCCATGGACTGGTGATCCCACAAGGAGCGCTGTCAGCTTGTGAAATGCCACACGTGCTGCTCCAGTGCGCTCCCTGTGCTCCATGTGCCCCCCTGAGCCCCACAAGGCACATTAACATTTAAAATGAGAATTCATATAGCCAAGACACTTCCAGCCATTGTGATCCCAGGTTATTTGACCTCTGAATCCCTTTTTCCTATGGCACCTCTTACAGCTGAAAGAAAGACACATTCAAGATGCTCTGAAATCCCAGCTAGGCAGAAGGCATTGTTGCAAGCTGCAGAAGTTCTTGTTAGGAGGGGATGCAGCGCATGTGAGGAGATGGGCTTCCACAGCTCTCTTCTGACTTTAAGATCCTGTGATTGAAGAACAGCCTCTGCCTTCACGGTGACTAAACTGCAGTGGGGGCATTGCTGGGACAGGAGCTGAGGAGATTCGACCGATCTTCTTCAGCATTTCCAACCTATTTAGTAGAAGAGAAAGTTCAGACACTCATTTTCAGAAATGCCCACAAAATGCAGGTTAATGGGGTCTGTTTTCTCCCACTGAACATATGTAGCTTTCTAATGCTGTGGTTATCCCTGAAGGTCAAGGCCATTCTTCATTGCATACCCATGCTTCCTTCAGTTGCGTTAACTCATTGAAATATTCTGCTTTTATCGACATCAAAACTTTAAACATGCAGACTCCTTGACTTAGCAGTTCTGCTTTGATGACTTTATCCTAAGGAATTAGAATACTCACAGTGTTGTTTGAATAGTGTATAACTGGACATGGGCCGGGCACGGTGGCTTACACTTGTAATCCCAGCGCTTTGGGAGGCTGAGGCGGGCGGATTGCAAGATCAGTAGATCCAGACCATCCTGGCTAACACGGTGAAACCCCGTCTCTACTAAAAATACAAAAAATTAGCTGGGCGTGGTGGTGGATGCCTGTAGTCCCAGCTACTCGGGAGGCTGAGGCAGGAGAATGGCGTGAACCCAGGAGGCAGAGCTTGCAGTGAGCGAAGATCGTGCCACTGCACTCCAGCCTGGTCGACAGAGCAAGTCTCTGTCTCAGAAAAAAAGAAAATACTGGACATGACTTAAATACCTATTAACAGAGACTACTTAAATTATGGTGCATTTGTTAATTGTTCTCCAAGTTAGGGATTTCTCTAAAAACTTATGATGACATATCCTCTGCAGATTTTAAAGAAACTAGCTGGAGAATTGGAGGTGGAATGAAGCTAGTTTTTAAAAATGGAGGAGGCTGAGGTAGGAGAATCGCATGAACCTGGGAGGCGGAGGTTGCAGTGAGCTGAGATCGTGCCGCTGCACTCCAGCCTGGGTGACGAGCAAGACTCCGTCTTGAAAAAAAAAAAAAAAAAAAGGAAAAGGCAAGAGTGGTGTTTTTAAGTGTAGAC
Source organism: Homo sapiens (assembly GCF_000001405.40). Lineage (NCBI taxonomy): Eukaryota > Metazoa > Chordata > Mammalia > Primates > Hominidae > Homo > Homo sapiens. The sequence goes on along the minus strand of NC_000002.12, from coordinate 86,084,631 downwards.
TATCTTAGGCTATTTTATATTTGAGCCGTATACTCTTAACTTAGAATTTGCTGTGAGCTAGACACCCTGTCAAGTGTTAGGAACACAGACAAGGCATAGTGCCTGTCCTGATATGTGAATAAAAAAGGAACATTGAGTAATGCTTAGTTTCAGTGGATGTATCCAGAAAAGCTTTTTGGGGTTTTTGTTTTGTTTTGTTTTGTGTTTTTTTTTTTGAGACAGGGTCTCACTTTGTCATCCAGGCTGGAGTGCAGCGATACGATCTCGGCTCCCTACAGCCTCTGCCTCTCAGGTTCAAGCGATTCTCCTGTCTCAGCCTCCCTAGTAGCTGGGATTACAGTCATGTCCAGTATTTTCTTTTTTTCTGAGACGGAGTCTCGCTCTGTTGCCCAGGCTGGAGTGCAGTGGCACAATCTCCGCTCACTGCAAGCTCCGCCTCCTGGGTTCACGCCATTCTCCTGCCTCAGCCTCCCGAGTAGGTGGGACTACAGGCGTCCACCACCATGCCCGGCTAATTTTTGTATTTTTCATAGGGACACGGTTTCCCTGTGTTGGCCAGGCTGGTCTCAAACTCCTCAGGTGATCTGCCTGCCTTGGCCTCCCAAAGTGCCCAGAAAGTTTTGAACCTGAAAGACACACTACTTACTTGTCTTAGGTAATCATCTTAAATGCCTGGTCCCTACCTCCTGAATGGCAGTCCCAAGCCTCGTTTTCTCATGTAACCTGGGTATTGCTGGTAGATGGCATCCCAGAGTGATCTTGCTTAGTGTGAGAAACCAAGCCCAATCTATTCCTCACACACCAGTATGATATTTGTAAAAAGAAGTCAGTATATATTTACCTATAAAAATACTTATTTATCCATAATTCAACTTATATGAACTTTTCTGGTAAAAAACAGGTAGATAAAGATATTTATTATAATGTTACTTATAATAGCAAAATATGGAAATCAATCCAGATGTCCAATTATGAGAATATGGTTAAGTGAATTAGGAATCATCCTTAATGGAATATCACATAGCCATGAAAAATGGTGATCAGGCAAAAGCTACATAGCAACATGCAGACATGCTGATGAGATGATACTAAAAGGGCAAAGTAGTGTGCAAAATAAATCCACACTGAAGATTACAGTTGTGTAAAATACGTGTATAGACAAAAAGGCCTGGAAAACAATATATAAAAGTGATAGGAGTTGTTAATGTGATGGGATTATGGGTAATGTTTTCTTTTACTTTGCTTTTTTTTTTTTTTAGGTTTTATACAATAGCCATATGGTTTTTATTACTATAGAAATGAGATTAAGGGCCAGAGGGAATCCAGGCCTGATAATATGCTACCCTTGAGATTGATTTTTGTGGTCAAGTTGCAGGCTTGGGGATAAAGAATTGATAAATCCCATTGCAGAAAGAGTACCTGTTTCTGATTTATTGCACTTTGATTCTCCTCCTTGGCTCCAGGAATTGAGGAAGCTCAGATAGGAAAACGAGGATACTTAACACCCACCAGTGCCCGCGAACACCTTTCTGCCCTGTGGAAGAATGAAGGTGCTGTATCAGGCTAAAGAAATAGCCTTGATCTTCTCTAGGCTTTTATTTCCTGGACTCATTAACCCTGCCTTATTACTTCTTTTAAGTTGTAGTGATTGTAGCTTCCTCCTGGAACTGATCCAGAGGTTTGGGGCAGTCTTCAGGGCACATTGACATTGAGTCATAGAGCAGGAGAGGTCATACCCAGCACCAAAAACTTGACAATTATCGCAGCTGAGCCTGGTTATGAAATGACAACTGCAGGTGGGCCTCACTTAATACAGGTTGGCATATTTTTAGAAGGTTCAGTGTAACTTATTTTAAATGCCCGTAAGTAAAATGCTTTGTCCTTCTGTGAATCAAAGAATGAACTCTGTCTTATTTAAATTGGGACTTTACTATAAGGGAAATCCTTCTTTCCTTTTGAGTGTATAACAAAACCTACGCAGTATATTCAAGCCCTTGTGAGAGTATGTTGTGGAACGCTGACTATAACCTCTGTGTAATAAGCGCTTACAAATGAACATGTTGTTAAAGAGGTATCAGAAAAAAAAAAAAGCACTGGAGTTAGTATGATTGCTTCTGTGGCAGGCCCTAGTACATTTTAATCTTTTTCTCTAGGCATTTTTTAAAGTAACCAGAAACCTGAAATAAAGCTTTGATCCACAGAAGATCCTTTCTTGGCAGTAACTGTTAGGGGTGGGAGGAGGCTAACTTAAAAAAAAATTTTTTTATTCAACATATTTTTTATGAAGATCAAAGTAATGATGTGTGTGCTGTCTGTGTTTTAATAGTCCAGGAGGGTGATTAAAAACAAGTGAAGTTTCTTCCCCATCCTTGCCCATCTCAGTCCCTGGTTTAAGAGCTATTGTCCCTGTAGTACCCATTTTTATGCTATCATATCCCCTGCATACAAACTGTCATGTACACAGGGGCTATTTTTTGTTTTTATAAAGAAAAATGAGGCCAGGCACGTTGGCTCATGCCTCCAATCACAGCAATATGGGAGGCTGAGGCAGGTGGATCAATTGAGCCCAGGAGTTCGAGACCAGCCTGGGCAACCAAGCAAAACCTCATCTCTTAAAAAAAAAAATACAAAAATTAGCTGGACATGATAGCACGCACCTGTAGTCCCAACTACTTGGAAGGCTGAGGTGGCAGGATTGCCTAAGCCTGGGAGATCAAGGCTGCAGTGAGTCATGATCGCACCACTGCACAGCAGCCTGGGCGACAGGAGTGAGACCTTTTCTCAAAAAAGAAAACTGTGACCTTAACTCTACATATTATCTTGTATTCTGTTTTTTCCTCACTCAGTAATATTTTTATGGTTGTCCTCCCATGCCCTTAGTGATAGATTTAAATGGTCTTCTTGGTTTATTTCTTTCCAACGCAGGATTCTTTCTGAACTACCTTTTTTCGGGAATGGATGATGATGGTATGGAATCCAGATTCAATCCCAGTGTGTTCTTTCTAGATTTCTTGGTGGTGCCGCCCTCAAGGTAATACCCTTTAATTAACTTATTTCACCTGAAAAAAAGCGTACTAAGGAACTGAAATGTGACCTCTAGGAGAGGTGAAAGGGCCAAGGGCACTGAGAGACAAAGCTGCAGTTCCGCTCCAGGTGCAGGTGGTGGGAGGGCTTGCTTTCCTTCCCGTTTGTTGTGAACGCAATAGGAATGTTGGTTGTTTTTGTTTGTTTGTTTTGAAGTGGAGTCTTGCACTGTCTCCCAGGCTGGAGTGCAGTGGCATGACCTTGACTTACTGCAACCTCTGCCTCCTGGGTTCAAGTGATTCTCCTACCTCAGCCTCCTGAGTAGCTGGGATTACAGGCACGCACCACCACACCCAAATAATTTTTGTATTTTACATAGAGATGGGGTTTCACCATGTTGGCCAGGCTGGTCTCGAACTCCTGACCTCCAGTGATCCACCTGCCATGGCTTCCCAAAGTACTGGGATTACAGGCTTAAGCCACCACACCCAGCCGGAATGTTGGTTAGGAAGGTTGGTTGTTTTGAGCATGGTGGGGTGTGCTCCCTACAGTAGGCATGGGTGAGAGGCTGAAGAACATGACCCTTTCCTCACACTAAACATTCATTTATTCCGTATGTCCCCCTGCAGGTATCGCCCAGTCAGTCGCCTAGGAGACCAGATGTTTACTAATGGCCAGACGGTGAACTTGCAGGCTGTCATGAAGGATGTAGTTCTGATTCGAAAACTTCTGGCATTGATGGCCCAAGAACAGAAGTTGCCAGAGGAAGTGGCCACACCCACTACAGATGAGGTCAGGGCTGCTCTGTTGCTGATGTGATGAGCACACATGCTTAGTGCTAACTCTGTGAGCTGTGGATGTAGACACTGGGTCTGGGAGATGCTTCCTGGGATGTTCTGTGCAGCTGGCAGCAGCCTTAGTGTGAGCTCTGGGCTTAGGGGGCACCTAGGAACATTAGGGGGACACACATGGGTCTGAGCATGGAAAGGTGTGGGTTCTGGTCTAGCTTCTACACCGAACGACCATGCCAGGTGACCCTAGTTGAGTCACTTCCTTATACTAGTGTCTGCTATAAAGTGCATGTGATTTGTGGTGAGATTTCACACCTAGGCTGTTCCGGGCTACCAGCTCTCGCAGCTCTAGAAAGAATAGCCTACTTCCCTCAGGCTTTAAGAGTGTCCCTTTTGGGTCACAGTACTAGAGCTCATGTTGCCAGCTCTATTTTGGACACGTTAATGTCTCCAGCATTGGGGTCAGGAAGGCAGTATTGCAGAGTGGAAATTCCTCTCAGAATAGGACAGTTTCAACTAACATTTCCTGAGCCCCATCTGTGTGCCGGGTTAATTAGTAGGTGTTCAGTGGGTACAAAGGTGAATTGGGCACCCAGGAAGCTTGCTGAGGTCATCAAGATCCTTCCCAGCTCTAAAGTACTCTCTGGATGCAAATAGGCAGCCTTGGGTAGACAGTCCGGGTTCTCAGACTCCAGCCGCTGCGACAGTCCCGCTGTCTGCCAGGCCCATCACAAGGTGGCGCCACTGTCTCTTGGACACTTATGGTGCAGGTTACACTTGGGGCTTTCTGTGGTTTTGCTTGTTTCCTGATCGGCCCGCATTGGTGTGCTTTTAAAAACTCCTTAGTGTAAAAGACATCAGCCATGTGCATGCCTTAGTGCAGTTTCCAAGAAAAGACCATGGGATAACTGTACCCAGTGACCAGGGTTGATGTCCCTTAAAAATCGGGCAGCCTGGCCAGGCATGATAGCTCAAGCCTGTAATCCCAGCACTTTGGGAGGCTGAGGCAGGAGGTTCACTTGAGCCCAGGAGTTTTAGACCAGGTGGGCAACATGGCGAAACCCTGTCTCTACCAAAAATACAAAAAATAGCTGGGCATGGTGGTTCATGCCTATGGTGCCAGCTACTCAGGGGGCTGAGGTGGGAGGATCACTGGAGCCAGGGAAGTCGAGGCTGCAGAGAGCTGTGATCGCACCACTGCCCTCCAGCCTGGGTAACAGAGTTAGACCCCATCTCAATAATTAAAAAAAAAAGAAAAATTGGTCGTCCCCTTTGTCAAACAAATGCTTCGCCTCTGAGGGGCAAATAGCATCCTCTGATTCCTATGTCCCACTGCCCTCTTTCCTTGTGATTGACAGGATGTGTTTTTTCTCCCCCCTTACTCTCTGTGTTCCATCCTCATGGCAGCCCTTGCCAGTCACCGTCTAGGCATTGGGGATACTCCAGTGAGACAAGTTCTCACTCATTTCACAATCACTGGTCTTGAGCCAGGTAATGCCATGAGCAGTGAGTTGGGCTAACAGGGCCCGGTCATCATGCAGGTGATCGTATCTCCCTCTGGGACTCCAGCCAGAAGGGGACCCTGAGTGTTTTATGTAGAATACATCTATTTTCCCTAGAGCTAAAGAAGATTCCTGTGTTCCTCAGGTTTGATGACAAGCCCACTTCATCACTACTGGGTTTTCATAACATTCTCGTTTACTGAATCTTCACCCACCCTCACCCTCCCACCTCAAGACACTGACAGGTTTCTTCTCTTATCTGCCCACACTGGAAGACGTGGGACCATCTGTCTCCTTGTGTCATACCCAGTCGATTGGGCCAGTAGGTGGCCAGACAGTATCAATAGGTGGTGCTCTAAGCCAGCTGAAGGCTTCTGTGTATTTCTGTCCCCTGGGTAGGGAGTGGGAGAGAGGAGGAGACAGGGCTAGGGGCAAAAATATTAAAAAAGGATTGGTTAAATATTCCAATGAGACTTGGCAATCAGCCACTAACTTGATATAGCTCAGCTGGAGACCCACATCTTAGTTGATGACATAGAATATCGTATGGCAAACCTAGTTCCTTTTAAGAAATTGTTCCACCTGCATGTTTGTAATTGGTTTGGATCAAGTTTTTCAAAGCCATAAATAAAACTGAAACTGCATGTGAGAATTGGTTATCTGGCAAGATAACAGAACTTCATAAGAAATGTACTGATGTGGGAAGGACTTCTTAGTTTTCTTTAGGAATTGCATATTAAGGGATTTCAGCAAAAATGCCTTAAGAAAGAAGCATGCTTATAAATTTTGAGTTCATCTTACTACTAGAAAGAGACAGGCTGGTAAATATATAATAGTGCTGATATGTCTTATTGACATGTACTTACAAGATTGATTTATTAGCATGTTTGTCTCTGATCTGTCAGGTTCAGAGGAGATAAACTCCAGAGTGCATAGTTGTCAGATCCAGGGTAAGAAAGAAAAATTAAATCAAGCCAGGCCTTTTGGAGCTTTTTTCCATCATCCCTGTTTTCTTGGTTTCATCTTCCAGGAAAAAGACTCTTTGATTGCTATTGACCGATCCTTTTTGAGTACACTTCCAGGCCAGTCCCTCATAGACAAACTTTACAACATTTGGATTCGCCTTCAGAGCCACGTCAATATTGTGTTTGATAGCGAGATGGACAAACTAATGATGGACAAGTACCCAGGCATTAGGCAGGTGAGCAAAAAACTGGATTCCCATTGCTAGCTACAGAAGATAAATAATAAACATTGTGTATTGAAACAAGAAACTAATAAGCCTACTGGAATTCTTGTTGAATGTTTTTTATGACCTTTTTTCTCCATAAAGATCCTGGAGAAGAAAGAAGGCCTGTTCCGAAAACACATGATGGGAAAGCGAGTGGACTACGCTGCGCGCTCAGTCATCTGCCCAGACATGTACATCAACACCAACGAAATTGGAATTCCCATGGTGTGTGTGTGTGTGTGTGTGTGTGTGTGTGTGTGTGTGTGTGTGTGCGCGCGCGCGTGCAGGGCTCATTTGCTCCCCGTGGGTGGCAGATGAGAATGCCGCAGAGGACTGGGGACAGGATGTGCAGCAGATTATTCTGGCTTGGGCGGAACTAGCTTCTGCCTCTTCCTGGACAGCCCACAAGGAGGTGACTGGAAGCTGCATGATGGCATTGCTGTCACTCCTTGCTAGGCTTACAGACACCTCCTACCAACAAGTCAGCACCAGGGAGCTGACTGCAGGGTGTTCCACATCCCCGCCGGCATAGCTTCCTCCTGCCCACTTCAGCCTAGTCTTTTGACCTTCCTCACCAAATTGAATACATGACAGGGGAGAGGAAGAGGGCATGGGGCATATCAGTTATCAGTCCTGTGTACTTTCCAGGCATCAGAAATGTGTACCCCAGGTTACTGGGAAGAGGAAAGGGAGTGAGTCCCGGAGAGAGGCGTGTGCATGTTGCCCAGGTCCTGTTTCGCTTCTCAGGGTCAGCAGCTTGCTGTTCACCTGTTAGTGCTCTCCCCCCGACCCCCTCCGGGAGCTAGCTTCGTCTTCTCACATCCTTAGCACTTCATGCTGTGGTGCTCAGCAGCAGCAGCCTTTAATCGGCTTCCTCCTTAATGGGCCGGCCTCTATGTCAGTAATGTGAAGGTGGTTTAATTTCCCTCCGTGGAGAGCCTCATTTCCTTGCACGCCACCCCCTCCACCCCTCTCTGGGGACTGGTGATGAGCAGCGCTGAAGTGTTCTTTCTGATCATCCTGTGTCCCCATGGCCTCATCTCTTTGTGGCACACTTGGGTTTCCTGGACAAAGGCGTGATGTGTCAGGAGACAGCAGTCTGAGAAGGCCCAGTCCTGTACCCACTGCCTCTTGGGAACCATAGTCCTTGCATTCAAAGGCTGGATCATGTGGTGAGGACCAGCTTTGCAAAGTCCAGTGGTGACATTCCCAAATCTGAGGTCCCGAGGAGACATGTAGCAACTTTTGGTTGCCCTCTCTGGACAGGGCAGGGGCCACCCTTGTTGGCCTTGACTTCATAGTGCCTACAGTGTCCCCAGCTCTGTGAGAGACCTTTTGTGCTGCCTTTTCTATCTTCTAGGTGCTGGGTTCTCTTTCTTAGATCTGGGTTTGTTTGGTAGTGGCTTGTCCCTGGAGGAGAGACCCCGAAGTCACTTCTCTGCCCACCTGCAGACTGCTGCAAGTCTCAGGGCCATGGTGGCCTGGGGCGTAGGTATTCCTCACAGGATAGCTGGGAAGATTAGAGTGGATAGAACTGCCTCTGGCCCCTTGGATCACACACTTCCCATAGAGCACTGTTGACAGGTGCCACAGGAGCAAGGAGCTGGAGACCAGCAGTGAAGCACAGACTAATGTGCTCCCATATAAAGCAGTGTCCAGGGGTGGAGACAGACAGTAAATAGATAGACAAGTATATGTATGCTCTGTTGAACGGTGATGGGTGGTAAGTGCATCAGCAACAGTAGAGCAGGCTCAGGCTGAGGAACGCAGAGGCTGGGGTAGCCCCAGGAGCCTTCTGAGAAAGTGTTGCTGCGCGGGACCTGTACAAAGCTAGACAAGTTCCTTTATGTAGGACATCTCAGAGCCTCTGGTGTATTTGTGTACATTTGGAAGCATTAGAGGTTTATAATATTCAGTAGCTCAAAAACTCATTTAACAGGGAACTTGTTTTACTTGGAGCGTATCCCAGGCCCAGCTTTAAACACAGCACACTGCATTTTCTTAGGTATCAGAGGAATGCGTCAGTTTCATCTCAAGTACCACCTTGATTGTAATGGCTGCCAGAACTGTGGAGTTGAGATATTCCGATGCCATGTCTGGGCTCAGGGACAGCACCATGATGCATTAGTGATGTCTGCCAGGGTAGATGAGGGATGTCAGGGTATTTGAGGACAGGCATTTGCCACCTGTCTCAAGGAAGTGCCCCATGCCACCTTTGGGAACTTTGAATTTATTGGCAGATAAGAAAATGAAGTTTTAGACTGGGTGAAAAAATTGGCTGGGCGCGGTGGCTCACGCCTGTAATCCCAGCACTTTGGGAGGCCGAGGCGGGCAGATCAGCTGAGGTTGGGAGTTTGCTACCAGCCTGACCAGCATGGAGAAACCCTGTCTCTACTAAAAATACAAAATTAGCCAGGTGTGGTAGTGTGTGCCTGTAATCCCAGTTACTCGGGAGGCTGAGGCAGGAGAATTGCTTGAACCCAGGAGGCGGAGATTGTGGTGAGCCGAGATCGCGCCATTGCACTCCAGCCTGGGCAACAAGAGCGAAACTCCATCTCAAAGAAAAAAAAATTATATAAACTGCTGCGCTTAAATTATTCTCCTCAGACTAACTGGTAGAAAAGGAGGCCTAGTCTCTATACCATTAAGGGAGTAGCAGAAGACAGGCAGGATGTTACTTTGCTCACTGGAAGACCTTCTTGGCCAAGTCAAACAGCTCCTCCACATCTTGGGTGAAAAGACAGCCTGTTGAGACAGATTTGGGGTCCATCAGACCTTTTTTTATCCCTGCCCTGAATTTCTACCTCCATTCCTCATTTCCAGGTGTTTGCCACAAAACTGACCTACCCACAGCCAGTTACCCCATGGAATGTTCAGGAACTTAGGCAAGCGGTCATCAACGGCCCTAATGTGCACCCAGGAGCCTCCATGGTCATCAATGAGGACGGCAGCCGCACAGCCCTGAGCGCTGTGGACATGACCCAGCGAGAGGCCGTGGCCAAGCAGCTTCTGACCCCAGCCACGGGGGCACCTAAGCCCCAGGGGACAAAAATTGTGAGTAAGGGCAGCTTTGGTCAGGGACCCATCCGGCTCCTGTTCGGATTCTGGTGATTGGTGGCCATCAGGTGTGGCTCCGGTGCGCACTGACACAGGAGCCCATCCCTAGGAGGAAGCTCCCCGACACGTGGGTGGCTTTTTAGATTCACCTTGTAGTCTCCGGGCAGAAGAATGGCTGCCCTTAAACAGGACTACTCAAAGGGCAGTCCCCAGACCAGCATCAGCAGCAGCCCTGGAGCTTGTGAGCAATGCACATCCCCCCACCTCTACTGAATTTGAATCTCTGAGAATAGAGTTCAGAATCTTTCTTTACCGTGCTTTCCAGGGGGTTCTTCTGCATGCTGATGTTTGAGAGCCACTCTTAGGAAGGGAGTGCTCTGTGCCAGTGATAACCAACAAATAACAGGTTATAACTAATGTTTCCATTTTGGGCAATTGCTAATGCTAGCCCATAGTGCTGTGGTAGGGAATCCTGAGGCTCTATCAGGTTCCACTGGAAGGAGCACATGATCGATTAACAATGTTGCTGAGTGCATGAAATCAGCAGGTGACAGCTCTGTGGCTCTGTCACATAATAGCCATTCCTGCTGGGAGGGGAGTAGCAGATGACCCCTAACTAGGCAACAGTGGCAGCAGTTGTTGGAGGGAAATGGATTCGACTTGGATGTAACCCACAAGTGACTACCGGAGTCAATAGGTGACTGCCTGGATTTTCCTCACCCACCTGCACAGAGGGCCTCTCCTTGCCCTCTGCCCACCCATACCCATGGCTGACCTGCCCTTCTTTAACACTGAGTTCACCTCTGCAAAGTTGCATCAGCCTTGAAGGAACTTTGGAGGAACCGAGAGGAAAAGGAAATGCTCCTGGCCTTGCGGCGGTGCCCATCACTGCTCATCACAGGCCTTCTTGCTTCCTCTCGTTCTCACCGCCGTCCTGAGGGGCAGCAGTAATACACTGCCTGTATTACTGTATTCTCCTTTGGTGACAGGGCACATGCAAACATAGATCAAGTCACCTCTTTTGTTCTTCTCTAGTGCACGAAGTAAGGTTTGTATTCAGGTTCGTAGAATCGGTCTGCCTTTCCTAAGTGCCTGGTGTTTCGCTAGGCACTGTGTGAGCAATGCAAAAAGAAGCAAGGTGTGTTTCACTTCACTTACATTTAACTCAGGTCAAACATGTGAAACAGACTCACAATAGGAAAGGATGAGAAAGAGACTAGGAGAAGGGGTGAGGGATGAGGCAGTACTGATGCCCCCTGCATGCTAGCACTTTGCAGTCCCTGCAGACGGATCCTCGCCACCCTGGAGTTGACAGCATGGTGGGGGAACCACTAGGAAGTAAGCATATAAATGTATTGCTGTTGCGGAGGGGTGTGGTAGACACCATAGGGAACAGCAGTGACAGACAGTGACTTTAAGCACATAATGTCCAAGAAGAAACAAGTTTGAGGGGAATGTGCAGGGCAAGTGGGCAGGGAGAGTTTGGGGTCATCAGGAGGCAACTGTGAGCCAGGTGCTGGGGCCAGCCTCAGGGCTAAAGAGGGGACTGAAGGCAGCGAATTCTTGCTGCTCTCTCAGGCCTTAGCAAGCCCTCATTCCTCTGGGGTCAGATAGTAAATATTTCTGTGGTCCTGGGCCATGCAGGCTCTGCTGTAGCTGCTCAGCTCTGCCACCTAATACCAAAGCAGCCACAGGTAGTACACAAACAAATAGGCATGGCTGTGTTCCAATCAAACTTTATTTACAGAAGCAGGTGGCCAGCCTGAGGACTGTAGTCTGCTACCCACCAAAACCTGTCATTTTTTTTTTTTTTATTTTATTTTTTTTTGAGACAAGGTCTCGCTCTGTCTCCCAGGCTAAAGTGCAGTGGTATAATCACAGCTTGCTTCAGCCTCCACCTCCTGGGCTCAGGTGATCCTTCTGACTCAGCCTCCCGAGTAGCTGGGACCACAGGTGTGGCTAGTTTGTGTATTTTCTGTAGACATGGGGTTTCACCATGTTGCCAAGGATGGTTTCCAACTCCTAGGCCCAAGAGATCTGCCCTCCTCAGCCTCCCGAAGTTCTGGGATTACAGGCATGAGCCACTGCTCCTGGCCTGTAATTTTTGAAGACTTTGGTTAATGTGTTGCATATGGGTCAGGGCAAGGCTGAAGGGGCTGTGTGAGGTTGATGGGAAGGAAACACTGAGGTCTCGTCCGGGGAGGAACCACAGGCTAGGTGAGGAGGGGAAAGGCCAAAAGGACCCATTTCCTCTATGAAGTATGAAAGCTCTGCCCCATCCCCTGGGCCTTGTAAATAAAAGAGGAAATGGCCCGGAGAGCCAAGGCTCATTGCCCTGCTCAGCAGCCTGCCAGAAGCAGGCCTTTGGCTCCGAGCCTGCCTCTGAAAATTCTGACCCTGGGGCACTGGGGCACGCTAATTTTCACTGCAGTATTTATTTAGAGACAAGAGAAAGGAAGGGCCTTGGGTTTGGGTTGGCAAGGGGAATACCCTGTGCTCCAGGGCTTCTGTTTGGATTGGCCGGTGCCTACCAGACTGGCCTGTGTACCTTCCCAGCTGTGGCGAGTTTGCTTACGCTGGAGGATGTCTCAAATTTGCAAGACTCAAATCCTAGGCCCAGCCTGGCTTATTGGGCTTGGGCCACAGGTCTAGGCAGTTTCTCCCTTGAGAGGCTAAAGCAAGAAGACCTCAGCTTGTATGACGCAGTCAGACAGCAGCCAGTGCCCTGGGCAGATGCTCATGGGAACCCTCAGAGTTTAGGTCTCCTTGGAAACATGGGACTTGGCAATGGGGAGGGGAAGGTTTGAATTCCTTCGGGAGCAAAAAGACGGACTCCATGCTAGGTACTTTTAAGATTGCTTTGTAGCACTTGAGGGTTTTGCTCCCTGCTTCTCTGAGCTAGAGAGAGAAAACTTTTAACCTCACTGAACAGGAATCGGGGAGAGAGTTTTGGGGAGTATCTCTTAATTACTTCTAGCCTCTCTCTTTAATGAACTTTCTAATGCAGTTTCATAAATGTGGGCAACATAAGAAGAAACTAGACTTCCAATAATTTGTTGTTTTCTCCTGCCTGCTATCTGTTGTGATTTAGAGGAGATTTGGGGTGGCAGAGATTTCACCAAGTCTTCATAATTCCTTTGTACTACTTAGAGGAGCCCTTCAGGATGCATGGGGTGGCAGTTACCTTCATACATTTGTCTTTTAAGGTGTCACTTTATGTTCAGTGTTTAGGAGGCCCAGTAGTTAATATAATTAAAGATAAGGGTGGTAAGTGTCTTAATAGGCGGTACAGGAAAGTCAGCTTTGTGAGAGAGATGTCTGTCAGAAGGACATGACCAGCCAGATATTTATAAGGGGGGAAAAGTATGAGCAGTGGTTATCTTAGAGGGGTACAATTACTTGTGATTTTTAAATTCTTATCTTTAAATTGTATTTTCTGTTTTCCCTCTAGCAATGAGCATAGCACTTGTTCAATATTTCTTTCTTTAAAAATAAGTGAAGACCTTTTTTAAAATTTACAGAAGCATCACATACTCATTATAGGAAGAACGATGCTAAGATGTAGGAAAGTAGCTGAGTGTGGTGACTCATGCCTGTAATTCCAGCACTTTGGGAGGCCAAGGCGGGAAGATCGTTTGAGGCTAGAAGGTTGAAGCTGCAGTGAGCCATGATTGTACCACTATACTCCAGCCTGGCAACAGAGAGAGACCCTGTCTCAGAAAAATAGTACAGCCTAGTGAGGATCCAACCACCCCTTTCCCATAGACACACACACACACACACACACACACACACACATGCACACGGAGAGAGAGAGAAGCTGGGTTGGTTTTTAAATTGTTTTTTTTTTTCATCATGTCACATGCCACCTGGGTTTTTTTTTTCTTTGCTGTAATACATTATTGCTATCACTTTAGGCCTTGTATACATTTACCTTATCCTTGTTCATCACTGCATAATATTCCATAGTGTGGATACACTATTGCCCCTTCTATGGGGCAGTCAGGTTATTTCTAGTTTTTGCCGCTGTAAATGCTGCTACACAAACATACATACTCATCTAACCTTGTGTGGGTGCTTTTTTTTTTCTTGAAGAGCCAACAGAAAATGTGTTTTAAGTGTTTTAATTGCTATTTTCAAACTCTGTTCCCAAAAGACTATGACAATTTACAGCTCTTAATTTTTGAAGTGCAATAAAGTGTTCTCTGAGGGCATTGAACTAACTAAGAACCCTTTTCTGGCTCTGCTATATGAAGCTGGGCAAACTTTTTGTGAAATGTAGAATTTCTGTTTAGAATAATGTACTCACATGTGATCACGGCGGGGGGGGGATTCGAAAGTCTGCCAATGCCTTTCAAACCCAGTGGTTTTATGGTTATGTCTTCATTTTGTTATGGTTATATCTTCAGGAGTTGTATCCATTTCTTTCTTTGGATTAGTTTTCAGAGTAATCCAGAAACCTGGGACGGCTATGCATCTCTGAAGAAGACAAAGACCTGTGGTCTTATTTGTTCCTTATACTTCTGAGCCTAGAGCCAGGATCAGGGTTGTAAAGGGCCAGGACCAGAAGGGCCTAGGACGTATTTCTCAGAGATTTCCAGGGTTTTGCTCCAGATGAAAAATTCCCCTTGCATTTAGTTAACTAGAACGTGAGACAAAAGCCACACCTTGGTCAAGCTGAGGTGAGCACTTGGAAAGAGCCGTGGTGATACTGACGTTTGCACTGATCACCCACCTGTCCACTCTGTTCCCAGGTGTGCCGGCATGTGAAGAATGGGGACATTCTGCTACTGAACCGACAGCCCACACTGCACAGACCCTCCATCCAGGCCCACCGTGCCCGCATCCTGCCTGAAGAGAAAGTGCTGCGGCTCCACTATGCCAACTGCAAGGCCTATAATGCCGACTTTGATGGAGACGAGATGAATGCCCATTTCCCCCAGAGTGAGCTGGGCCGGGCCGAGGCCTACGTCCTGGCCTGCACTGATCAGCAGTACCTTGTTCCCAAGGTAGGTCTGGCCTTGAGGCTGTTCCGTGGTCATCGTCAGCATGACTTAGCACTTTTAAGTTGGGCCCTGCCAGCCCCTGGGGTCATTGGGCAGCTCCAGGACAGGGGCGCCTGGAATGGAGGGTCCTGGTTTCTCCCAGGTGGGGCTTTTAGCCCATCTAGTGGCTTAGAGGCTGGGAAATGTTTCTGTTTTGCTGCGTTGTAAAATGTAAATCAGGACAGAAATTGTGATAGCCATCCCAGAAAGCCAACCTTAATAACTGTGTGATAGGTCTTGTGTTCAGCACTTAAATTTGGATTCTGCAACTTAGTAGCCCCCGGCTAGCATTAGCATCCCAACACTGTAATGGTTCTCATGGTCCACTGATGACTTTGATCCTTTGTTCTGACAAACATGAGTTTTAAGAAGCAGCCTAACCCCAAGGGCCCAGAAGAGATCCCGCAGCAGCCCGTGAAGGCATCTTCTGTCCCCTTTGAATCCTTTCCTTCTTTCTCCAAGTTCACTCCTCAAGGGCAACCCCTTGTGGTCACAGCTGTCCAGAGGGACACGAGGGAAGGATAGAACTTCCTCCCCCGTCTCCTTAGCAGCTGACTCTTGGCCAGGAGTGGCAGGGGCCTGAGTTAGCATGTGCTCATGGGAGGGACAGAGCGGGGAAAGAGGCAGGCTGCAGGAAAGAAGACAGAGTGTGTTCCAGTGCCTCCTTCACCCTCACCACCCACCCAAAGGTCTGAGTCCTCCTAAATTATAAGCCATTTGCGCCACAATGATTCATAGTTATACATCATTCATTTGGATTGTGGTGGAGTATGAAGAATAATCGTAACGTCAAACCAAGGCTCCCATTTCCCAAGTACTTTTTCAGTGCCATACACTGTGCAGAGAGCACTTTAGAGGCTCCTCATTTCACCCTCCCCACAGTCCTTGGAGGTAGGTGCTATTCATGTCCACATTTTACACTTGAAGGATTCGTGTAACTTGTCCAAGGACACTCAGCTGAGAAGCAGCAGGAAGGACAAGGAGTTCCTGGATCTTCCTAGGGTTTGTGCTACCACAGAGATGGAGACCTCTGTGCACAGGGAGTGCCAGGGGCTGCTCAGAGATGCCTAGTGTCAATCAGCATCCTCTGCTCCTTGGAGCTTCTCTATTCCCATCAGCCGTCTGCCACGAAGGAATCAGGCAGGTGGCCAGGAGCCCGGCATCCCGGACCCTTTTCCCACCAGATGCACCACTGTGGCTTCACAAGGGTCCCGGTTGTTTGAGTTGGCCTTTCCCTTCTCTGCCCACCTTTGTTGGCTGTGGATTAGCAAAGGGACTAAATGTAGGAAGAAGTGGTGAAGGGCCTACCCAGATTACTTGGAAATTAAAAAAAATACATTTGCTAATTTGAAAAGTGGCTTTTTATGTTTTCATTTAAATAATAATGTGGCTCTGTGGTGGTGGCAGTAAAAGCTGCCATTTATTAAGTGGGTCACAGGCCTTAGGCACTGCTGTAAGCAGTTTGCAGACATTCCCTTCCTTATGAGGTTGGTGTGATTTTCAGACAAGGAAACACCAAGTGAGTAATATGTCAGCCAGCAATGAGGCCAAGACTTGAACCCAGCAGCTTTGGACGACACCCGCCCCCCCCCCCCGCCCATGTGCTTGGCTGTGCGTGTTCTTAGCCCCACTCGACAGCCAAGGCTGGGACTAAGGGAAGGCAGGTGACAGGAAGTGGCTGCCAGAACTGTGTGGGTCTCTGACTCTATAGCAGCCGAGTCATATTTCACCAGAGGGGACACTACCGGGGAGCAGCAGATGGTTTTTTGCTGGCAGAGTGACCTGAGGCATTAGCTATGTGGGGAGTTGAGGTGCTCTGAAGTCCTCAGACCAGTGACCTTGAATGTGCTGTGCTTGATTTTGATTGAATACGGTGCAAAGCCATAGGAGACTTCATGCTTACATTGTGTCCTGCAGTGGGCTGACATATAAATCCAAGTGGACCTCATCACATGCTAATATGCCTATGAGTTTTAGGTTGGGCGTACACTTAAGGGAGGCAGGAGAACACAGGTAAATAAACTTAATGTCAATAAATTAATTTATTGAAAAAAGCTTATGGGAGATGGCTTGAAGATTCACTGTACTTTCATTCACTTTCTTTTGTCGGAGGTAAAGAGCTTTTGATTCTTGATAAATTTTATTTAGTCCTTGGTGTAAATGCCAAGAAGTGGAATCCTTATATTTGCTAATGGTTATAAAAATGCAACATGTCTTTATTGGCAGAGTCCTAAAAGGACAAGAGCTGATTTGGTTAAACTAGGAAAACCAGTATTTTGAGGTAATTTTTCTTAGCATATCTTTATTTCCCTTAGTTTCCATATTTCTTTATTTATAATTCAATTTCTTCTCTATTACCAGGTTATCTTCCTTAAGTAACCATAATACTGAATTAAAGTACATTTTGTCGTTGGTTTTATGTACTTAGTAGAGTTTTGTGGCGTCTTTTTACTTAAAATAGGAGTTGAATGGAACTCATTTCTTTTCCATGAAAACAGTTAAACTTTTCATTTATGTGTTACTTTTTGGACTAATTTTTTTTCCTTCTGTTTATTTATTGAGGGCCCATACTTTGTGGAAAGTTTTTAAGCAAGGCTTCAGATATGTTTCCTGACTTCTACTTAGTCAGCTAGAAAATTCAAGTTACAGGGATACCCTATTCACAAAGCATCCTAACCAGAGACATTAATTGTAATGTCATTTTGCTATTAAGGAGAATAGTAAAGCTGACAATTGTCTGGGGTTTTGATTCAGAGGTGTTCTTTCTGATCCTAAGCAGGAGTTAGGAAATTTAGAATTATAAGTAGACCTTTAGTAATTGCTTTAATCAGCATTCTGCCATAGAATTTGTGATGATTGCATTGAAAATGATTTAGCCATCAAAGTAATTGTCTAGTCATGGAAAAATCTGGACAGAGAGAGGAAAAGGCACTGAATAGATCACAGAACCTGTAATTATGTTCTTTAAGGAAAAAAACAAAAGGAAAAATCAGTATCTGCCCCCCAAAGACTGTGAGATGAGTCAAATGCATAATACTGGTTTGGGTTTTTCCCCCAAGCAAAATAAGACCATCTAGGCAACAAGAGGTAGAGTATAATTTTTTTATGTACATTATTAAGTGAAAGCCTTCATAAGAGGGGCTGTGTGCTCCATCTGATCTTGCCTTAGGTCTGTGCCACCTTTCCAGCCCATCTGTAATCGTTATCTTTGAGTTTACATAGAGCCCATCACTGTAGTGTTTAGACCATTTGACAAGGATCCTTTTTTAGCCTTTGAGTTAGTACATATGGTTAAATTTCTGGTGCTTCTCCCAGACTGCATTTGTGAGTTCCCTTAGCCTTAGTTATAAAACATGACCATACTGTTGGCTAGTATTTAACAAATAATCAAATGATTAATAATCTTTATATCCAAGGCACAGGTTTTTCTCAAATTCCTATAAACATTGAAAAGTTTACAAAATCTACATCTTAAAGAACGTCAGTGAGCATAGCTATTTTTACTTCAGCGTGCGTTATGTTGCCGTGAACACAGACCCGACAGATAAGGTTCAGGAGACTGGGGATCAGAATGGCTGTGAAAGTGTCAAATGAAATTAATGCACTCACCAAATCTCAGGCTTTTCATAAAAGCCTTTCTTTTTGGCATCTGGTAGATAACAGCCTTTATTAAGGGCCCACCATGAACCCTGTGCTGTGTTGTGAAGAGATAACTAATAATGGCTATTCTCCCTTCTGCAGTCATGCACATCAGGCCCACTCACAGCTCTCTTGAGGAACCTGTGCCGGAACCCCTTCCTCCCAACACTGGCCAGCTCACCCCTCAGGCCTCAACTGTGAAACTGCCCTTCGGAGAGGCTATTTCTGACCATCCCCCTCACCTCAAGTCTATATTATGACCCACCCTGTTATTTTCCTCTTTGGCATTTAAAACACTTTGTGATATTGTATTTATCCAATCATTTGTTTACTGTCTAGTTCTTCTTCATCATAAAGGACCATGTCTGTTTGGTCCCCTGGAGTAGGGAAAAGCCTACCCAGTGCCTAGGCATTCAGGAGGCTCCTGATAAATATTTGTTGAGTGCATGACTGATTTACAGAAGAGCCAGGCCAGAAACGTGTGAAAAATACTAAAGCATAAAACCAAAGTATAAAAACAAGAACACAGCTGACAGCAGCCAGACCAAATTTAGGCATAAATGCCAAAAATATGCTGGAGTAACTAGAACCAGATGGGATTAAACAGAGAAGGCCGGGGGAACGGGATGAGTTTGAAGCAGTCTTGATATAGGATAGTGGGCAAATGGCAAACGTAGAAGCCAGTGCTAAACCCTGGTCATGTGCTTTGGGAAGCAGTTGGCTCCCAAGCAAGAACATAGTGAGGATGTGGGCAAGACAAGACAGGGATATAAGAAGGGCTCTTGATAGAAAGTGGCTTCCAGGCAGGCGATTAGGGATTAGAGTTTGACTTAAGATTTATTTTCATTCTTCTTGTGTTGTCTGTTTTGGCTTATAGGATGGCCAACCATTGGCGGGACTGATCCAGGATCACATGGTTTCAGGGGCAAGCATGACTACTCGGGGTTGCTTTTTCACCCGGGAGCACTATATGGAGCTGGTGTACCGAGGACTCACGGACAAAGTGGGGCGCGTGAAGCTCCTTTCTCCTTCCATCCTGAAGCCCTTTCCGCTGTGGACAGGAAAACAGGTAATTGGGAGAGAACAGCCAGTGTATGTAACAAAAGGAAATAGGCCACTCATGTAAAAGGTTTTATTCTCAGAAGAGTCCAGACCAGAGACAGAGAAATGGCTAAGCCAGCAATAGTCTGACTTTCTTTCCCCTTTGTTTGGGGTTCCTGAGTCTGGGTGGCTTCAAGGGAGTGTCTAGCAAGAGTAGACTGCATAGTAGCCTGGTGCAGTGGCTCACACCTGTAATCCCAACACTTTAGGAGACTGAGGCGGGCAGATCACCTGAGGTCTGGAGTTTGAGACCAGCCTGGCTAACATGGTGAAACCCTATCTCTACTAAAAGTACAAAATTAGCTGGGCGTGGGATTAGTGCCTGTAATCTCAGCTACCGGGAGGCTGAGGCAAGAGAATCGCCTCAGCCTGAGGCAAGAGAATCGCTTGAACCCAGGAGGTGGAGGTTGTAGTGAGTCAGGATCAGCCACTGCACTCCTGCCTGGGCAACAGAGTGAGACTCCGTCTCCACAAAAAAAAAAAAAGTAGACTGCATAGTTTCTGTCCTTTGCTTCTAACTTAAATTTGGTGTCCTCATAATACAAATATGGTGGTAATAGGCAGTGGTGCTGGTGGAGTAATAGTAATATTTGTTGGGAAGTTCCATATGTTTGCTGAGTGCTTTAGACACATTATCTGATTTAATACTCACGACTAATCTGCAATGCAGACACCATTATTATCTCCATTTAGGAGATGATAAATTACATGCCCAAGACTACAGGAGACAGATCAAACCCAGGACTTTTCAACCCCAGAAGCATCATACCATACTTCCTCTCAAAGTAACCAAATTACATGATATGTGGCGACCAAATAATGAAAAACAGTAAAATATGTTCTTCTGCTGTTGCCTGAGTATCCAAGTTCAGCCTTAAGGATCAACTTCTAATTGGCTATGTGATCTTAGCCCTGTGTGTCTCAGTTCCTCATCATTTCCTGGGACAGTAGAAATTAACTTGCTAAGCTAAGTTCTGATTCTAAACATGGTTTTTCTCTTTGAAACCAGACTAACCCACAAACAAATTCTTGCATAGTGTAGTCACTCTTGCCCTTTTCACCTGTTGGCAAAAAAAAAGCCCGTACCAACCTTTAGAGACACACTAAAAAATCTCACCCGTGACAGAAGCAAAACCTGGACCTATTTCCTAATTTTATTTGGTACAGAGGATTTTAAAAGGATTCAAGATGTGGCCTCTGGGCATAATGGAATTTGGAAATCAGCAACCAAGATATTTGGAAAAGCCCTCAATATTTGTACTTCTAAATAACGTACTTCTTAAATAGCTCATGGGTCAAAAGAATCTAAAGGGAAATTAGAAAGCATTCTGAAGTAGATGAAATGAAAACACAACAAAATTTGTGGGATGCCACTGAAGCAGAACTTAAGGGGGAAATTTATACATAAAATGCCTAGGTTGAAAAGAAGAAAAAGGGTCCCAAATCAATGACTTCAGCTTCAAGTTCATGATCTCTAAGGTCTCTTCCTGCTCTCCAGTTCTTAGTCTGTGGACCTGGAACTTGATTTTCCTTTTTAAGCCAACCTTGCATTCCTGGATAAACCTTCCTTGGTCGTGAGGTATTATCCTTTTTATATATTATTGAATTCAATTTGCTAATATTTTGTCTAGAATTTTTTTACTTCTGTGTTTGTGATAGATATTGGTCTGTAGTTTTATTTTCTTATAATATGTTTGTTTGGTTTTGGTATCAGGGTAATCCTGGCCTCACAGAATGAGG
Source organism: Homo sapiens (assembly GCF_000001405.40). NCBI lineage: Eukaryota > Metazoa > Chordata > Mammalia > Primates > Hominidae > Homo > Homo sapiens. Next base: position 86,063,501 of record NC_000002.12, on the reverse strand, counting down.
TGTTAGGAGGTATTTCCTCTGGTTTTCTGTAAGAGTTTGTGTAGTACAGTATTCATATTATTTATTCCTTAAATGTGTTGTAGAATTCACCAGTGAAGGCATCTGGGCCTAGAGTTTCTTTGTGGCAAGGTTTTCTTTCTTTTTTTTTTTTTTTTTTTTTTTTTTTGAGATGGAGTTTTGCTCTTGCTGCCCAGGCTGGAATGCAATGGTGTGATCCTGGCTCACCGCAACCTCCACCTCCCAGATTCAAGCAATTCTCCTGCCTCAGCCTCCCAAGTAGCTGGGATTACAAGCATGCGCCACCATGCCCGGCTAATTTTGTATTTTTAGTAGAGATGGGGTTTCTCCATGTTGGTCAGGCTGGGCTCGAACTCCCAACCTCAGGTGATCCACCAACCTTGGCCTCCCAAAGTGCTGGGACTACAGGCCTGAGCCACCGCGCCCAACCTGTGGGAAGATTTTCAATTAAAATTTCTATTTCTTTAGTAGACATAGAGCTATTTTTGGTTATCTACTTCTTGAATGAGCTTTAATTGTTTGTGTTTTTCAGGGAATTTGTCCATTTCATCTAAGTTACTGAATTTATAGGCACAAAGTTGTTCATAATGCTCCTTTGTTGACCTTTTCTATCTGTATTGCCTGTAGTGGTGTCACTTCTCTCATTCCTGACATTGATAATTTGTGTCTTCTCTTTTTTCCTGATCAGTTTGCCTAGAGGTTTATCAGTTTTATTCTCAAAAAAAAGTCTTTGGTTTTATTGACTTTATTTTTCTGTTTTCTGTTTCGTTGATTTGAACTTTATCACTCCCTTTCTTCTGTTTACTTTGGTTTAATTTGCTCTTTTTTTTTTCCTAGTTCTTTAAGTTCTTTAAGTCAATTTGAGACCCCTTTTCTTCTTTCAATGTAGGCATTTTATGTATAAATTTCCCCCTTAAGTTCTGCTTAAGTAGCATCCCACAAATTAATATGTTGTGTTTTCATTTCATCTACTTCAGAATACTTTCTAATTTCCCTTTTGATTTTTTTTTTCAATCCATGAGTTATTTAGAAGTATGTTGTTCAGTTATTTAGAAGTACAAATATTGAGGGCTTTTCCAAATATCTCGATTGTTGATTTCCGGTTTAATTTCATTGTGCCTAGAGACTGCACCTTGGATCCTTTTCAAATCCTTTGTACCAAATAAAATTGGGAAATAGGCCCAGGTTTTGCTTCTGTCATGGGTGAAGTTTTTCATTGTATCTCTAAAGGTTGGTACAGGCTTTTTTATTTTGCAAATAGGTGAAAAGGGCAAGAGTGACTACACTACACAAGAATTTGTTCATGGTTCAGCCTGGTGCTACAGAGAAAAACCATGTTTAGAATCAGAAGATAAGGAACTTAGCTTAGGAAGTTTATTTCTACTGCCCTGGGAAATGAAGTCTTAGAGTGTTTCTCCAGGTCATTTCATACAGCCTCTTGATTGATTTTCTATTTACAAACCGAAGGTCTCTCATTATTTGTTCAAAGAGCATGCAAAGAAAGAGATTTGCCTGTCATTGCAAATCTCGAGTTTATAACTCAGTGCACATTCACAAAGTGAATACATCTTTGCAAACTCTCACCCAGATCAGAAAGTAGCATATCACCAGCACCCCCAGAAGACCCCTCCACGGCCCCTCCCAGTTTCTACCCCTCGTCAAAGGTAATTACTAACTTGACTTCCAACACTATAAACAAGTTTTGTCTTTCCTTGAAGTTTATTTAAATGAAATCTATCTTTGTGTGTTACCCATGTTATTGTATATAGTAGCAGTTTATTTTTTATTGCTTTATAATGTTCTATTATGTGAATATGCCATCATGTATTTATCCATTTTTCTATTGATACACATTTGAGTTGTCTTCACTTACCTTCATTTGACTGTTACAAATGGGGCTACTGTGAACACTTGTCGTGTGTATCTTTTGTTGAACACATATATACATTTCAGTGGGTAACTATTGAGGCATGGAATTACTAGGTCATAAGATATGTGTTTAACTTTAATAGATAGTTTCCTAAAGTTTTCCAAAATGCTTGTAATAATACACACTTCTACCAGGATGGAGTGCAGTTGTGCCATCTTGGCTCACTGCAACCTCTGCCTCCCAGGTTCAAGTCATTCTCTTGCCTCAGCCTCTCGAGTAGCTGGGATTACAGATGTGCTCCACCACACCTAGCAAATTTTTGTATTTTTAGTAGAGACAGCGTTTTTCCATGTTAGACAGGCTGGTCTCAAACTCCTGACCTTAGGTGATCTACCCACCTCAGCCTCCCAAAGTGCTGGGATTACAAGCATGAGCCACCTCGCCCAGCTGTTGTTGTTGTTTTCTTTTTCTGGTTTATTTGTTTAATTTTAGCTGTTCAGGTGAGTATGTAGTGGTATCTTACTGTTTTAATTATCATGTCCTTAATGACAAGAGAGGTTGAGCACCTCTTCATATGCTTATTGGCCATTTGGATATCATCTTTTGTGATGTGCCTTTTCAAATCTTTTGCCTATTTCTATGTCATTTTCTTATTGACAGATGAGAGGTTTTTAAACTATAATTTGGTATAAGTCCATTAGCAGATATATACATTGCAAATACCTTCTACTTGGTGGCTAGCCTTTTCACCTAATACTGTTTTCTAATGATCAGAAGTTTCTAATTTATAGCCAATCTTGGCTTTTTGTGACTAGTCCTGTAGGAGCTCTTTGCCTGCCCTGAGGTCTTGTAGGTATTCCCCTCTGTTATCGTCTAGTAGCTATATTGTTTTACCTTTCACACTTGGGTCTGCTATCTGCCTAGGGATGATTTTTGTGGATGTGCATGAAGTGAGGTAGGGGTCAAGAGTCATATTTTCCCATATGGATTTCCTAGCCAGTGAATGCAACATCATTTGTTGAAAAGTCCACTGCTCTACTGCTAGTACTCCTGTGTCACAAACCAAGTAGTAATATATGAGTGGGTATGTTTCTGGACCCTGTTTGTTTCCATTGCACCAACAGCACACTGTCTTAATTACTGTGGGTTTATACTAAATCTTGACTTCTGATAGTAAAAGTCTACAGCTTTGTTCTTCAAGACTGCCTTGATAGGCTTTAATTACATCTCAATATACCTTTAAAAAAAAAAGACTGTCAACTATTTTGGGGTGTTTGTATTTCCATATAAATTTTAAAGTCAGCTTGTAAACTTTCACACTGTGCACACAAATACCTGCTAGAATTTTTCATTGGGATTGCATTGCCTCTGTAGGTCACTTTAGGGAGAATCAACGTATTTACACTATTGAGTCATCTAAATTATGAACATAGTATGTCCTTCAATTATGTAAAAGCCTTATACATCTTTTCATTAGATTCACTCCTGGATACTGCTATGGTAGATGATACTGTCTATTAAATTTTCTAATTGTTTATGATTGGTGTCTAGAAATACAATTAATTTTGTATATTGTCCTTATATTCGACAAGCTTTATGAATTCAGTTATTAGATCTCTGTCCTTCAAGTTCTTTTAAACTATAAAAGTAAACAAGTTTATTGATAAAGATAAAAGGAAAAACTCCCTCCCTCCCCAACCCCACTCTCCATATACACACATACTCTCATAGAAAATAAATAAGAATGAGGCCAGGCATGGTGGATTATGCCTATTATCCCAGCACTTTGGGAGGCCAAGGTGGGTGGATCACATGAGGCTAGAAGTTTGACACCAGCCTGGCCAATATGGCAAAACCCCGTCTCTACTAAAAATATAAAAATTAGCCAGGGGTGGTAGTGTACATTTGTAATCCCAGCTACTCAGAAGGCTGAGGCACGAAAATCACTTGAACGTGGGAGGCAGAGGTTGCATTGAGCTGAGATTGCACCACTGCACTCCAGCCTGGGCGACAGAACGAGACTCTGTTTCAAAAAAAATAAAAGAAATAATAAAATCATATCATACCTTCCCTGGGACTGTTCAGGAGAACCATGAACCACAATTAAATCTGACATTCAACCACCTGATAAATCTGATATTTACAACCACCTGTTTGACCATGACATCCTGGTACCTGAAGCATGCATTTTCCTGATGGCCAGGCACATGGACCTCAGATTTGGCTGGTCTTTAAGATGGCTTACTCTGAACGAGCCACCAAGTCCTCCAAAGGGAACTCCATTATATCAGACAGTCTGCTTTTTCATTGGGACCACACTAACACACTCTAAATATGGCAAGAAGTTCATTTAAATGTTTTCATAGGCTATGCTGACAAATGTTTTTGTAATTGTCTTGTGACTGATTTCATTCACTGGATGTACTGGGGGCTCATTCTGTGTCTGTACATGTAGATCTGCCTCGTTCTTTTTAACCCCTCCTGTGTTGTATTCAGTGATATGGGTATACCACAGATGACTTAACTGTCCCTCTATTAGTGGATGTTCCGATTATTACCTGGTTTTTACTATTCTAAACAGTGCTGTGGTGAACACCCATTTCTGTATATGTTAGTGTACTTTCATTGACTTATCTTTTATTATTATTATTATTATTATTGTAGAGCTGGTGTTTCACTGTGTTGCACTGGCTGGTCTCGAACCCCTGGCCTCAAGTGATCCTCCAGCTTCAGCCTCCCAAAGTGCTGAGATTACAGGCATGATCCACCATGCCTGGCCAAGTATATCTGTTAGATAAATTCTTAAAGTACAATTGCTGGGTCAAAGGATATAGACATTTCAATACATTTTTTTAAATCCATTTTATTTTTAAGACTTTTTTTAAGGTTAATACAGGCTTAGTATAAATAATAATTCCCATAGATATTGCTGCCCTTCTTGGTTTAAGAAAACATTGCAGATTTTTTCTCCCTAGCATAGTTTATGACCAGAAAGTAAATTATACATTTCTAGAATGTTAGTGCAAGAGGAGACTTCAGTTCCTCTTGTCTGGGTCCTTTATGTTTTTTTTTTTTTCATTAAGATATAATTCATATTCAACATAAAATTTACCATTTTATGAGGTAGGAGGATTGCTTGAGGCTAGGAATTCAAGACCAGCCTGGCAACACAGTGAGACCCCCATCTCTATTTAAAAAAAAAAAAAAAAAAAAAAGGCTGGGTGAGGTGGCTCACACCTGTAATCCCAGCACTTTGGGAGGCCAAGGCGGCCGGATCACGACATCAGGAGTTTGAGACCAGCCTGACCAACCTGGTGAAACCCTGTCTCTACTAAAAATACAAAAATTATCCAGGCATGGTGGCACATGCCTGTAATCCCAGCTACTCAGGAGGTTGAGGCAAAAGAATCACTTGAACCCAGGAGGTGGAGCTTGCAGTGAGCCAAGATCGTGCCATTGCACTCCAGCCTGGGCGACAGAGCGAGACTCCATCTCAATAAATGAATAGAGTAGAGTAGAGTAGAGAGAGTAGAGTAGAGTAGCTGGGCATGGTGGCACACACCTATAGCCCTAGCTACTTGGGAGGCTGAGTATGAGGCTGCAGTGAGCTATGATTGTGCCACAGCACTCTAGCCTAGGTGACAGAGCAAGACCCTGTCTCTCTTTTTTTTTTAAAGGACCATTTCAAAGTGTATAAGTAGGTTTTTAGTGTATTCACTATGTTGTGCAACCATCACCACACTGTAATGCCAGAACATTTCCATCACTCCAAAAAGATGACATGTACCTAATAGGTACAGCAGTCAGTCCCAATTCCTCCTTCCTTCTCATCCCCTGACAACTACTTTTTACCTGTATGAATTAGCCTGTTTTGGACATTTCATATAAGTTGTATCAAACAATATGTAGCCTTTTATGACTTATTTCTTTTACTTAATGTTTTCCAGTTCCATCCATTTTTTAGTATGTAATAGTACTTTATTCCTCTTTATGGATGAATAACATTCCATTGTTTCCTCTGTATCCATTTGTCAGTTGATAAATGGATAATTTGGATTGTTTCCATTTTTTGGATACTACAAATAAACCTGCAATGAACATTTGTGTACCAGTTTTTGTATGAACGTGTGTTTTCAGTTTTCCTGGGTATATACCTAGAAGTAGAATTGCTGCATCATATAGTAATTCTATATTCAACTTTTCTGAGGAACTTGCAAACTATTTTTCAAATCAGGTGTGTTATTTACATTTCCACTAACAATGTATGAAGGTCTCAGTTACTCCACATTTTCACCAACACTTATTTTTTGTTCTTTTTTTTCCTTTATAGATTCTTCTAATTCTAGTTCTATTTCTACTACTGCTGCCATTACTTCCTCCACTGAAGTCTTGACCCTCTGAAAGTCATACTTAAGGGTTGGAATCAACTTGTTCCAAACTCCTGTTAATACTGATGTTCCTCCCATGAATCACAAATTTTTTAATGACATCTAGAATGGTGAATCATTTCCAGAAGGTTTTCCATTTACTTTGCCCATATGCATCAGAAGAATCACTATCTATGGCAGCTACAGCCTTAATGAAATGTATTTCTTAAATAATAAGGCTTGAAAGTCAAAATAACTCCTTTATCCGTGGGCTGCAGAATGGATATTGTGTTAGCAGACATGAAAACAGCATTAATTTCCTTGCATATCTTCAGAGCTCTTGGGTGACCAGATGCATTGTCAATGAACAGTAGTAATATTTTGAAGGAACCTTTTTTTCAGAGCAGTAGGTCTCAACAGGTACTTGAAATAGTCAGCAAAACATGCTGTAAACAGATGTGCAGTCACCCACGCTTTGTTCCACTTATAGGCACAGGCAGAGTCGATTTAGCATAATTCTTAAGGGCCCTAGGATTTTTCACAATGGTAAATGTTCACTGGTTTCAACTTAAAGTCACCAGCTGCATTAGCCCCTAACAGGAGAGCCAGACTGTCCTTTGAAGCTGTGAAGCCAGACTTCTCGCTAGCTGTGAAAGTCCTATATGTGGCATCTTCTTCCAATAGAAGGCTCTTTTATCTACATTGCAAATCTATTGTTTAGTGCGGCAACCTTCATCAGTGATCTTAGCTAGATCTTCTCGCTTAGCACTACCTTCTTTTTTTTTTTTTCTTTTTGAGATGGAGTATCGCTCTGTCACCCAGGCTGGAGTGTAGTGGCGCAATCTCGGCTCACTGCAACCTCCAATTCCCTGGTTAAAGCAATTCTCCTGCCTCAGCCTCCCGAGTAGCTGGGATAACAGGCACCCGCCACCATGCCCAGCTAATTTTTGTATTTTTAGTAGAGACGGGATTTCACCATGTTGGCCAGGTTGGTCTCAAACTCCCGACCTTAAGTGATCCGCCTGCCTTGGCCTCTCAAAGTGCTGGGATTACAGGTGTGAGCCACCACACCTGGCCGGAACTTTTTCTTAATTTCATTTTCAGATTGTTCATTGCTAATATAGAGAAAGAGAATTAATTTTTATATGTTGACCTTGTATCCTTCAGCTTTGAATAAGTCATTTACAAGCTCTAATAATTTGTTTTGTTGGCACTTAAGGGTTTTCTCTCTATAATATCATGTCATCTGCAAATGTGGTTGTACTTCTTTCTCTCTAATCTGGATGTCTTTTATTTATTTTCTTGCCTAACTGCCCTGGCTAGAACCTCTAGTACATTGTTGAATAGAAATGGCAAGCGTAGACATCCTTGTCTTGGTCCTGACTTTAGGCAGAAGGCATCCAGTCTTCTATCATTGAGCATGTTAGTAGTAGGTTTTTCATAGGTGCCTCCCTTTATTAGGTTGGTGACAGTCTGTTCCTAGTCTGTTGAGTATTTTTATCCTGAAAGGGTGTTGGAGTTTATCAAATGCTCTTCTGCCCCATTGATTTTACAGATGAAGTGGCAGGTCATATTTCCCTGCCCTTGGATGGGTGTGTTTCTGTTACCTTTCACACCAAGTTCCAGTCTTGACTATGCCTAGCCTGGGGGTCCCCACTGTGCATGTGGCACCTTGGTTGAGGTGCAGCTTGAAGTAGGCACCCCAGGACGTGTCACTCTCCTGCCTTTGCTCCCTCACCCCACTCACCGCACAGTGCTGGCCTTCTATGGAGTTGAGGCATGGAGAGTGTGGGTCATAACCTTTCTGGTCATCTTCTGCTGAGAAAACAGAATATTTTCTGCTCTCTTTAATAATGCTGTTGTCCATTGTCCCCTGCTCCTGGTGCACGTGGGTGAAAAGGCAGCTGCTCTTATAACTGCCCTGTCCCATTGCCCACTCTCTTTTTTTTCTTGAGACAGAGTTCCACTCTCTCACCCAGGCTGGAGTGCAGTGATGTGATCTTGGCTAACTGCAATCTCTGCCTTCTGGATTCAAGCGGTTATCGTGCCTCAGCCTCCTGAGTAGCTGGAAGTATAGGTGCACGCCACCATGCCCGGCTAAATTTTGTATTTTTAGTAGAGATGGGGTTTCACCATGTTGGCCAGGATGGTCTCGATCTCTTGACCTCATGATCCACCCGTCTCAGCCTCCCAAAGTGATGGGATTACAGGCGTGAGCCACCGCGCCCTCGTTGCACACATCTAAAGACACTACTTTGTGGGGCCTGCTGCAGGCACACTAAGCGCTGTTGATGGCAGTTAGTCTCCCAGCCCTGGAGCCTGTCACACCTGCCGGTCTGCCCCTGCCCTGCTTCATCTCTGGGAATGTGTGCACCTGCATTCGGCCCTTCTGTAGCCAACTCTGGTTATCTCCAGATAAAGCTGTCTCCCTTTGAGCTCTCTGCAGAGCAGCCGCTTGAGAAAGCGCTTCTCTTGGCTTCCTGTTAGCAGTGCTTGTTGGGTGGATGACCCCTCTGAGGGATCCAACTGGGGCCAGGGAAAGATTCCTTGGCTTTTCAGTAGCTATAATTAATTCCAGTCATAGTAAAGAAATATCTGAGTATGTGGCATAAAATGAAAACAATTTACTTTTTCCTCTCCTTCCTTTGGTCTATTTAGGAATTTAATTCAAGTCTAGGGGATTATTCACTTTAAGAACTATTTTAGGGAGTAAAAATCCCAGTGAAGTTCTTTTTTGTTTTCATTCCTCATTGGTTTAAATAAAACCTGAAATCACCTTGTCCTATGGAGGTGGACCTGTCTGTTTTTCTTGCCATACCTGAGATCATCAGAAATGGCATTGCAAGGGCAGGAGGTCCTAAAAGGGAAGTTCTTAACTCTTCTTTTTGCCATCAGTTTGTCCTCATTTTGCCATCACTTTTCTTTTTGCCATCAGTTTGTCCTCTTTTTCTTTGCAGGTTGTGTCAACGCTGCTCATAAATATAATCCCAGAGGACCACATCCCACTGAACTTATCTGGAAAGGCGAAAATCACTGGGAAAGCCTGGGTGAAGGAAACTCCTCGATCCGTTCCTGGCTTTAACCCTGACTCGATGTGCGAGTCCCAGGTATGGCTGTCCAGCTGTGTGGAGTGGAGACTTCTAGTGCCGGGGTTAGACAGATTGGTTTAAAATGGAGACAGAAATGGAGGCACATTCACAGAAGCAGGTACTGTGCCTCAGAAGAGAAGGCGTTGTGCCTGAGTTGTTGTCAGCTTTTGTTTCGGAAGGGTTCAGGGTTGATCTCCAGCATTTGACCCTCAGTATAAAACTCACAAGCAGTTTAGGAAAGCTTCTCCTGCAAAAAGGCTGAAATTGATTATGCAAAGCTTGGCAATGCAGAGTCCTGTTTTCCTGCAAGACTGCTGAGTGGCTTCAGATAATCAAACTGGTATAAGGCTCCACACCCATAACTCTGAGCCTTAGGAACCAGGCCACAAAAGGACAGGCCCAGGGCAGAGAGAGCTGTCCACACTGAAGATTTCCAAGGCCTCTGCATGTTCCCAGTGGAGAAGTCTTTCCAGGCCCCCAGTGCACAACGCGTTATCACAGAGTCTTAATGGACAGTCCATTCACCCCGAAACTGCCAGGTTTCTTTTCCTTTATAGACCATATGCTTCATGGGTGCTACATTACGCAGCTAGAAATGCTTTTCTGTTCATTAGCTTCTAATGCTTTAACCCAGCTTTGAGAAAGTACACATTCAGGCCTTAGAGGATGTTAGGAAGATTTTGTTGTTACTCCCAGGGTTCAAGGGAGGAAGTACCTAGGCCAGAGGCACAGTTACGAGGTTGAAGCTCGCCACTTCAGGAAGACCTTGTAACTAGAAGCTCCCATGTCCGGTCACAGGTCTTTGTCAAGGATACTTGACCTCAAGTCAGCGTGGGTGGGTGTGGGGAGTAGGGGATATAAAACACATGGAGAGAGAGTGTGAGTGTGTGTGTATGTCTCTGTGGTATAGTCCCTGAAGGGAAGAAAAAAAACTGCTGGTCTGTATATGCTTGCCTCTGTTATATTAAAAAATAATAATAATATATATAGAGAGAAAATACTAGTTTCACATATGCCCTACTTTTTTCCATGAAGGATTCTAGGCGGGTCACAGTAGAGGGACTTGCACAACGAGGGTCACACATGGAGTAGAGGGTGGGTGACTCCCACAGGAGGCATCACCCGCAGCCCGGCATTGGTGGCCTTGCCCTCTGCAGGTGATCATCAGGGAAGGGGAGCTGCTCTGCGGAGTGCTGGACAAGGCGCACTATGGGAGCTCCGCCTACGGCCTGGTCCACTGCTGCTATGAGATCTATGGAGGCGAGACCAGCGGCAAGGTTCTAACCTGCCTGGCCCGCCTCTTCACCGCCTACCTGCAGCTCTACAGAGGCTTCACCTTGGGTAAGTGCCGGGCTCGCTGCCCTGGGGCAGTGACCCGTCAGCGCAGCCGCCTGGCCATCTCCCAGGCCCAGGACAGAGAGAGCCGTCCACACTGAAGATTTCCAAGGCTTCTGTGTGTTCCCAGTGGAGAAGTCTTTCCAGGTCCCCAGTGCACCACGCTTTATTACAGGGTCTTAACAGATAGTCCATTCACCCCCAAAACTGCCAGGTTTCTTTTCCTTTGTAGACCATATGCTTCATGTGTGCTACATTACACAGCTAGAAATTCTTTTCTGTGTCCTCTCGGGAAGGAGCTGGGAAGTAACCAGGCTCCTCCTACAAAGGCGCCCTCACTTGGCCACCCCTCTCCTCCACAGCCAGTGCTTATTCCCGTTCACAGTGCAGAATGGCACCCTCGTGCCCATTTCCATTCTGTTTCTTTCCTAACCCCTCCCTTTACAGGTTTCTGTCCTCGGACTGATTTCTCATACTCTTACAACCCCATTCCCTGCTACACAAGTGCCCTTTCAGAATTCTCAGGGCCCATCCCACTCCACAGAGGGGTTTCCCTTTTGTCAGAACTGCCCACTGCCGGCTGGGTGCAGTGGATCACACCTGTAATCCCAGCACTTTGGGAGGCCAAGGTGGGTGGATCACTTGAGCCCAGGAGTTCGAGACCAGCCTGGCCAACATGGAGAAACCCCGTCTCTACTAAAAATACAAAAATTAGCCAGGTGTCGTGGCAAGCACCTGTAATCCCAGCTACTCAGGAGGCTGAGGCGGGAGAATTGCTTGAACCCAGGAGGCAGAGGTTGCAGTGAGCCGAGATTGTGCCATTGCACTCCAGCCTGGGTGATGGAGCCAAAGAACTGCCCACGCCTTCCCACTGCGGTGGGGCCATCAGCGCTCTTGGAAACACTATGCTGGGCAAACCTGTCGGGGTGATCCTAAGACACGAAGAGGAACTACCTTGTTTGCACCCCAGAAATGAGTGCACGCTGTTTTAGGAAAATGGCTTTGATAAAGAGGCTTCACCTTGGGTGAGTGCTGGGCTCACTGCCCTGGGGCTCCCCTGAAGCAGTCACCTGGCCCCTTTTAGTGTGGGCTTGAGATCAGATCTGTCCAAAGGCTCAGCCCCTGGCCAGGCTTATGGAGGACACTGCACCTCCATGTACACAGAGCAGGGTCCAGCCCTTCCACGCTGTTCGCGTTAGGGGGACGCGAGATGCTGCGTGTCAGGCATGCACCGCAGTGTGCATAGGCGTTGTCTGGTTCATGGTGGAAGTAAGGCTCCTTTGCTTCACAGACCCACTCGTGTGCAGACAGAGTGGGAGTCTCAGCGTAGGGCCTGTGGACCTGCAGCTGCTGCAGCTGGAGTTTGTTCATTGGCCCACACTGGGGCCTGCATTATACATTTTATTCTATTTTAATTGTATCATATATTTAATCATGGAAAGGTTAAAAAAAAAAAAGCATACATGAAGATAATTTAAAATCACCCAGCATGCATTTGTCAGAGATAACCACTAATAGTAATTTGATGTTTGTTTTTCTAGACTTTTCTAGTACAAATACATTTGGAAAAAGTGGGATCCTACGCTACATACTCTACTTCCCTTACCCACCCACCCACCAAATGTCCAAATGTATTTATAAATGTCCTTTGGGATCAGCTAATACAAGTCTACATCCTCATGTCTGGTAATTACAGATTATTCCATTCTTATGGATATATTGTAGTTTATTTAACCAGTTCCTATAATTAAACATTTAGGCTGCGTCCAGATTTTCACATTATTGCTGGGATGAGCATCCTTGAACAAACATCTTGGCTTATATGTCCCATTATTTTACCAGGATAAGGATTATAAGTTAAGTCTGTTTGGCAGCTGAAACTCACCTTCCCCCATCTTAATTCCACTAAGAGACCTGAGCCACTTCTGGGCTCAAGGTCCAAGGTCACCCACTTCCAGTTGGGAACCAGACTAGAGTACCTTCCAGGATAACCAAAGAAAGTGAAGCATGATGACTACACCTCATGAAATGTATATTTCAGTTTCAAATGGTGACCTAGAATAAGCACAAGGATTTCTGCTAACTAGAAAAAATCAGAGCGCTTTTGAAACGAAAATAGAGGAAGATCCCACACCCAGCTCATGATGAGGAACAAACTTAACAAAGGTGCCAGGCTTTAGCTCTGCTTAGTGCATGGTACAAAGAGCAGTTGGTCCCTTGAGTGTGAAGATGATCCAGAGGCTCAGGGCTGCAGAAGGAAGCAGGGCCAAGCTGGGAGTGGGGCTACAAGGGGGAACAGGCGAGAGATTGACTTCACTCCAGCCCGTCTCAGCTAGCGGGGTCCATAAAGGGCACAGCTAGTTGGCCTGTAGCTGAACCCATGGGAATGCCCACTTTCACGGTGTGGCCTGCTTACAGAGGAACTGTTTCTTTCCCCTTCTGTTCACACATGTTCTTAGAAGCCCTCCAGGACCTTGCGTTGGGAATTCCAAATATTTCAGCCCCATCTTTTGAACAGTACACCTGCTGTTTTCTTTCCCACTCAGATCTTGGCTGAGGGACTCTTGAGTCCAGTAGCACTTACAGTTGCAGAAAAGAACTAGTTTTGGCCAGGTGCAGTGGCTCACTCCTGCAATCCCAGCACTTTGGGAGGCCGAGGCAGGTGGATCATGAGGTCAAGAGATCGAGACCATCCTGGCCAACGTGGTGAAACCCTGTCTGTACTAAAAATACAAAAATTAGCTGGGTGTGGTGGCGTGCACCTGTAGTCCCAGCTACTGGAGAGGCTGAGGCAGGAGAATCACTTGAACCTGGGAGGCAGCGGTTGCAGTGAGCCGAGATCACACCACTGCACTCCAGCCTGGGCAACAGAGCAAGACTCAGTCTCAAAAAACAAAAACAAAAAAAAAAACACTAGTTTGATCAAGAGTTGATGTGGAAAGACCTACTGCTGCCCAGGATGAGGAATTCCTCAACCCTTTGAGCCAGAAGGGCAGGCTTCACTGAAGTGACCCAGGCTGTCATCCTCCTGAAGCAATGCTGAGGGACCTGTGGTGGTGGTCCTTGTCACCCAGGCTCGGGTGTGTCTGTGTGTGTGCCTACACAGGTATACTCAGCTATATAGGGTGGCCCCTGTGACATGTGACTTCTGGGACCCCAGACTGAGATGTTCTCTCTCTCTTTTTCCCTGAGCTTATCTTTTCATCCAAAACCTCTTCTTCACCTTCAGCCTATTCATCCAACACATGTCTATGGAGTGGAGATAGTATAGCTGGTGGCTAAGAACATGAATTTGGGACCCAGGCCTGGGTTTACTTTCTACCCATACGACCATGGGAAAGTAGCCCAATTTTGAGCCTGAGTTTTGTCATTTGTAAAATGGGGATTATAAGGTTTGGGCTCTGGTAAGCACCTAAGAGATGGTGGCAATCTGTTAATAATGATGTTAATATCATCTTCCTTACTCAGGTATTTCCTGCATCTGTGGCACTGGACTCTGTGCTCTGGCCTTACTGAGTTTAGTCTGGTGGGAGAAATCAGGCCTGAGGTCGCCTACAAGCTTGTCTGTTTCACTTCACAGGCGTGGAAGACATTTTGGTGAAGCCAAAGGCAGATGTCAAGAGGCAACGTATCATTGAAGAATCCACCCACTGCGGGCCCCAGGTAAGGAGGGACTTCGAGGCCGTGGCCTGCCCTAGAGGGGTGAAGTGTGTGCTGAGTCAAAACCCACACTCTCGTCGTTTGGCCTCAGCCTCCGCTGTGTTTCTGTTCTCATTCTAGGCTGTCAGGGCTGCATTAAACCTGCCAGAAGCCGCATCATATGATGAGGTCCGAGGAAAATGGCAGGATGCCCATCTGGGCAAGGACCAGAGGGATTTTAACATGATTGATCTGAAGTTCAAGGAGGAAGTGAACCATTACAGCAATGAGATTAACAAGGTTAGCCCAGCATTGCATGCATTTATCCCCACCACTATGAATGCTGATTTTTAAAAAAATTACATTTTGATTCTCACCTGGGCCCTACAGAGCACCTTGGCTGTTGAACAGCTGACTAGGTGAGATGCGAGGTGGGATGGGTAGAACTCGTTGTTTTGAAGGGCCCAGGGCTTTGTTCCCTGCCCCAGTTAGGGTCTATACAGGCCTCAGAATAGTGCCAAGAGAGAATGCTTTGTGCTGTTTTTCTTTATAAATGTTTTTATTTTGGGGTGACTGCATTAAAGGGGCTGAATGGGGCCACCAGGGGTGAATAAGCAGGGTGAGGGACCCGGATCGCCCTGGCTGCTCATGCAGCGGAGCCAGGAGTGAAGGCTCAGGTTCCAGTCCTGGCTCTGCCTTGAACTTGCTGTGTGACCTTGGGCAAGTGAGATAACCAGTCCCTGCCTTGGTTTCCTCACCTGGAAGTGGGGCTGTGAGGGGCACCACCTCACAGGGCTGCAGAGAGGCTTCAGGAGCTACTAGTACACAATGCCAAGCCAGTTCCTGGGCAGTTGAGAAAGGAGAGGGGAAATCTCTGCATGAGCTGAAACCACAGCCTGCTTTTCTCTGCCTTTCTGCCCCAGAGCCAGGGTTCTCCATCCTGCTGCTTGGAGGAGCTGGCCTGGCCCTCACCCTGCCTCCTGGGCCCTGGGGCCCAGCCTGAGGAGTGGGGAGGAGGAGGCAATGCCAACACTCATCAAAAGTCAAAGTTCGTCTGTAGTGCTCTCTTGCCTGGCTTTTAGCATCCCTTAGGCTGCTGAGAAGACCGACTTCTCATGGGGACAGGTTCCATCCTTGAGGGGTTTTGTTGACAGGAGCTTTCCTAGCACCTCCCTGAGAACCAGGAAGCTCAGCTTCTAGGGCTGACTGGGGATGCTAGGAGTAGGGAAGTTGTCTTCAGATGCATCTCAGAATGGTTTCTTGTCCCTCCAGTTGCCCTCTTCCCACCACCTCCGCCCACCCAGGCTCTGCCTCTCCTGTGTTGGGCCAAGTCTGTGGAATTCCAGGCACAGGCTAGAAGCCCCAGACTCAGAGCCCCCTTCTCAGCATCTCCCCAGGATCCCCCTGAAGGGGCATGCTTGGTTCTGCTGGCTCTTGAGCCAAGACAGAGCTTCCTACATGGGGCTTGGGTGGCATGTTCGTAAATGTGACATGATGCGGATGTTGGTATTCACGCTGGGAGAGGACCCAGGCCAGGCTCTGCTGGGCGAATCAAGGGCATCACCTTAAATTTTATTCTTCTCCAGCTTCTTTTTAGAATCACGAACTGGATCTGCCAGCCCCTCTACTTCTCCTTTTCCTTCTCCCTTTTTGCTGCTCTTTGGCCAATGAATGAAACCTCGGGGATCCTGGCAGAGGAAGTCCAGCGAGTGCAGGGCAGGGAGCACCTGTTTGACCTCTCAGGGGTTCCAGGGAAGGATTAATGCTGAATGAGGCTTTCTCTTACCTCGAGTGGGATTTGGTACTTAGGTCTGAATAAATATTCTGGCTGTATTGCTTCTGCTTCCTGGATTTACATCCTGATTCTGGGATTTTTAAAGAAGGTGAAGTCACTGACCACTGTGCTGATTTAATCTGCAGGCATGCATGCCTTTTGGCCTACACAGACAGTTCCCAGAGAACAGCCTGCAGATGATGGTGCAGTCGGGAGCCAAAGGTTCAACTGTGAACACGATGCAGGTATGTGCAGAGGCGGGTTGGCAGCTTTACAGGTGTCAGCAAAGGCAGGTGGGGGATAGCAGGAGGTGGTTTCAGTTTGTTCCCTATAAAACATGACAAGTAAAAAGAGGAAAGCGTGTAGAAATCACTACAGGAGCTAACCACTGTTAACATGCCAATGTTAAAGGCAGATGTAGTTATGAATATGCAGATGGGATATGTATAACGTAGATATATATTACAAATTTACAAACTGTACTATTACATATATTCACGTTATATAGATAAATTATGTATACTCACACAATTTTTACGTAATTTTGCATGATTGTTTCTTTCTTTCTTTCGTTTTTTTTCGAGATGAAGTCTTGCTCTGTCACCGGGCTGGAGTGCAGTGGCGCAATCTTGGCTCACTGCAACCTCTGCCTCCCAGGTTCCAGAGATTCTCCTGCCTCTCGGGATTACAGGCATGCGCCACCATGCCTGGCTAATTTTTGTATTTTTAGTAGAGACGGGGTTTCACCATGTTGGCCAGGATGCTTTCAATCTCTTGACCTCGTGATCTGCCCACCTCGACCTCCCAAAGTGCTGGGATTACAGGCATGAGCCACCGCACCTGGCCGATCTTTTCATAATATTAAATTATAAACATAAACATTGTCCTAGAGATTTCTTAACCTTAAACCTTGGTGACCTTGAGAGGGTCTAAAGGCCCACCCCATTGTCTGTTGAGTGTGACAACAGAAAGGCCGAAAGCCGTTAGGAAATCCCCTGACTACATCGAAACCTAGATATACTGCTCTCCTCCAACACGCCAAGAGTATTAACAGGCAGCTTTCTAAGCAAATAGCTCAATAGCTTGAGTTCCCATTTTGTTGTTGTTGTTGTTGTGTTTTGTTTTGTTTTGTTTTTAATTGAAAATAAGACAGAGTCTCCCTGTATTGCCCAGGGTGGTCTCAAACTTCTGGGCTCAAGGGATCCTCCTGCCTCAGCCCCGCAAAGTGCTAAGATTGTAGATGTGAGCCACCACACCCGGCCCTGAGTTCCCTTTTGGCTCTAGAATGTGAGGATCGCAATAAATGGCTGTTTCCTGCAGGCCTCTCTTTCCCCATCAGGACCCTCCAGTCCTTTACAGGTATAACATGAGATGGTTCTGAGACATGGCTCTTTTTATAGAGAGCACCCATTTTCAACTGACCCCAAATGTGAAAATCCAGATCAGTCAACCAAAGGAAGGTATTTTTTTTTTCTTAAAATGAAGGCTTCCTGGTTTGTTTAGAAATGTAGGTTAGCCTTCAAGAACTCGGTTTCCATGCAGCTTTTCTTCAAGGTCAGATTATACTTTCCCTGCTGGGACAAAGCACTGTTAAACACACATGTGGATCTTCAGTTTCCTGTGGATTTCCTGTCCTCCAGATCTCGTGCCTGCTGGGCCAGATTGAACTGGAAGGTCGGAGACCCCCGCTGATGGCGTCTGGCAAGTCACTGCCCTGCTTTGAGCCTTATGAGTTCACCCCCAGGGCTGGTGGCTTTGTCACTGGCAGGTTCCTCACCGGCATCAAACCTCCTGTATGTATTTTGGTTTTTCCATTTAGCTTTTTCCCTCATTTCTAGGCTTAATTGTAGGTGAACTATGACTGCCCTACAGGGTAGGGCAGAAGACACTGGGGGCTATTGTAGCTGTCGAGGTCAAAAAGTCCTAGGAGATCAGGGAAGGGAGTGGCCTGTCTGGTCAGGAAAGGCTGCTGGAGGTGTTGGCCTGAGCCCTTCAGGAAGCGCACTGTCCTCACTGTCACCTTTGGGACCTGGGTCCCATTCTCTGCAGGAGTTCTTCTTCCACTGCATGGCAGGACGAGAGGGCCTGGTGGACACTGCTGTGAAAACCAGCCGCTCAGGCTATCTCCAAAGGTAAAATGTATCTGCCGTGCCCCTTGAGGTAGAGTGCCAGGGCCCTTCCTGCCATCATCTTTCACATTATATCAGCAGCTCATTTAAGATTCCTTGGATGAAAAAACTTTTGGAAAGTTTCCATGAATGGCCTGAGACAGAAAGCAGCAAACACTGTTCCCCTTCGCAGGATCGGTAGAGCATGAGCTCAGAGGCTTATACCAAGGGCTCTGTGTTCTGAGGGTCTGCCATTCCCTGGGGGAAGCTATGGCTGTGGGAGAAGGTCTTGGGCAGTGGCAAGCTTATCTTGCTTCCTAGAAGGCTCAGCTGCCAAGACAGTAGTGACTAACATTGAGCTCTGTCCCCACAGCTTGGGGTGGAGGGACAGTGACTGCTGGGAAGCCCACTGTTAGGGTGGCAGGAGGGGAAACCTAGGCAGAGTGTCCGGAGAGGTAAGCAAAGGGGCTAGGACCAGGGCAGAGAGCAGAAGAAGTTGAGATAAAACTGAGGAGAAAGGCCGCCAGTGGAGGGATTCACATCAGCATGTGGTTCCCAATACCCCTTAGTGTCCTTGGCAATCCCTGGGCTGACCAAGTTTGAGAATCCTTGACAGCTCCCCTGCTTCGCCCGTCTTTTGGTTCTAAGGACACTGGTCTCTGGGGAGCTCTGCATTGTGGGAGAGTGTAGGGGCAGACAGTCATCTCAGCAGCTGGGGCTAGATGGGAGCCCAGGTCTAGGGGTGGCAGCCAAGCTGCTCAGTAACATGGCTGCAGCCTCCTCCTCCTAGAAAACCATCAGGAAATGCAGCCCCTGGCTGGGGGACACTGGAGCAAGCCCAGACCCCGGGGCATTGGATCTAGCCTGTTCTGAAGTCTTGTTTGCCTGCAGAACAGGAGCCCCCCTTTCCCTCCCCTCCACTGCCCCCAACCCTCATCAGAGGCTGCCCTGGGGAGGTGATGGGCCGGCGGGGACTGAGCCGATGGTGTCCTTACAGGTGCATCATCAAGCACCTAGAGGGGCTGGTCGTGCAGTATGATCTCACGGTCCGTGACAGTGACGGCAGTGTGGTGCAGTTCCTGTATGGGGAGGATGGCCTGGACATCCCCAAGACACAGTTCCTGCAGCCCAAGCAGTTCCCCTTCCTGGCCAGCAACTACGAGGTAGTGTGCTAGATCCCGGAGCCTGGGGGCCGAGCAGTAGGCCTCCCCCACCGAGGTTAGAGAACTGGAATGCGCTGAGCTTTGCAACCCAGTCCAAGTGGCCATTGGAAAGTAGAGTGGGAAGGGTTTATAAGACACCGGTCAGTGCCCTGAAACACTTGACAATTTCAAAGCCTGTGAACTTTCATCACTTGAGGTGGCTGGAGGGCACGAGCACCTCTGGAATAATACCTACTCTTTGGGGCCATTTGCCGTGTGCTGGGCCCTCAGCTAAAGCACACTATCAATACTATCCGTTTTCCTCCTCACTGCAACCCAGGGAAGTAGGCATTACTCTGCCGATTTTGCAGCTGAGGCAACTGAGTATCAAAGCATAAGTAAACAGTCGGTGAGTGGCAGAGCCAGCATTTGAACATGGGCCCGTCAGACACAAACTCATGATTTTCATTGTATACCTTAATGCCCTTGTAGTGACCATCACTGTTGACTGGGCAGTCACCCCATTTGCAGATAGGGAAACTGAAACCGATGTGACCTGTCTAAGGTCATCAAGCTGATGGTAGAATTGAGGGTTGTGCTCTGGTGCTGAGTCCTTTCCATCCTGGTTCCTATCCCTGAGCT
Organism: Homo sapiens; assembly: GCF_000001405.40. Taxonomy (NCBI): domain Eukaryota; kingdom Metazoa; phylum Chordata; class Mammalia; order Primates; family Hominidae; genus Homo; species Homo sapiens. The sequence goes on along the minus strand of NC_000002.12, from coordinate 86,043,517 downwards.
TGGCCATCACTCTTCCCCTCTTCCTTTCTTCCCAGAAACTCCCTTGTGCTCCTGGAGGGGCTCTGAGTGTGCTGCTTTCTTTCCTGTGTCTCCCTCTGCTCCCAAGACCATTGGTTCCCAAATCTGGTTTGCACAAAGTGAGGGCCCTGATTAACAATGGATGCTCAGCCTCTCTGAGAGTGGTGCTCGGCCCCATCATGAGGGCTCCACACCAGCCACCTGGGTCCCCTGAATTTGTGCTCCATGGCCCTCTTGTCACGCCCTCATCTCTTTGATCTCATGTGTGTGATTTGTTTGTTTGTTTTTTTGTTTGTTTGTTTAGGTGATAATGAAATCACAGCATCTCCATGAAGTTTTATCCAGAGCAGATCCCAAAAAAGCTCTCCACCACTTCAGAGCTATCAAAAAATGGCAAAGCAAGCACCCCAACACCCTGCTGAGAAGAGGCGCCTTCTTGAGTTATTCCCAGAAAATTCAGGAAGCTGTGAAAGCCCTGAAACTTGAGAGTGAAAACCGCAATGGCCGCAGCCCTGGGACTCAGGAGGTGATGCAGGGAGGTGGTGTCCTTAATGTCCAGCACGTCCAGGCTTAGTCAGTGGGTGAGGGATGAGGGGCTGTTTTCCTAAGAGAAGGTAGAATCATGAACTCCAGCTTTGTTCACCGTCAGTCAGAACAGAATGGCTCTCAAATGGGAATGTAAGGTGGGGACTCTTAACAAGGGTGTAGGCAGGGTTTGGGGGGACTAACTGGGGCCTGTGACTTCGGGGTTCCCCGCGATCCCAGGTGTGAAGGAATGGGGAGCAGTCATGAGAAACGGAGAGGACGACTATGTGCTAGGGCCACTGGACAGAGCCCTGGGTAGAGACCCACTAGAGGGGGGTTGAGGATAAATACCAGGATCCCCTTCCTCCTGCCTTTCCCTCTGCTGCTGGTGCCTCCCATCAGCCAAGCACACCTGGGAGCTGGAAGCAGGGGATCTCTTTGAAGCAGTCACTTTGGGACAGCCTTGAGGGCACAGAGCGTGTGAAAGAGCCTGGATCCAGAAATAACCATGGATCCAGCACAGTGACTGCATCCTAGCTGGCCTGAGACAGTCGTGGCTTTGCCTCTTGTCCTAGCCTAATCATAACAGTCTCCTGTTTCACTCTAAAAGAAGCCCAGTTTGCTCAGTAAATTACATGCTTGCCCTCCCTGGGCTTGAATGGGCCAGGATGAAGAGCTGCTAGGCTTATAGTCAAGCAGGGTGCCCTAGGACAGGTTGAAGTCTCTCCCCATTTTAAATGGGGAGATGGTTTCTCATTGCAATCAGGTTTCTTTCTGTCTCCCTTTATTCTCATTGGAAGCCAATGCTTTTGATCCCTCTTATGCTACTGGGTATCCCTCCCACATAGCTGAGACCCATCCTTCTGTTCAGATGCTGAGGATGTGGTATGAGTTGGATGAGGAAAGCCGAAGGAAATACCAGAAGAAGGCGGCCGCTTGTCCTGACCCCAGTCTGTCTGTCTGGCGTCCTGACATCTACTTTGCATCAGTGTCAGAAACATTTGAAACAAAGGTTGATGACTACAGTCAAGAGTGGGCAGCTCAAACAGAGAAGAGTTATGAGAAATCAGAGCTTTCTCTCGACAGGTATTGACAGTGATTTGTTGCACAACATGTGCAGGAGAATCTGCCTCCTAGCCCCTGCCTCCTAGCCCCTGCCCTACTCACTCCGGAAGAGGGCTGCCTCCTGGGTTTGAGACTTCAGCTAGAGGGAGGGCAGTAAGACAGCCAGGGGCAACGCACAAGCCCCAAGGGCCCAGGAGTGAACAAGTGCAAGGGAGGCAGGAGTGGACACCCCCATCTGGGCCAAGATAGGGATAGTGGTCTGCTGGGAGGCTTGCAGGAAAGTCTGCTCTCTTGGGTTTGGTGTGGTGGGTGGGGCTGACTGAGAGTCAGGGAATCTGGTCACTGTTCACCTGCTGCCAACCGTGTGACCCAGGGCAGGTCATTCATGCCCAGGGACACCAGGTCTTAACTTCTCATGAGGCCTTGGATCCGATTACTCCAGTAATCCTTTGAGCTTTGGGTTCCCATTTGAAGGCCTCAGCTTGGACTAGGACAGACACACACACACACACACACACAGACACTGTAGCTCAGCGCGCGCGCGCACACACACACACACCTTTGAGCTTTGGGTTCCCATTTGAAGGCCTCAGCTTGGACTAGGACAGACACACACACACACACACAGACACTGTAGATCAGCACACACACACACACACACACAGACACTGTAGCTCAGCACACACACACACACACACAGACACTGTAGCTCAGCGCGCACACACACACACACACACACACACACACACACACACACACAGTGTAGCTCAGCGCTCCTAGTGGCTGTTCTTAACAGGGTCAGGCTTCATAGGAAAAATGGTTAGTAAATTACAGAATCGTGCGGCATGAATACTTCTGATGTGGTCTGCAGCCATTTGCACTAACTAAAAATATAAACACTCTCATCACCCCCATCCCCATAATGGCCTAGTGAACCTCTTTCTAATTTTTATAGCAGGAGGTTTAAACTGTCTCCAAATTGTCATAATTGAGAAGAAAGAATGGATAAAGGAAAAAGTGAATAATGAACCCAGAAATTCTCCTGCTTAGGGGGCTTGTGGTAACAGTCCCAGAGTGGATATGTGACATTCTGGGGGCAAACATGAGGAGTCCAAGCATGAATGTCTAGAGCTTCAGCCACCCAGCTGGGATCTGTGCTGTGTAATTTGAGGACATCTCAGGGTCACTGGTGGGAATTTGAAGATTAGAGGGATCTTTTGCCTAGGAAAAACGAGTCCAGAAAGAGGTAGAGGTTTCAGTTTTCTGGTTTCGGGCAGCATTGACAGTCTGTGGTGTCTGCTCCTGACCCCTGCCACAACCCCCACCCTGACCCCCCACCACCGTCTCTAGGTTGAGGACCTTGCTGCAGCTGAAGTGGCAGCGCTCACTGTGTGAGCCGGGCGAGGCTGTGGGCCTGCTGGCTGCCCAGAGCATCGGAGAGCCCTCCACCCAGATGACCCTCAACACCTTCCACTTTGCAGGCAGAGGCGAGATGAACGTCACCCTGGGCATTCCAAGGTGTGGGGCACAAGGGAGCACAGGGTGGGGTCTGTCCTAGCCTCTCCTGGAGAAGGGGCCATTTAATGAGAGGGGGTGAGTGAGTGTGTGTGAATGAGAGAGTGTGTCTGTGTGAGAGAGGGACAGGGTCTCATTAAAGTGGGGATCAGGGTTAGAATTTCCAGAGCCCAGCTGGTTTCTTTGGTGCCCAGGCCTGGTAGGATCTCCATTTATTCCTCTGCCAACTCCTGCATCCACGTTCCTGGGGATGCCTGTGAGACTGCACACTGCTGGGGGAAGGACTCAGGAACGTACATTGTTAACAAGCCCCACACAAGGTGCCTGGTTGCCCAACTCCAGGGGAGCCATTCACATAGAACGTGCCCCCACGTGGCCCTGGGCCCTGGCCCTTCAGGTAAATATATGTGCTGGACAAGGGGAATGAGTGTGGGGTCAGACCCATCTGCATTCAGTCCCTGGCCCTGCCTTTTTCTAGCAGAAAGACTCTGGACAGGTACCTCACTTTCCAAACCTCAGGGGGTCCTTCTGTGGAAGGCCAGAGGCTGGGACCCACTATACATCCAGGCAGTGAGGGCTGGCTGAGCTCAGCAGGAGCACTGTGGGTGCTAGTTGCCTTCCCTGCATCGCTTGTTCATTCAGTAAGCGTCAGCAGGCACCTGTTGTTTGCAAGGCACAGGTGATAGGAAACAAGAATCAGACAAAGCCCTGAGCACAAGGAGTGGGCCCTCCAGGGAGGAAACTGACAGGGGAGTCCCTTACTGTTGCACACGAGGCCAGAGCTGGGATTCTCTGATCTAGCATATTATCCCTGTGAGATCCCCAGGCCTCTCTCAGATTCCAAAAGAACTCTGACATCATTAGGAGAAGCTGCACCCAAACAGAAGGTCTGGTTGCCACTCATGATTGGATGTGCCCTTATTCTGTGACAGGTTGCGGGAGATTCTCATGGTGGCCAGCGCCAACATCAAGACACCCATGATGAGCGTGCCCGTGCTCAACACCAAGAAAGCCCTGAAGAGAGTGAAAAGCCTGAAGAAGCAACTCACCAGGGTGTGCTTGGGGGAGGTAACGTCTCTCCTTCCCAGGTTGCAGACGGGGTGAAGGCATGTTCCTATATCCTCCCCATGTGTGAAGAACAGGCTTTGCTTACTGCTCTGACCCTAGGCTCAGATTCCCACCAATGAGAGATAAGCTGTCTCTGCCAGGTGCTGAGCAGAGATGGATCAGGAAGCTTTTAAGAGAGTCATTAGTTCCACAGCATCCTCCTGTGCCTGAAAAATAAACCATTTCCTGAGTTTGCCTACCCGCTCTGCTGAGGCCACTCCTAGGAGGTTCAGGCCACTCTCTGGAGGTGACTGCAGGCTGTGGGCCCCCCAGCAGATCCACACCAGTATAGCTCACCAGGGTTTCTTTGGGGTTTGGCCTGTGGTCTCAGCTGCTATCTCTGTAAACCCTTGGGTCTCGTAACCCACTCACATTGCGCAGTCACCTAGGACCTGAACAAGTCAAGTTCTCTCTGTCCGTCTGGTTCCAGGTGTTGCAGAAAATTGACGTCCAGGAGTCCTTCTGTATGGAAGAAAAACAGAACAAATTCCAGGTGTACCAGCTGCGGTTTCAGTTCCTGCCACATGCATATTACCAGCAGGAGAAGTGCCTGAGACCCGAGGACATCCTGCGCTTCATGGAAACAAGGTCAGGGCTCAGGCTGTGATTGTCATTGACCTTGACCCAGAGAATGCGCTTGAACTGGGGCAGGAAGCACCTAGCCACAAGGCTCCTAGAGATTGAGTGCCTTTGCCCAAATGAGCCCTTCAAGGGAAGTGTTTAGGAAGCAGAGGGCCTTGCAGCCTGATCTGGAAACCTGACCACAGTCTGGCTTGTGGGTATGACTTTCTTAGCCACACGTCACTCCCTGAGCCCATTTCTTCTCTTGGGTTGACGTCAGGATTGTTGTCTTCTGGGGCTTGCAGGCATTAAGACATGGAAATGTGGGTGTGGTAAAGAGAAGGGAGCACCATCAAAGCGGTGCTTCTGTGGTGTCGGAGCAGCACATGCTGTTAATGTTTGCTAGGGTGTTACTGCAGGCAGTATAATGTGGTTCCTGATGCATTTAGATTCTGTGAATAATGAACAATGTGCGGGTGGCACGCTGCTGTTAGATCTCCATTCTATAACCAGGATTGCCTCCAGAGAAATTCGAGTTCCTGTCCCGAGTTCCTGTCCAGTAGGGAAAAGGAACTTTTGTCTCAAGTTCAAGTTACTGTTAGATATTTGAAAAGCAGAGGCCACAATGCTGAGTTCCGGGGAGCAGGAGGATGGGCTTTTTGGGGACTGGGGCAAGACTGGAAGAGCCCACGAAGCATTTTTGACTCACCAGCTAACCCTAGACGGTGAAGTGTGAACACAAAAAGGCTGCATAGCCCAGCAGGTGACAGGCCAGTGAAGCAGGCTTGGAGGCCCCCGGCAGACTGAAGAGTGTGGAACCTGTCTCAAGGGGCACCTGTTACTATGCAGGAATGGAGGCCCGGGGGGCCACATCTTTTGATTTAAAAAGAAAGAAAACAAGCTTCCCACCCCCTACGTTTTTTTCTTTCTTGGGTCACTTGTTTACTTGCCTTTGCTTTTATATAATTGAGGTCTCCTGACTTTTAAACATCAGCAACTAATTCATGTGTTTTTAAAAGCCCAGTAAGGCCCAGATGGTTCTCATCTGTTGCAGGATCTGGCCACAGGCCACTGACCACTGCCTCTAATCTAGACCAGTTCTTGGTCTTCTGGGAGCTGCTCAGATAGAGAAGCAATGACAGAGCAGAAGCAGAAAGCTCCCTGCACTCAGCCATCCCACAAACACATACTGAGCCATGCCCATTCGTCGCTGAGTCACGGGGGCAGGCGTGGGCAACACAGTACGACTTTTCTGCCCTCAGCCCTCTGCCCTCTCACCTTATGGGGCCTGGCCTCGAGCCAGCCCTCTGTGCAGGTGGCATTTGGGATGGTGGGTCTTGGGGTGGAGGAGCTTGGATGTGAACTCAGTCCTTTGGACGGGGGTCACTGGCCAGGTGCTTCCTGCCCCAGTTCACGAGCCCTGGGTGAAGTTGTTGTTGGCTGGGCCTCAGGAGCACCTGCGTTGGTGCCAGCCTGGGCTGAGAACATTCCTTCTGTCGAGTGGTCCTCTGTGCTATCTGGGCACTGGGCAGAGTGGCAGGGGAGTGCTGTGTGCACCCGCCTGCCAGCTCCTTAATTAACAGCGAGGAACATAACTACCAAGTGCAGGGGGCGTTTGTGCTGGCCTGGCAGTGGTTTTCTGGGAAATGGGAATTCAGATTTCATGGCCTCTAGAGAATAACTAAGGGTGGACGGAGTTAGATGTTTTGCCCCAGTTCTGTTCACAGGAGGCCCAGGCCAGCCCAGCAGGTAGGTCGGCATGAGGCTGGCGCCAGCCCATGCTGGGGTTCTTTTTACTTATATTACCTCATGGAATTGAAAATAGGAAATCACTTTTTAAGACTTCTTCCTGATGAGGGACAGCCCTGGCTTGTTCCCAGCCGTGAAGTACTTTTTCAACTCCTCCCTGTGTTTTGCTTGTGAACTTGAAAATCTGTGATAAATAAAGCCATGCGCAGTAGCTTTTGGTGGAGGTGGCCTCAAGGACTCAGCAGAATGGGGCTGAGGGGTTAGGCAGAGCTAAAAGATGGGGCAGTGGATGAGCTGGGTGCGGTCTGGACTCCCTTTGTCAGGCCCCAGGCAGCAGAGCAGCTGTGTTCAGGCCTCTGGCCGCCCACAGGAAATGGGAGGAAGTGTGAGTGCACTTTCAAAAGAGCAGCCAACCCCCAAGAAGCTTTTTCTCCTTCCTTTCTCCCATCCCTCCCCCTTCCTTCCTCTCTGCCACCCTCTTTTTCTTTCTCTTTGCCCCCACCCTCCCTTCTCCCAGCTGTGGAGTCATGAGACCCTTGACAGAGCCTGGAGAAAAACAGCACGAGACAGATGGTTCCCTAGGTAGAGATATACAAGCGTAGAAGGCCCCCCAGATCTCTGCACTGGCACCCATCACATGGGCTGTTTGTGTAAATTGTCTGGCAGGTGGCAGGGGAGATGAAGTGGAAAGAGCACTGAGCTAGGAGTTAGGGGCTGTAAGTTTTGGCCTCCGGTCCCCAGCCATGAAAAGACCCAGCTGACAGTCTGTAATTGTAGCTTCTGTGAATCTGACTTTCCAAACAGCAGGTGGTGGAGCTGTTGCCAGGCGCGTTCAGAAACCGCCAGGGGTCATGTGCTCTGTTTGTAATTATTTACGTGGGACGGGAGGCTTCTCTGCCCCTGCCCCTCCTGTTCCCTTTCTGTTGCTACATTCAGGTGAGCTGCACAACCTTGAGAAGGCAGTCACTGTGGGCCGTTAGTTCCCCTGCTCTTGGCAAAACCATAGAAGGGCAAATTGCACCTCCAGGAAAACTGGCACACTGGTCACATGCCTACCACTTACTCACCAGCCATTCATTCTGCCTTCTCACCTCCTTCCCTCCTACGTTCTCCACAAGTCCTGGTCACCAAAAGAGGCAGGGAAGGCAGAAGGCATCCCCAACTGGGGGAATCAGGGAGGGCTTCTTGGAGGAGTTACAGCTGCTGAGGCCTGGCCTTGAAGGATGAGTACAGCTTCAGTAGGTAGATATTGGCCAGGGAAGTTACTGGCAGAGTGAGCCGCTCAAGCAAAGGCCCAAAGGGTGCACAGGGTGGAGGGAGCAGATGGGCAGTTAGAGTTGAGGCCAGATGTGAAATGCTGGGGGCAAAAGCATCAGAGCCGTGACATTGCCACAAGTTGAGACAGGCTGGGGCGCCCAGCTGAGGGAAGCAGCCCTGTGTGTGGCAGCAGCTGAGCCCCGCACCCCCACTCCGCCTCATTCCATCTCCTCTGCTCTGCACAGTAGCCTCGGGTGCAGAGTGAGAGTGATCCCATGTTGCAGATGAGATCAAGGCCCTCCTCTCCAGTCTGTGGCAGGTCAGGACTTTAACCTGAACCTGTCCTTACAGAAACATCTCTCCCACCCCCTCTTTCCAGTGGGATTGTATCTTTCTAAAGTCAAGCCCGGCCTTCTCTCATCTGGCTATCCTGTTCCTGTCCCCAGTGCCTGGTAAACAAGCTCTTCTCTGGATTAATGGATGAGGGGGCTTTTTTTTCTGCCAAGGGCAAACCACGTACACCTTTAAAAAGTTAAAAAATAATATTGGGGTCTGGGTGCAGTGGCTTACCCTTGTAATTCCAGCACTTTGGGAGGCCAAGGCAGGTGGATCACCTGAGGTCAGGAGTCCACAATCAGCCTGGCCAACATGGTGAAACCCCGTTTCTACTAAAAATAGAAAAATTAGTCGGGCATGGTGGTGCATGCCTGTAATCCCAGCTACTCAGAAGGCTGAGGCATGAGAATCGTTTGAATCCGGGAGGCGGAGGTTGCAGTGAGCCGAGGTCGCACCACTGCACTCCAGCCTGGGGGATAGAGAGACTCCATCTCGGGACGGTGGGGGGAACTAATAATAATAATATTAGGGAAGATGAGTGGCATTCTTTTGTTTTTAATGAGCAAAATAGTATACATTTGACCTGCCTACTTTTTCAAATGAAGACTCTAAGCTCCTTGAGGGCCTGGAGTCTGTCTTTTCGTCCTTGCTTTGCCACCAGGGCTGGCACATGCTGGGCACAGTATAGGCGCTCAGAGAAAGTGGGACGGCTGGCTGGATGTGTGAGGGACCCGATTCTCACAGTCACAAGCAGCCCTTTTTGGTGTGCTATTCTGGCCTGTTGGAAAAGACAGGCAGGGGGTTACATGAGGAAAGAAGTGGTATGGAGGGGACAGGGTGGATCCTAAGAGGCCCTAAAAATAGATGGCTCTGGAGGAAGTGGCAGGGGGCCAGGTTCTGAGCTTCAGGTTGGTTCTTTTAAATTGGTGTGGTTCTAACTTGTTGACACGATTCATTGCCACAAGCTAAGTTATCTCTGCCCTTCGAAATTTTGATGAGCCCTTCCGAAGTCCTCGTTCTTTCGTCACATTGCCGGGGCTCCCACACCAAGGGAGTTCTCTGGCCAGAGCAACACCACCTTCTGGAGATGCTGCAGGTTGTGGGCAGGGGAAGGTCCTAGTCCTGGGTGGGGTTCCCCTCTCCTACAGTAGATTCTGCCTTCCTTGTTAGAGGACGACCACAGCGGCACCTACAACTGTCCTTCACCAAGCACGCACTCTGCCAGGCGCTGTGAGAGGAATCAGACATAGGGTTGTTTCTCATCATTAGCAAACAAGATTGCAGAATACGTAGTAATTCCCATATTTTCTAGACAATGGGGCTTAAAGCTGAGGAAGCTGCCTGTCCTACTCATACCCCGGGAGTGGCAGTGCACCTATTGAGACCAGGCCTGTTGGACTGTGGAACCGGTGTTCCTGATACGCCAGAGACGGTTCCAAAACAGCGGGTAGGGACAAGTGAGTGGCTAGGAGAGGCTGGGCCTCCATCTCGTGCACTGATCCCCTGTGGGAATCCCTCAGCGTCCTATCCCCCAAATGAGGGTAGGGCTGGACATGCTGGTACTGCACAGGGCTTTTTGGCTTTCTTCTTGTTTTAGATTCTTTAAACTTCTGATGGAATCCATCAAAAAGAAGAATAATAAAGCATCAGCTTTCAGGAACGTAAACACTCGAAGAGCTACACAGCGGGATCTGGACAACGCTGGGGAGTTGGGGAGGAGTCGGGTGAGTGAGTCCCCGGGGGTCACTAGAGTTGCACAGGGACAGCCCCCAGACTGGGCAGGCTCTGTGCCTATTCTCTGTGCTCCTCCAGCCCCATCCTGGTGCTGGCCCATCTCCTACCTATCTCAGCTTTTACCTGCTGTTCTGAGAGCCCAGAAGCAGCATTCACTTCTTGGCCTGATGGGCCAGGCAAGCGAGGCTGCCAGGCAGCATGGTGTAGCCAGCCCCGGGGCAGGCCTCCGCATCATAGCTCTGCTCTCCAAGAGCCCGCTGTAAGTGGTCTTCATCCTGAGGAGGGACTCGAGGTCATGGCGTGCGCTGAGCCTTTGAAAGTTCTTTTTCCGGTTTCCTTTGGCTCTGCCTTCGACTTGCCCAGGCAAGATGAACTGAGGCCCACCAGGGCACTGGCAGGGACCAGAGAGGTATCTGGAAGCAGAGAAGTTGGGCTGCAGTGACAAAAAGGGGAAGAGGGAAAAAACCAGTAGGAGCAAAATAGTCCAGGAATAAATAATCAGATATCTGCCAGGAGACCCAGGAGCAGGCCAGACCTGAGGGTGGTGTGGGAGCAGGTCCCTGGGTGCCATCTGAGCCAGCAGCCAGCCTGCTTGGGTTGGGGATGATGTGGACTGGGACTACCCCCAACCAGCTCTGTGGTCTCAGTTGTGTCACCCTTCTCTGGGTCTGTCTTCTCACCCCTAAAATGAGGGGCTGGCCTACACCAGGGAAAATGCTAGGTCTCTCCTGCTCCGTGAGTTCACCTGCTAGCTCACTCAAGCACAAGCGGGTGTGGACTATCTTTAGAATGCTGCCTGGTCTTGATTCTTAATTCACCCAGAAGGAGAGTATAAAAAACTAGGAGCCAAGTTCAGGAGGAGAAAGGAAGAGATACTCAGTATTCTACAAGATAACCCTTCCTTCTCATCCCCACCTGCAACTGGGTTTGATCAAAAATATTTGGAACAATATTTGACACCATCTTCTTCTAAGAAAGCAAGTCCTGGCACTTTTTTTTTTAATTTTTGGGAATGAAACTTTGCAAGTAAGTGGTGCATGTAAAGATGAAGACTGAAGGGAAGGAGGCCTGGGTTCTGGGACTGGACAGAGTAGATGCCAGTAGACGGGTTGGGTTGGGTGGCAGTGGATGGAGGGTGGTGGCTGGATGGGAGAAGGGGTTAGAAGGGTGGGGCATGGATGGATGGATGGGTTGGTGGGTGGATGGATGGATTCACTGAGCACTAGATATTGGAGTTAATCTTTTTCTTCCTTGCCCACAAACCACAGGGAGAGCAGGAGGGTGATGAGGAAGAGGAGGGGCACATTGTGGATGCTGAAGCTGAGGAGGGGGACGCCGATGCCTCTGATGCCAAACGCAAGGAGAAGCAGGAGGAGGAGGTGAGAGACCCTGTGTGGGGTGAAGGAGCTGTGGTCCCAGCCCCCTTCCCTGTTAACCTGGAGGGATTATCTCCCGGCACCCAGGCCACACCTCTGTGTCATGAACCCACAAGGAACCCTGAAGCAGCACCTGCCTGCCCAGCATACCTCTCTCTTGAGAAGATGGGGTTCATAGGGTGGGAATTTGGCACAGGTCCACTCCAGGGCTGCCTTTTAGATGTGGCCATCCCTGGACTTAAATCGGACTCAAGGATCCAGACAGGCTTCTGGCAAGAAAAAGTCAGGCTGCCTCTGGTTTTTACAATGAAAATATACCTCTCTCTCCTCCCACAAACCAGTCTCCTGCTGTCATAATGGCCGAGGGAACTTACCGGTGAGCAGGTACACCAGTGAGGGCTGAGTGAGGGTGAGCTCCACCTCTGTGAGGGGCTCAGGGGGACAGAGAGGTGGCATTCTCAAGGCAAAAGGAAGAAGAAAGACCAACCAGGCCGGAGCAGAGGAGCCGGGAGTGTGGAGCAGGTGGGGCCTAGGTAGCCCAGGCCAGCCAAGGCTTTGCAGGGGTCTTTGTTCCACAGGCAGAGTCCAGGTAGATGGTGGGTCCCCAAGTGACACAGCCTGTGCTCCCTTTTCTGCCAGGTTGATTATGAGAGTGAGGAAGAGGAGGAGAGGGAGGGCGAGGAGAACGACGATGAAGACATGCAGGAGGAACGAAATCCCCACAGGGAAGGTGCTCGAAAGACCCAAGAGCAAGATGAAGAGGTGGGCTTAGGCACTGAGGAGGACCCGTCCCTTCCCGCCCTCCTGACGCAGCCCCGGAAACCCACCCACAGCCAGGAGCCCCAGGGGCCCGAGGCCATGGAGCGCCGGGTCCAGGCTGTGCGTGAGATCCACCCGTTCATAGATGACTACCAGTACGACACCGAGGAGAGCCTGTGGTGCCAGGTCAGTGTGGCCGTGCAGGCCAGGGCTTGGGTGGTTGGTCCAGCTGGCCAAATCCCTCTGTGGAAGGGGCCTGCTGAGCTCCCCTGCACAGCTGGGCAGGGGGCAGCCAACATTCCCCATGGTCTCCCACTCAGAGCACAGCCAGGCCTCCTGTTTGGGGCCTGCGAGAGTCATTTGTTCTTTTTAATCCCAGATCCCTTTAGGAATCTGGTGATGGCTATAAACCCTCTGCCCCGAAAAAGGGCCCACACGTGTCATTTTCAAACCCCTAGTAAGCCAGTTCTCCCCGATCTTTCAAGACACACAAGACTGATCTACCAGGCCCTTTAGGTACTTTCAAATACACCACCTCCTTTAATCTTCAGTACAACAGATATGTTACCATGGACCACACGTGTTGTAGAGACACTGTTCGTGCCCTCAGGCAGGGACACTTCAGTTCCCCACACACACAGCCCCTGCCACCATCTTTTTAGGGATTTCATGGTTCCCTTAAAGCCTGGATGATCTGGATGCCTAGACATGTGCACACACTTACGCTTTGTCTTTCCTTTGATCCAGTTCAGTGGTTCCCAAGTGATGGGGTAATAACAAGAACCACTGATGGGATTGCACGCGTGAAACAACGTGTACCCTGCCTTGTGGTCTTTAAGGACATTAAGAGCAGTGCAGAGTGGATGTGAATCTCAATGTTGTCACCGACAGCTGTGAAAACAACCCCACTGTTTCCCCCTGAATCTGGGGGACTGGAGATGGCTGACCTGTACACAGTTCAGCCATCTCCAATGTTCAGACTACCTGCTGGCTTGCCCAGCAGGACCACTTTCCCCCAGCCAGGGAGTTCCTGAAAAGGTTTTGAAGGAGTCTCGCCTCAGTCCTCTTTGTGGGGACTGGAGTAGCTGTCACCCTACCCAGCTCTCCCTCCTTTTGCAGGTGACAGTGAAGCTCCCTCTGATGAAGATCAACTTTGACATGAGCTCCCTGGTAGTATCTTTGGCCCATGGTGCCGTCATCTATGCGACCAAGGGCATCACTCGGTGCCTCCTGAATGAAACAACCAACAATAAGAACGAGAAGGAGCTTGTGCTAAACACAGAAGGAATCAACCTCCCAGAGCTATTCAAGTATGCAGAGGTAAGACAGGCTGTCTGCTGGCCTGGGACAAAGCATTAGTCCTCACCCCACGTTGTCTCAAGACCCAGCCACTGGGAGGCTCGCTCTACGCGATTTACTCTGGCCCTTCCTGAGCCATTTGTGCTTCCAGGCCACATTCCCCAAACCAAGTGTGCGTGTCCTCGTCTGCCTCCCGGGGATTCTGGGGCACGTTAGCCTCATTCAGGTCCCCAGTAAAGCACCCTGCTGAACTTATCCAACCCAGAGTCGCCCGGGTTAATTTGAGTAGAGTTTTTTCCTTGAAATTAAGACCCTCGGGCCGGGCGTGGTGGTTCACACCTGTAATCCCAGCACTTTGGGAGGCCAAGGCAGGCGGATCACGAGGTCAGGAGATCAAGACCATCCTGGCTAACACGGTGAAACCCCTTCTCTACTAAAAAATACAAAAAAAAAATAGCCGGGCATGGTGACGGGTGCCTGTAGTCCCAGCTACTTGGGAGGCTGAGGCAGGAGAATGGCGATAACCCAGGAGGCGGAGCTTGCAGTAAACCAAGATTGCGCCGCTGCACTCCAGCCTGGGGGACAGAGTGAGACTCCATCTCAAAAAAAAAAAAAAAGAAAGAAATTAAGACCCTCCCGAAGTAGAGTTGTGAGAAATCATTGCTGCATCACCTGCCTAGATGCTGTTTGCTTTATCTGGTAAAGGGGGTCCCAGGGGTAGAGGTGCCCTGGCATTCCTGTCCCACCTGCTCACCAGCTCATCTGTCCTTTGAGCTGTGTCTCCAAGTACTCCCACTTCACCAACTCTCCCAGAACTTTCTGGGTTTCCCCCACAGAACACTGAGGAACTGGGGCCCTCTAGCCTAACCCCCCAACAAGTCTATGCTAAGCTGGCAAAGCTCCCCCTGCCACGTACACTTCTGCCCCCACCAATGACCACCCTGCAAAGTCTCCTGCTCCCCTGAACCCTTTTACCAAACACTTCCCAGAGGATGAGCAAGGAGGATTGGCACCTGCCAAGAGTGCAGGGTGAGAGGCTCCTCCAAGACAGCTCAGCCGCACCTTGGCCCCTTGGTAAGGCCCAGCACATGCCTGTGCGGCTGACTGGCCCCCACTCCATGCACCCTGGAGGGGTGTGTAATGTGTCGCTGCTAGGGGAACTTTCCTTGCTTCCTAAGGGAAGCCTTAATCCTAGTAAACAGGTCTCAGTTTAAAAATAAGAAGAAAAAATCCTTTTCTTCCCATTGAATCTAAAGCGTGTCCAAAGTGGACACGCTGGATTCTTGTAATGACGATACAGACCTTGGGCCCCGGCCAGCGAGCCGTCAGCAGCTCTGCCTAGCCATTTCCTTCTGCTAATCCTGGGCCACCTCTTGACCACTTTGTCATCAGCTGTACCGAGCTGCCAGACACAAGGAGAGAGAGAGCGGCCAGGGGGAGATACGCAGGCAGAAGGGAGCAGAAGGCCAGGCCCTCTAAATAAATCCCTTCCTTCCTCTCTCCAGGTCCTGGATCTGCGCCGCCTCTACTCCAACGACATCCACGCCATAGCCAACACGTATGGCATTGAGGCCGCGCTGCGGGTGATCGAGAAGGAGATCAAGGATGTGTTTGCCGTGTATGGTAAGGGGAGCTTGCAGATAACACCCCGAGGTCTGGGCACCAGCCAGGACACCAGAAGGCTCGGCAGGAGGGTCAGGACCGTGTCGGTCCAGCACCGAGTCAGTCCAGCACTAAGGCAGGCACTGCAGCATGCGTGCAGTGAGTGCACCTGTAGGAGACTGCAGATCTGTGAAGAGGTGACGTCTCCCATCACTGAGACCGCTTCAGTGGTGTCTCATCTGCTGGTGCCTTAGAGAAAGCTCCTGATTGATAACTTGGCCCCATCCTGCCTTTGGGGTTTCAGTTCCCAAGTGAAAACAGTGCGGTTAGATCCTCATTTCCTGTGCTGCTGGAAGGAAGCGGGAAGCAGGATGCAGGGGTCAGGGAAAGATGCCCCAGACCACGGGGAAGGGTTAAGTAGCGTGAGCAGGTGGCGGAGCTGAAGGGGAGCCCCAGAGTCTAACTCCCAAGCCATGTGCTGATGTGGAGGCAGCTTGGCTTGTGTCTGCTGACTGCTCCCGTGGTCACTGCTTAATCCCTCCTAATTTTACCTCCCGTTTGACAGGCATCGCGGTCGACCCTCGCCATCTCTCCCTGGTTGCTGATTATATGTGCTTCGAGGGTGTTTACAAGCCACTGAATCGCTTTGGGATCCGGTCAAACTCTTCCCCGCTACAGCAGATGACATTTGAAACCAGCTTCCAGTTTCTGAAGCAAGCCACCATGCTGGGTTAGTGCGTGGGCAGGAGCCCTGGCCTCCCCTCTACTGACGACTCTGGGCACACGGGCTCACCCATGGGCATCTTTCCATGGTTCCTTGCACACCAGTGGGATCTTGGGATCTGAGGGGAGCGGGGGCGGCTGGAGGGGGCTGAACAGCAGACACGACAGCTGCCTCTACGCTTTGAAGGAACAGGAAGAGGGCCTTCCCCTCTCAAGTGCTAGAGGGGGGCTGCCTCGTGATCCCATCAGCTTCAGAGACTCAGGACCCACCTGAGTCCCGAGACTTCAGTGTTCAGCCCCATAATCACCTCATGACATTCCCAACTTCTACCTCAACACCCTGACACATGTTTTTGTGTCTCTGTCAGGATCCCACGATGAGCTGAGGTCTCCTTCTGCCTGCCTTGTGGTCGGGAAGGTCGTCAGGGGCGGGACAGGCCTGTTCGAGCTCAAGCAGCCTCTGAGATAGCAGCTACCCCGGCACCATCTGCCCAGCTCCAAGGACCCTTGGTGAGGGCGTGGCCCAGCCTGCCTTCTGCATGAGAGGACCAGGAGACTGGAATCCAGGGCAGTTCCAAGTGACAGTACAGAGCACAGCAGCGACCTTGGGCCTGAAAGCAGTGGGCCTCTGAGCTGGGCCAGCTTCACCTGGAAAGTGACAGAGTTGCTCATCCTTGCCCCTCCCTGTCTCTGGATTTTTATCAAGGTTTACCAAGTCTTCTGAGTCCCCCTGAGATGGCTGGGGCCTCACCTGTGCTGCAGGAGGCCTCTGTGGCATAACCCCTAAGGAGAAGTCCTGATTCACGATTCACTGAGAAGACCAAGGGGAAGCCATGCTTTGCTGCTGGGGACCCCAGGCACCTCCAGAGTAGGGAAGCGGGGTTCTTTTGCTGTGAGTGGCCAGGGACAACAGACAAGATTCCTGGGGGCTCCCGATGAGCAGGAACGTGGAGCCTGCTGCCCAAGGCCTGCTCCTTCCGGCTGCTCCAGCCCCTGGGGGCAGAGTCCACAAAGAGTCCCCATCAAGACTTCTTCCCTGAGTCAAGTACAGCGTAGCATAGTCCTCCACCCACCCAACCTCTCTGCCTGGCCAGGGTCCTGGCCCTGCCACTGTGTGGCGAGGTGTCCTTCTAGACCACATCAGCCCCAAGGCTGGGAGCAGTCGCTCCAGGGCCGCAGCAGTTCACTCCCACACATAGAACCCAGGTCACTGCTGGGGCGATTGAACAGGTTGCCTGGCTTTTCTCTGCTGTCAGTTTGGTGTGGAGGCCTATGTTCTGCCCCATACACCCCACAGGCCCTGCTTATGGGAAGGAACACAGGCCTCCAGCCCAGAGGACTGTGCCGCCCTGTTCTTGGCCGTCCACGTTTCCTCTCCCTCTAGCACCAGCAATACATTTCCCTGGCATGGACAGAAAAGACAGAGAGGACTTATACAAAGGCTTTGTAAAACCAGAGGCTAGCTTCTATCTTTGTCTACTGTTATTTCAGCTCAGGGCGGGTAATTAACATCATTGGAACTAGCTATTAGGAAAGAAAAAAAACTTGGTTTTTTTTACAACAATTTTTTCCCTTGGTTTGCAGTTTCTGCATTTGGATTTGAGAACCCAGGGCGGGGATTTTCTTGGCACAGTCAGGTCTTGGGTCCCTCTTCCTGTGCTTTCTTGTCTGAGGCCTTAGGGGGAAGAGCTCAGCCTCTGCAGCCTCCTCCACCTCTGCCCCTGGCCTGCCTCTGCTGTGACCTCCTTCCAGAGCTAGCTGCTGGCCCTGTGGCCAGGAGAAGCAGAGGGGAGAAGCCTTTATGCAGAAGCTGTGCTAGCCTTGGTCTGGGGTGGGGAGGCTGCTGCTGTGACCTTAGGGGTAGGGTTGGGGATCAAGGGAGGCTTTGTCAAGGGAGAGTGACCATGTTGCTCCCTACATCCATGCAATAGGACCCAGCCTGCACCTCCTAGGCCTACACTGGGGAAAGCCTGACAGAAATCAGTACCTCCTAACGGGGTCTGCCAGGTTCACCAAGGCATGGGCACAGAGGAATATGACAGTTTTGAGGCAGGCAGGAAGGGCCCAGCCTGCAGGGTAAGACATTCATTCTTTGAGTTAAAGGCCATATTCACTTGATGATTTCTACACACACTAGAATTGTGAGAGTGTCCTTGAAGGAGATCACAAAGTAACCTGGTGACTGTGGCACAGGGTCCGTGGATTCCATCTCTCCCAGGCACTGAGGGCGCAGAGGCGAAGGAGCAAGCCCTGCATATTGGCAGGGCTGTGACCATCGCACTTAGATCAGACCCCCGACCTGTGTTGGGATGTGAGGGATGCCCTCCTGCCCCACCCATCCACATGGTTCCTGGGCAGCTCTGTTTTATTCCTGTGTCTTTCCTGATGGATGAGTATTAAGACAGCATGTCTGGTTTTTAAACAGACATTTGGGAGCTTGCACATCCTGATGAGCAGGGACTCACTGTGGTGGCCTTAGGGAATTACACGCTCACTTTGGTGGTTCTCTATGCTCGGAAGCCTCTGAGAGTGGCCTTGGCAGCTTAAGATGGCAGAGGCTTTGGAGTCTTCTTAGGACTGTAAGTGCCCATTGAGGATGCATTTGAGTTTTGGAAAGTAGGCCCAAGTCAAATCTGATGGATGGATTCAAGAACATGGACTAATCTGCGTTGTCATTTTTAATCAAAATGTAATGGAGATTGATCATCTGGTGGGGTTCACAAACTTTTCATGAGAGCTGTGAGTTCTTTTTTTGAGATGCACTTTTGCACTTGTTACCCAGGCTGAGTGCAATGGCGCAATCTCGGCTCCACTGCAACCTCCATCTCCCGAGTTCAAGCGATTCTCCTGCCTCAGCCTCCCGAGTAGCTGAGATTACAGGCATGCGCCACCACGCCTGGCTAATTTTTGTATTTTTAGTAGAGATGGGGTTTCACCATGTTGGCCAGGCTAGTCTCGAACTCCTAATCTCAGGTGATCCGCCTGCCTCAGCCTCCCAAAGTGCTGGGTTTACAGGCGTGAGCTACTGTGCCGGCCAGAGCTATGAGTTCTTTCAGAATCCTCAGATGCCATTAGCTAGCCACTGTTTGGACATCCTTCTCACCTTGCCCTTTGGGGTGATATCCATACCTACTTGCTTGCTTCTAACAGTTTTTTTATTTGTTTTGTAGAGACGGGTTTTGGTTTATTGCTCAGGCTGGTTTCAAACTCCTAGGCTCAAGCGGTCCTCCCACTGTGGCCTCCCAAAGTGCTGGGTGGTGTGAGCCACCGTGCCTGGCCAGTTAATTTTTTTTAGTGTCTCTTTTTTGGGTTCTCACCAGAAACACTATCAGCATTCCCACAGATATTCCTGTGAGTCTTTGAAACATTTTCTATCCTGCATTGAGTAAGAATAAAACCGAGGAAGGGGTGAAGCACCTTGTCTCATCCCCAGTCTGGAACTTGAACCTTCTTTTCTCTTCACTTTGCCCTACCCCCAAATAATATGTACAAATGTCTGTATCCATTGAGCACTAACTCCCTATTCCTTCCACCTCCCCAGCCCCTGGCAACCACTGTTCTACGTTCTGTCTCTACGAATTTGACTTCTCTAGGTCCCTCATACAAGTGGAAAAGTACAGCATGTCTTTTTGTGACCGGCTTATTTCACTTAGCATAATGTCCTCAAGGTTCATCCATGCTGTAGCATGTGTCAGAATTGCCTTCTTGCTTGAGGCTGCTGATACCTCCTCATGTGTATATACCGTATTTTGTTTAATCACTCATCTGTTGGTGGACACTTGGGTTGCCTCCACCTCTTGGCTGTTGCAAATAACGCTGTGAACATGGATATACAGATATCTGAGGCCAGGCCAGGCGTTCACACCTGTAATCCCAATACGTTGGGAGGCCGAGGCGGGCAGATCATCTGAGGTCAGGATTCGAGACCACCCTGGCCAACATGGCAAAACCCCATCTCTACTAAAAATACAAAAATTAGCTGGGTGTGGTGGTGCGCGCCTATAATCCCAGCTACTCGGGAGGCTGAGGCAGGAGAATCTTGAACTCAGGAGGTGGAGGTTGCAGTGAGCCGAGATTGCGCCACTGCACTCCAGCCTGGGTGACAGAGTGAGATTCCGTCTCAAAAAAAAAAAAAAACAAAAACTCAGACCCTGCTTTCCTTTGAATATATACTAGAAGTGGAATTGCTGGATCATATGGTAATTCTTTAATTTTTCTGGGGGAACTGCTGTCCCATTTTCCACAGCAGCTACACCATTTTATGTTCCCACCAACGGTGTACAACAATTTCAATTTCTCCACATCCTTGTTCTTGTTAATAGTAGCCACCCTAATGTGTATGAGGTGCCATCTCGTGGTTTGGTGTGGGCTGTGTTTCAATCAGATGTTGGGACCCTTAAGTGTTCTGCACCTGGGGAGAGTTAGGAACCACTTAAGGAGTGTCTGTTGCTTGCCAATCTTAAAATTTTTAGTTTGCACCTGAATCAGGGGCTGTCAGAGTCCAGACTGCTCTTGAAATAGAAAAGACTGGTCGTTAAAGGCTGGTTCGTTGAGTCTTTCATCGTTGAGTGATACCACCTCTGCAGATGGCTCAGTGGGGCAGCCCCGTACCACAGCCTGCCCTTGAGGTTGTGTAGTTTAGATAGGTCACAGAGTTGCTGGGCCTACCGCAGGTCTCCTGACCCTGGTGCAGTTTTACTTCAATTACAACCACCAAAATAGCTACAGTCAAAAATTCCAAAGTTCCTACACCATCAACCTCCACCCCACTTCCGTCCAAAGTCCACTTAGAGGCTCTCAGTTTTGGACCTTAGAAACACTTAGGGAGCTTTTTAAAAAGATCGATTCTGTATTTTTAGTAGAGATGGGGTTTCACCCAGCTACTCAGGAGGCTGAGGCAGGAGAATCACTTGAACCGGGGAGTTGGAGGTTGCAGTGAGCCGAGATTATGTCACTCCAGCCTGGGCAACAGAGTGAGACTCCGTCTTAGGAAAAAAAAAAAGATTGATTCTGGCCGGGCACAGTGGCTCACGCTTACAGTCCCAGCACTTTAAGAGACTCAGGCAGGAGGATCACTTGAGCTTAGGAGTTTGAGACTAGCCTGGGCAACCCAGTGAGACCCCGTATCTACAAAAATTAGCCAGGTGTTGTGACATGTGCCTGTGGTCCCAGCTACTCAAGAGGCTGAGGTGAGAGGAGCAAGTGAGCCCAGGAGTTCAAGGCTGCAATGAGCTGTGATCGCACCACTGCACTCCAGCTCGGGTGACAAGAGTGAGACCCCGTCTGAAAAAAAGATTGATCCCAAGGCCTTGCCCAGATTCTGATTTTATTGGCCTGGAGTGTGGCCTAGGCATTAGAAAATCTTCAAGAGAGTCTAAGGTGCAGCGGAATTGAGAGCCACGGACAGAAAAAGCCCTAAATTGTGGAAATGCACAGCCACCGTCACCACCTATCGGTACGATGACATCTCAAGGAGTCACTGGCCCTAGGTTTCTGCAGTAGGATCTTAAGATCTGATCTCTGCCCTCAAGTGAGTGCACGTGCAGTAAAGCTGTCATCGTGCCATGACAGATGTCTGCAAGGACTTTACAGTGGGGTCCAAAGGATGCCACCATCAGCTCCACCTGGGGCTCAACAAAGCCTGAAAGAAGAAAGGGATGATGCTTCCAGCAGAAACCTGGAGGCCTGCAGCTCTGCCAGCCCAGCACAGCAAGCGAGGCCATTTGTCCAGCAGGGGCAGAAGGAGGGAACTCAGCCAGCCAGCGTTTCCTACAAGCAGCTCCATGAGAGGTTTCCACTTAAAATGCTAAATCATAATTATTTAATCAGATTCGTTCCTTAAGTTCTTTAAGCAGCATCGCTGTCCTACCACGAGTGGTCATCAAGGAGCAGGGTTTAACTCAACTCTGAGTTACCCGGCAGGGTACCTGGGTAACTGCCTGGGTTGAGGTACCCAGCAGGCTTCATGTGCATGTGCACACTGCCCCCTGATAGGACCTGGTTTATTCACAGGCTCAGGTGTCACTGCAGCTCCCCAGTGACTATCTTCGCGCAAGTTGGACTCAATGGCCTGGGAGGTTTGTCCCAGCCGACAGATACCTGACCATGCCCATCCTCACCATTCCCTCCCCCATGCTGCATCCATCCAACCTTGATCTCCACTGTGTCCCAGGCACCCTAAGATGCACAAGCTATGTGGGCCCTGCCCTCACAGAACTTGTAGTCTTCTGCCCCAAACAAGCCAGTTCACCGTCTTCATGATCAGGCCAAAGGTTGAGGTACCCAGCAGGCTTCATATGCACATGCACACTGTCCCCTATAGGACCATGCCTTGCCCAGCTGGCTGCACTCTAGAGGGTGCTTTGTAGGAAGGACAGAGTGGAGAGGACAGTGGGGAGGTACTTGGGTGTTCAACAGCCAGAAGGGAGGGAAACTGAAAAAGAATCAGGAGTCCAGCCATCCCCTCCCCACCTCCTGCCCCCACTTCCACCCTGGCTGCTGGCCCTTTGCCCTTGAATATGGGTGATATAGGTGTGGCTATTCAGTTCCAGTCACAGTGCTGCCTCTATGTCTTTTGCAAGCTGGGGTCTTCCTTACTCAGAAGGCCTGGAGGCCCTGCCAGATGCTGCCTTCCGGACTGGCTGCCCGCTGCAGTGTTTTCACGGGAGCCAAGCCAGCCCCGGGCCTGTAGCCTCCCATGTGACAAAGTTTCAGACACCACAGTCCTCAGCTGGACCACAGTAAACACTTGCCTTCCCCAACCCATGATTCTTGCTTGGAAACATGAACCTGATGTTCCACGTGCGTTCAGCCAATCAAACCTCAAGAATGTGATTGAGCAGTGAGGCTGCGTTTTGGGCAAGACACTGAGCTCTGAAATAAGACTTTTCTTGGAATCTCAAGCCCTCAACTTACAGTGGGACCCTAAGAAATGCACTTCAGTTTCCTTTTATGTAAAATGGTGGTAAAATTAATTGTGTTCATTAAATTGCACACAACTATACATGTTTACCTATACACTAAGTGGTTCTCAACTTGGGGCAATTTGCCCCCCAGGGGACATTCAGCAGTGTCTGCGGACATTTTTTGTTGCTACTGGAGGGAGGTGCTACTGGCATCTAGGGAGTGGAGGCTAGAGATGCTGCTAAACTACAGTCCACAGGACAGTCTCCACAGCAAAGAATTGTCCAGCCCCAAATATCAATAATGCCGAGGTTGAGGAAACCCTGCCACATACACATAGATGCGGGTTAACATTGTTTATTTTACAAAGTGGAATCATTTACATTTTAGCCATTCTGATAGATGAAGCAGTGGCATCTTTTTTTTTTTTTTTTTTTTTTTGAGACGGGGTCTCACTCTGTTGCCCAGGCTGGAGTGCAGGGTTGCAATCACGGCTCACAGCAGCCTCGAAGTCCCAGGACCAAGCAACCCTCCCACCGCAGCCTTCCAAGTAACTGGGACTACAGGCACACAACACCATGCCCAGCTAATTTTTTAATTTTTTTGTAGAGACGGGGTTTCACCATGTTGCCCAGGCTCAAACTCCTGAGCTCACACGATCTGCTGCCTTCACCTTCCAAAGTGCTGGGATTACAGGTGTAAGCCACTATGCCCAGCCTCATTTGTACTTCAGTTTGCAATTCTCTATTAATAAATCTAAGCATCTTTTCACATGTTTATTGGTTATTCTGATTTGCACTTCTGAGAACTGCCTATTTGTATCCTTTGCCCATTTTTCTATTGGGTTATTGGTATTGCTTTTGTCAATTTTAAAGAATTGTATTTACTATAGATATAGATAACCTTTTGTCACTGTGCTAAACATTTTTCTCCCAAGCCAGGTAAAGAATTCAGCACAGTCCCTGCATTGTGTAAAACCTTGAGTAAAGATGTTAGCTCTTGGCCACCCAGGCCAGTGGCCGCCTTTAGACTTTGGCTAGGGCTTCTGGAGCAGTTTTTTTTGTTTGTTTTGTTTTTGTTTTGTTTTGTTTTGTTTTTTGAGATGGAATCTCTCTCTGTCGCCTAGGCTGGAGTGCAGTGACACAATCTCGGCTCACTGCAACCTTTTCTAAGGTACATAGATTGATTGAAAAAGCACAGCTGGGCATGGTGGCTCATGCCTATAATCTCAGCACTTTGGGAGGCCGAGGCAGGAGAATCACTTGAGGCCAGGAGTTTGAGACCAGCCTGGCCAATATGGCAAAACCCTGTCTCTACTAAAAATACAAAAAATTAGCCAGGCATGGTGGCACACGCCTGTGGTCCCAGCTACTTGGGAAGCTGAGGCACGAGAATCACTTGAACCTGGGAGGTGGAGGTTGCAGTGAGCCAAAATTGTGCCATTGCACTCCAGCCCGGGTGACAGAGCCAGACTCTGTCTCAAAAATAAAATTTTTTAAAAAGGCAAATTACCTATTGTGATGGATAAGAAGACTACACTTACAGCAGCATGTCCAGTTGTGCTGGAGGGGACTGTGGTAAGAGCAGAAAATTACCAGAAATCAGGAGCAACATGAAGCAGCCCTGCCGTCATTCGTGGCTTCTGCTTGGCTCGCTTACAAATGCAGGGGCTCACTTTGACCTGGAGCTCACCAGGTGCAGGCTGGCCCCAGTCTTTTATACCTGTTCATCCATCCACTCCTCACAACCACCCAGTGAGGGAGTATGGTGACTCTCCTCGTCTTACAGTAACTCACCCAAAGACATAGTCATCAAGTCGTGGAACAGGAATTTGAAGCCAAGCAGGTGTCTCCAGAGTCTGGGTCCTTAATCTCCTCTCTGTGTCCACCCCCTTTGCTTGGACAGACCCTGAGGATTGGACTTTGTTAAAGGCTGCCCTGCATGTGGTATGGCAGGTAGATGTGAGGGCACCAAATGCCTCTCCAGGCCCCAGAACACCTCTTCTAAGGTATGTCTCTAGGAGGTACAGACGAGACTACTAGGGGGTGGGGTCTGCAGTTTATCTAGTTGGGGAGCTGGCAGCTCACAAGAGATGAAATTAGAGCAAATGAATAACAAGCAGTCACCTTAAGGAACTGAGACTCCCAAGTGATGGCCCAAATCAAAGCACAAGTCAATATTGAAGAGTTTGAGGAAATAGTGGTGGGTTAACCCAAAGGGATCTTCCAGCCTTGGGGCTTTCCTGCGGAGAGGACCTGGCTATGGACTGTACCAGTTACAAAGAACCTCTTTGTGATATCATCTCATCAAATCCCCACAGCCCGGCGACACATGTCCTGTTGGCCCCATTTCACAGTTGAAGAAATGGATCTAGTGGTGAAGGGGAGGCCAGGTCTGCTGCCCCTCTTGGAGATGTGCCTTTGCGTGGGGCACCTCTGGCATCGTCCTCGGGTTCTGACTGGTGTAGGGTGACATCTCCTAGGTCGTGCTGATCAAAGTGGCTAGTTCTCTCCTTTGAAAATAGGAGGCCCCTGAGGAATGAAAGCCAGGTCGGTGAGGGAGGGAATGGAAGGCTACAGAAGCCTGGAGGGTGGATCCATGGGAAGGTAGCCTGCGGGGCTCAGCATGGGGGGCAGAGTATTGAAAAGGGGAAATGGAACAACTTGAGCCAAGGCCATTCCACTGCCCATAGGATGTCTGTCCTGCTCACTGTACTTCTCATCCACCTTCCATCGTGGCCTCTGAAGGCCTGGCCTGGGCGGGCACAGCCCTGTCGCAGGTGCTCTTCCACAAACCGGCTCCTCACCCAGCGTCCTGCCGCCTGGGGACCACCCAACCCCAGGGACAGGGCTGCCCGGGCTCTGCCTGGGCTCTCACAGGACCTGGCAAGCTGCCCTGGCCCCTGGCCTGGGACACGGTGTTTCCCTTCCACCTGCAGGCTGACTCATTGGGATTCCTCCGCGTCCGGTCACAGCAGGCTGGGTCCCTGGGCAGCCGGCGACCATCTGGCCAGCCCAGCTCTAGACTCTCTGTTATAGGCCAAGACTCTGTCTTTTTTTTTTCTCTGTAGTCCCAATTTTAATGCTCAATTAAATATTGGACAAAGAAGGAAGGAAAGGGAAAAAAGAGAAGGAGGAGGGAATCCATGTGTCCACGGTCCTCAAAAATGAACATCTTTTTCTCCTTCATTTTCTAGAGCAGTGGTTCTCACAGTGAAGTCCCCAGGTAAGCAGCAACGGCAGCCCCTAAGAATGTGTTAGAATGCAGGCCAGGTGCGGGGGCTCACACCTATAATCCCAGCACTTTGGGAGGCCGAGGCAGGCAGATCACTTGAGGTCAGGAGTTCGAGACCAGAAGGCCAATGTGGTGAAACCCTGTCTCTACTAAAGATACAAAAATTAGCTGGGCGTGGTGGTGGGTGCCTGTAATCCCAGCTACTTGGGAGGCTGAGGCAGGAAAATTGCTTGAACGCAGGAGGCAGAGGTTGCAGTGAGCTGAGATCATGAGATCGTGACACTGCACCCCAGCCTGGGTGACAGAGCGAGAGTCTGTCTCAAAAAAAGAAGAAGAGAAGGAGGAAGAGGAAGAGGAGCCGGAG
Organism: Homo sapiens; assembly: GCF_000001405.40. Lineage (NCBI taxonomy): Eukaryota > Metazoa > Chordata > Mammalia > Primates > Hominidae > Homo > Homo sapiens. The sequence goes on along the minus strand of NC_000002.12, from coordinate 86,017,390 downwards.
GAGGAGGAGTTGTTACAATGCAAATTATCAGGCCGCACCCCAGACTCCCGAGTCAGAAACTGCAGGGTGGAGGCTGTTATCTGAGTTTGAACACTATCAGGGGGATTTTCACTCATGCTCCAGTTTGAGAACCTCGGCCCTAGAACTGTCATGAGGAAGCCATCTTACCTCTGGTCTGCCCTCTTTTTAGCTGTTTCAGCCCCAGAACTCTCCTGGGTTTGTGGAAATAGCCCCAGAGGCCCCCAGCCTCTGCAGACAGCAGCTCCTGTCAGCGCCCCAGTTTGACCCGCAAGCGGGCTGGGCGTGGCAGGCCTACAGCAGCAGCAGGTGCAGAATGAGCCTCCAGCTTCTCTCTGCATCCTTTGCAGGCATTAGTTCATTCAAACTTCACAACTGTCTGTGAGGCAGGCGGGCGACACCAGCACCTCTGTTTTATAGATGAAGGAAAGGAAGACTCGGGTGTGTTATCGACTGTTTTCCCGTGAGAACATTCCGACTCCTTGGGGACAAGGTCTGTGCCTGTGAAGCAGTTAAACAACTGGCAGAGAAGTTTTGTGTATCTTGGATGGGATGCGGGGCTCCCACAGATCCTCCTCCCCAGAGCCAGCTGAAGGGAGATGAACTAGGACATCCTAGGGCCTGGCATCCTCCTGCAGTGCTCCTGCGCAGCATTTTCCCAGACCCCAACGAAGCCCACAGGCACCTTTGTCTTGTATGTTTAAAACTCCTGCCAGGCGCGGTGGCTCCCACCTGTAATCCCAGCACTTTGGGAGGCCGAGGAGGGCGGATCACAGGTCAGGAGTTTGAGACCAGGCTGGCCAACATGGTGAAACCCCATCTCTAATAAAAATACAAAAATTAGCTGGACATGGTAACACGCGCCTGTAATCCCAGCTACTTGGGAGGCTGAGGCAGGAGAATCACTTGAACCTGGGAGGTGGAGGTAGCAGTGAGCAGAGATTGTGCCACTGTACTCCAGCCTGGGCAACAGAGTGAGACTTTGTCTAAAAAAACAAAACAAACAGAAAAACTCCTCTAGAACCAGGAATCCCATTTTTGGGTCTATACACAAAAGGACCCAAAGCAGGGACTCAAACAGATATTTGTTCACTCATAGCAGCATTATTGACGATAGCCAAAATGGTAGAAACAACCTAAGTATCCATGGACCGATGCATAAATAAACAAAATACTGTATATACATCCAATGGAACCTTATTCAGCCACAAAAAGGAATGAAATTCTGACACACGCTACAACATGGGTAAACCTTGAGGACATTACTCTAAGATAAAAAGTCAGACACAAAAGGACAAATACTATATGATTTCATGTATATAAGGTACTTAGAACACTCCAATTCTTAAAGACAGAAATTAGAATTGTGGTTGCCAGGAGTTGGGGTGAGGAGGGAATAGGCAACTAATGTTTAATGGAGGCAGTTTCAATTATGAAAGATGAAAAAGTTCTGGAGATGGATGGCGATGATGGTTGCACAATAATGTGAATGTACTGAATGCCACTGAACTTAAAATGATGCCACTTAAAAATGATGAAAATGATAACTTTTACATTGTGTGTATTTTACCACAATAAAAAAATATTGCAACCCCTTAATAATTCCCCATCCACCCCCAAAAAACCCTTTGGGTGTTGGGGCCATTTCCAGAGAAAGAGCATCACACAGATTATTCTGCAAACACTCCACACAGTCACGAGGCTCCATGACTCCACTGTGGCAGGGGAGGGAAGGGCCAGGACACTGGGTTTGATTTCCTGGGCCCCACTTTCTGGCCCTGTGACCTTCAGCAAGTGGCCAGCTGATCTCAGACCCCCAGCCTCCTCTTCTATAAAATGGACTAATAATATCTCAGTGTTCTCATGAAGACCAGTCAGGAAACGATTTGAATGCTTCTGGTACACGACAGGTGCTCAACATTGGTGTTATAGTTATTTATGATGTTCCCTCAGCCTCGAATGTTCTGGCCCCTTCTCTACAGAGTAAGCTCCTATTTATCCTTCAAAGACCCCTCTGCTTAAATCCCATCTCTTCTGTGAAGCTGTCATAGTCTGTAGTATGGTTCACCAGTACCGGCTTCCCCTCCCTGCCAGATGTTGGGCATGGCCATTTGACTTGAATGACTTCTAAGAGTTGCTTAATTCTTTGCCATGAATGACTTCTTTCCCTCTGGCCTGGTCACCAGTGCTGCTCCAGATGGTAGATGCTCTGGCCACCTGGCTCCCAGGCGCAAAGCCCCAGCCAACTCACAGTGCACAGGCTGCATGAGTAAGGAACAAACCTCAGCTATTTAAACCTCTGACATGTGGGGTTGCTTGTGACCCCAGTATAACCCAGTTTAGGGCCACTCCAAGTGTGATCTTCCTACTGCCAGGATCAGCAGCCCTGGGAGCATGTTGGAGATGCACACCTTGGACCCCACCCCAGACCTAATGAACCAGCCTCTCCATTTTCTCATAATTTGGTGCATGCTGAGCATGGCTTCTCTCCCATAAAAGCACTTAGTGGTGGTGGTTCCCCCCAACTCTTCCATGGCCTCTGAAGCAGGCCCTGCTAGTTGCTTCCTCTAGATCTATCCTCTCCTTCTTCCTTACTGAGAATTTGGATTTTATTGGTGGTGTCAGTGTGCTCAGGTTAAAATACTGTTTCCCAGACTCCCTTGCAGCTAGGGATAGTCATGTGACCCATTTCTTTCTCTGGACCAGAGGAAGGCACTGAATGAGACTTCGGGGAAAGCTTGTTCAAAAGGATAGGCCTAGCTAGGTGGCAAGTGCTTCTGGCCTTTGGCTTTGTTTTTCCCTTTCTTCCTGTCTGGAACTTGGATGTGGTGGTGGGGTGTTATGAAATGATCCCAGCGACTTGAGCCTCCTTGTATTCACACCGTCAGGTAGGCCCCACCAGCACTGAATCTGGGCTGGCCTGTGACTAGCTTTGACCAACTGAATGTGGTAGAAATAAGATTCAGGGACTTCTGTTCTGTTTGGAACCTGGGACCTGCCCAGGCTTGGGAGTCAATCACGTCTCTGTCAAGGGGAGAACTATTTGTGCAACTCATCATCATCCAGGCCAGAAACTGCCTCTTCATCTGCAGCTAATTGGTGACCAGGCCCATCCCTTCCCATGGCCCACATCTACCCTATGGTTGATCCATGGAACAGCTGCCTCTTGATCTCTTGCCCCTTCATCCCCACCCTTTCCACTGCTCCTCCCCACTTCTACTGATCAAGCCTGCACAGAGCAGTCAGATAGCTCTTTCTAAATGCAAATGTGAAGATCATTCCTCAGTGCTCTTAGGGTAAGTCCCAAGGCCCTGGCATGGCCTGCATTGCCATAGATGATATAGAGGCTCTAGCTCTCTGATTCCATCTCTAGTTACACCCCTCTCTAAATGCCATGGCCTCTGGACACACCATGCTACTCCCCGTTTCTGATACAAGCTATGCCTGTTAATACTCCCATGCCTTTGCCCCGTGGCTTCATGATGATTCGATGTCTCAGCCAGTTTGGGTTGCTGTAACAAAATACCACAGACTGGGTGGCTTAAACAACAGAAATTTATTTCTCACAGTCTGCAGCCAGAAGTCCGAGATCAAAATGCCCGCAAGGTAGGTTTTATTCTGAGGTCTCTTTCTTTGGCTTATAGGAAGCTGCCATCTTGCTGTGTGTTCACATGGCCCTTCCTCATTCCTCCACAAGGAGACAGAGAGAGACAGACAGAGGCAGAGAGAGAAGAGAGGAGAGAGAGCACGAGCACATGCTGGCACACTCTGATGTTTCTTCTTAGAAGGACATTAATCCTATTGGATCAAGACCCCACCCTAGGACTTCATTTAACCTTAATTACTTCCTTAGAGGCCCCATCTCCAAATACATCCACACTGAGGGTTAGGGCTTCAACATATGAATTTGAGGGGGGACACAGACATTCAGTCCATTATACTCAATTAGGGATGGCTGCCTAGAGAACTCTAAGCATCACAGCAGGCTGTGAGGTAGGGATGAGCCATCAGAGACAATTGAAAGTCTCTCGTGAAGGGTTCACCCTTCTCTTTCCTCCTCCTGTGTGGGATATGCTGCATCTGTCTTAGAGATGCTGCGCAGATGCCTATACTGGGGTCTGTCTGGATCACAGGCGGCTCTTCCTGCCACTGTCCCCTAGAACAGCTGAGGCTTTTGTCCTTCCTGCCATCTCCACTGCCTGCACCCCACCCATCCCAGCACTGCCACACCACCCTCTGGCTGCCATCACTTTGAATGAGAAGCAAATAGGTTCAGTGACTTCCAATCCTGCTAGAGCAGGGAAGGGATTGATTTGCCTTCTGACTGGAGGCAAGGGGGCCCATGTTAACCACTGCAATGTCACAGGCAAATCAAGAGCAGGCAAGGGTGTCTGCGACTGGGGAGCGGGGTGCTGTGGGGAATGGAGAAAAGTATTCAAGACTGAAGTACTTAGCATCGTTAAAACCATAAAGATGGAAAGCAGAATGCTGGTTGCCAGGGCCTGGGAGAAGGGGAAATGGGGAGTTAGTGTTTCATGGGTATAGAATTTCAGTTTTACAAGAGGAAAAGGGTTATGGAGATGGATGGTGGTGAGAGTTGCACAGCAATGTGAATGTACTTAATGCTACTGAACTGTACAGCTAAAAATAGTTAAGATGGTCATTTTTATATTATGTGTATTTCACTACAGTAAAAAAATTTTTTTGAGAATAAAAAGGACATACACTAGCTGTTAGAATGCAGCTCATGTGATTGTAAACGTGCATCTGAGTGTGTGTGGGGGCCTGTTCCCCTGCCCCCATGCTCAGCCAAGCTTCCTCCACCAGCAGCGCATGCCACATGGCCAAGCCCCCTGGGGACGGCTGCAGGTGGGCATCCTGCCCTGGCCATGCTCCTGCTCTGGTCCTGCTGCAGCCTCTCCCCATTGGGTGCTAATTTTCTGCCAGTGCCCCCTACCTAGCCCTGTGAGATGTGCTCATCGAGGCCATTGTGGGCTGCAGGACCATCCTGGGTCAGCTGCATGTTGGGAGGGCCAGAGGGGGGCAACTCTGTCTAGGTGGAAGATCAAAGACAGGCCTTCCAGGTGAGGGGCCAGGTAATAGGCACAGGAATGTGTGAGCATGTACAGGACAGCACACTCTCCCTTTCGCCTGAAGTGGATGGTGGGAGCACAGGGCAGAGGGTAGGGGGCGGGGAGACCCAAGCAGGAGTAGGTTGTTAGGGCTGGACTGGATAGTGAAGAGACAGCCCCAGGAGCCTGCTCTCTTTGGCTCGCAGCCTTGAGAAAGGAGCAAGGGCTTCCTGCAGCCGGTTCACACAGGGGTCCCTCTCCTCACTTGGGGGCAGTGTCTTACGGTCACTGCTGGGAGAGAAAGGAGTGGGGCCCAGCTCTGCTCAGGACCCAAGAGGGCCTAGAGCCCCACACTCAACAGGGGACTGGCCTTCAGCGAATTTCCCAAGGATGAAGGAAGGCTGGGAAAAGCCTGTGATCATTTCCCAGGCCCCTCACAGGCCTCCCAGGAGACCCATGCAGAGGGCGCTGGCCTCTGCACGTCCCCAGCATTTTCCTGGAGGTCACACTTTCCCAGCCAAGAAGGATGTCGAGTGCCTGGGAGCAGAGTCACAGAGGTGAGGACTTCCTTGGCCCTGCCCAGATGCCAGTGCCCTGGGGGAACAGCTCCCTGCCCAGGAGCTGGTGCCATCAGAGGTGCACTGAGAGGCGGCCAGGTCTACCTACACTCAAAGCCTGCTCTTTGGCATGCCCCAGTCCTGCGAGAAGGATCCTGGGTGACTCACTTTATGAGGCTCCTTGCTCTCCAACAAAGCTGTTTAATGTTTATTGCATTGTAAAAATCGAGCTTTTTCACATATGTTTCCTACCGCCCGCTGTGTCTTCTACAGTGGGCTCCCAGAATGGGGACTAGGGGGAGGCAGCAAAGGCAGTTGTCTGACATCTCACTCCCTACTTTGCAGCCCCTCTGCCTGCTCTGCCTCCCCTACTGACAAAACCCCAGTTTCAATCAGGCTGTAATATGTTCAGCTATAAGTGGCCTAAACCAATCATAGCAACCCCAGCCCCTGTGCTCTTGACTGGCCAGACCCTTATCAATGGCATGTAAGTAGCTTCTGGGAAAATACCTAGTTACATCCATAGGGAGAGGTCCATCCCCTTCTTCCCTTGGCAGTCACCTTGCTGCCACTGGCATGCCTAGAGATTGGCAGAGGGCTGACCTAGGGCCCTGGCATGGTTGAGTGGTTGTGACCCATTTCATTCTGCATTGTATTTTTTTTTTTGAGACGGAATCTCACTCTGTTGCCCAGGTTGGAGTGCAGTGGTGTGATCTCGGCTCACTGCAACCTCCGCCTCCTGAGTTCAAGTGAATCTCCCTGACTTAGCCTCCTGAGTAGCTGGGATTACAGGCACCCACCACCATGCCTGGCTAATTTTTTGTAGTTTTAGTAGAGACAGGGGTTTCATCATTTTAGCCAGGATGGTCTCGATCTCCTGACCTTGTAATCTGCCTGCCTCAGCCTCCCAAAGTGCTGGGATTACAGGCGTGAGCCACCAGCCTAGCCTCTGCATTATATTTTAAAGTTGATTTGCTGTCACCACTCTTACATTTTACAAGGAAGACAATACCTTTCACCATGTTCCTAAATTTAAGAAAACCTGCACAGTCCTCTTTTATAAGGTGAGTAAATGAAAGTGAGATCAATGAAGTCAGGTTTAATAATCACCTCAACTGGTAGATAAGATCAAATGCCTATGCCAAACACAATTTGCAGTTTTGTGTGAACAAAAGTTTTCTACAACACACATCCTGGCAGATGTTACTGTAACAAACATATCCTGGTCTCAAGATTGTAAGTCAATCAATGATCTTTAGGACTATTACTATTAGAACTAACACTATTTCAGAAAAACTCTATGCCCTTCTCAATAAAAAAACTTGGAAACTGAATTTTATGATAAAAATAGGGGGGACAAGGTATAGATTTAACTTACCTTGTTTGGTAATAGGTATGGAAATATTTGCTAACTTTTCTTTGTCTTATAATGGCTGACTCAGAGCTTGTCTTCCTAAAGCATGTATGTCATTAGACACCCATTCTGTCATAGTTCTTCAATAACTATGGATTCAGACTTGCAGGCTTGAGCTTGGATTAAACTCTTATAGCCAAAGCTGAGTTTAAAAATGTATGGCTTGTAAGTTTTTGTTTCCACAAACTCATGAGCCAATCTTGGAACTCCTACTTCTAGGTCTTTGTTATATTAATTATAATATAATTAAACATTTTTATTATTAAGTCTAGTCATTTGGGTTTTCTATTACTTGTGGCCAAATGCATTCTTTTTTTTTTTTTTTTTTGAGACAGAGTCTTGCTCTGTCACCAGGCTGGAGTGCAGTGGCTTGATCTTGGCTCACTGCAACCTCCACCTCCCAGGTTTAAGCGATTCTCCTGCTCAGCTTCCCAAGTAGCTGGGACTACAGGTGAGCACCACCACCCCCAGCTAATTTTTGTATTTGTAGTAGAGACAGGGTTTCACCATGTTGGCTAGGATGATCTCGATCTCTTGATCTCATGATCCACCCGCCTCGGCCTCCCAAAGTGCTGGGATTACAGGCATGAGCCACAGCGCCCGGCCTCTTTTTTTTTTTTTTTTTTTTTGAGTCTCACTCGGCCACCCTGGAGTGCCGCCCTCACTCTGCCGCCAGGCTGGAGTGCAGTGGCATGATCTCGGCTCACTACAACCCCGCCTCTTGGGTTCAAGCGATTCTCCTGCCTCAGCCTTCCAAGTAGCTGGGATTACAGGCGACTGCCACCACGCCAGGATAATTTTTGTATATTGAGTAGAGACAGGGATTTCACCATGTTGGCCAGTATGGTCTGGATCTCCTGACCTGGTGATCTGCCCACCTCGGCCTCCCAAAGTGATGGGATTACAGGCATGAGCCACCACGCCCAGCCCAAATGCATTCTTAACTAGCACAGTGATTTCCCAGTAAGGAATCCATAGAAACATGTCCAATGAACAAGTTTTCCCTTCTAGGGTTTCCCATCAGAGCTGATTACGCTCAAAGCCTTGAAGACATCATTGACCCTTCCTTCACTCACCTCCACCCTCCTAATCTACCAACTACTTCCCCAAGATATTTTGAACTGGTCCATTTCTCCCTATTTTTTGCCACCAGTGGAGTTCCAGCCCCTCTTTTATATCTTGCCTCTGCTATTGCAGTCCCCTCCCAACTGATCTTGCTGCTTCCATGTTCTCCCTCCTCGAAGCAGGCAGAGTAATCTTTGAAGAGTGCAAATATGATTCTTGCTCTCCATCCGTAAACTATTTCATGGATTCTCCTTGGACACAGGGGAAGAGTTTAAAAAATAGCAATTTCTATTTCTTCTTTTCAAAAGTTATTATTACTATTTTAAGTTGGGTGCAGTGGCTCATGCTTGTAATCCCAGTACTTTGGGTGGCCAAGGCTGGAGGATTGCTTGAGCCCGAAAGTTCAAGACCAGTCTAAGCAACATAGGGAGACCTTGTCTCTTAAAAAAAAAAAAAAAAAGAAAAATTAGCCAGGTGTGGTGGTGCACACCTGTAGTCCCAGCTACCTGGGAGGCTGAGGCAGGAAGATCAATTGAGCCTGGGAGGTGGAAGCTGCAGTGAGTCATGATTGTGCCACTGCACTCCAGCCTGGGCAACAGAATGAGACCCTGTCTCAAAAAAAAAAAAATAGTATTATTTTAGACTTCAGATCATGAGCATCAAAAAATTATTTTATTTTTACATCAACAAAAATATTGTACGCATTTACTATGTACAGCATGATATTTTGAAGTATATATACATTGTGGAATTACTAAATCTGACTAATAAACTAATGCATTACCTCACATAGTCATCATTTTTGTTTTGTAAGGAACACAACATCTTATTAACTATATTTACTATTATTGCTATTATATTTACTAATATACTATTAACTATATTTACTATTATAGCTACTATTAACATAGTCCCTATGTTTAAAATAGATCTCTCGAACTTTTTCCTCCTGTCTAACTGAAATTTTGCGTCTTTTGGCTAGTATCTTCCCAACCACTCTGCTCCCAACCACCACAGCCCCTGCTAACCACCATTTTACTCTCTGCTTCCCTAAGATCAACTTTTTTAGAGTCCACATCTAAAAAGGGGGTGAGATTATGCAGTATTTGTTTTTCTGTGCCTGGCTTGTTTCACTTAACATAATAGCCTCCAAATTCATTCACGTTGTCACAAGTGACAGGATTTTGTTTTCTGTTTTGTTTTGAGACAGGGTCTCACTCTGTCACCCAGGCTGAATGCAGTGGCACCATCACAGCTCACTGCAGCCTTGACCTCCTGGGCTCACGCGAGGCTTCCGCCTCAGCCTCTCAAGTAGCAGGGACTACAGGCACATCCCACCACGCCTGGCTAATTTTTGACTTTTTGTAAAGACAAGGTCTCACTATGTTGTCTAGGCTGCTCTCAAACTCCTGAACACAAGTGATCCTCCTGCCTTGACCTCCGAAAGTGCTGGGATTACAGGCATAAGCCACCATGCCTGGGTGATTTTAATACTTTTTTTATAGTCGAATGGTATTCCATTGCATATATATATACCACATTCTTTTTATCCATTTATCTATTGATGGACATTTAGGTTGATCCCATATCTTGGCTGTTGTGAATAGTGCTGCAATAAACATGAGAGTGCAGATGTTTCTTTGTCATACTGATTTCATTTCCTTTGGATATATACCCAGAAATGGGATTGCTGGATCATATGGTAGTTCTATTTGTAGTTTTTTGAGGAATCTCCATCTTATTTTCCATAATGGCTGTATTAATTTACATTCCACCAACAGTGTGCAAGTGTTCCCCTTTTCTCCACATCCTTGTCAACACTTCTTATCTTTTGTTTTTTTTTATAACAGTCATTCTAACAGGTATGAAGTGATATCTCATTGTGGTTTCAATTTGCATTTCTCTGCTGATTAGTGATGTTGAGCATTTTTTCATATATCTGTTAGTTGTAGGTCTTCTTTTGAAAAACATCTATTCAGGTCCTTTGCCCATTTTTTAATTGGGTTATTTGTTTTCTTGCTATTGAATTGTTTGAGCTCCTTATGTATTTTGAATATTAACCCTTTATTGGATATATAGTTTGCAAATATTTCTCCCATTCTGTAGGCTGTCTTGTACTGTTAATTGTTTTCTTTACTATGAGAAGCTTTTTAGTTTGATATGATCTCACTGTCAACTTTTGCTTTTATTGCCTGTTCTTTGGGCGTCATATCCAAAAAGTCATTGCCCAGACCAATGTCATAGAACTTTTCTTATATGTTTTCTTTTAGTAGTTTCATAGTTATGGGTCTTACATTTAAGTTTTCAATTCATTTTGAGTAGATTATTGTATATGGTGGGAGATAAGGGTCTAATTTCATTCTTTTGCATATGAATATTCAGTTTTCCCAACATCATTTATTGAAGAAATTGTTCTTTCCCCATTGTGTGTTCTTGGCTCTTTTGTTGCAAATCAATTGGCTATAAATGCATAGATTTATTTGTGGGTTCTCTGTTCTGTTTCATTGGCTTATGAGTCTGTTTTTATGCCAGTACCATGCAGTTTTGATTACTATCACTTTGTAGTATATTTTGGAATCAGGTAGTGTGATGCCTCCAGCTTTGTCCTTTTTGCTCAAGATTGCTTTGGGCATTCGAGGTCTTCTGTGGTTTCATACACATTTTAGAATTGTTTTTTTCTATTTCTGTGAAGAATGTCATTGATATTTTGATAAGGATTGCATTGAATCTGTAGATCGCTTTAGGTAGTATGGACATTTTAACAATATTAATTCTTCCAATCCATGAACATTGGATATCTTTCCATTTATTTGTATCTTCCTCAATTTCTTTCATCAACATTTTATAGTCTTTAGTATAGAGATCTTTCACCTCTTTGGTTAAATTTATTCCTAAGTATGTAGAAGACCTTAAACCTATAGCATGGTGTATAAGTTTCCTGTTGCTGCATATCAAATTACCACAAATGTAGTAACTTAAAAGAACACACATGTATAATTCCAGTTTCTTAAGTCAAGAGTTTGGGCACAGCTAAACTGGGTCTTCTGGCCAGGACCCCACAAGGCTGTAGTCAAGGTGCGGATGGGGACCATGATCTCATCTGAGACTTGCTCATTTTCAGCAGGTCCCTTGCAGCTATAGGTCTGACACTCAGCCTCTAAAGACTGCTTGATGTTCCCTAACACATGGTCCTCTCCACAACATGGCAATTTGCTCCCTCAAGGTCAAGGAGAGAACATCTCTGCTGGTTCTTCTGACTCTGACATCTAGACCCTTTTTAAAAAAATTATGGCATAATGCACGTAACAGAAAATTGACCATCTTAATCATTTTTAAGTGTACAGTTCAGTGGCATTAAGTACTTTCACATTGTTGTCTCTGTAATTTTAACTACTTTAGGTACCTCATATAACTGGAGTCATACAGTATTCGTCTATTTGTAACTGGCTTGTAGGCCTTCCATTAAATGGCTCACATCAACTGACCTAATGGTCATCCACCCAAGAAGATAATGTTCCAGGCTGGGCACAGTGGCTCACGCCTGTAATCCCAGCACTTTGGGAGGCTGAGGTGGGTGGATCATCTGAGGTCAAGAGTTCAAGACCAGGCTGGCCAACATGGAAGCCCCATGTCCACTAAAAATACAAAAATTAGCCGGGCATGGTCGCACATGCCTGTAATCCCAGCTACTCGGGAGGCTGAGACAGGAGAATCACTTGAACCCGAGAGGCGAAGGTTGCAGCAAGCTGAGACTGCACCATTGCACTCCAGCCTGGGCAATAAGAGCGAAACTCCATCTCAAAAAAAAAAAAAAAAGATAATATTCCTTTTTATCAATTAAAGTCAACTGATTAGGAACCTTAATCACATCTGCAAAATCTCTCTACTTTTGCCGTAAAATGTAACCTATTTACAGGAGTGACATCCCATTATATTCACAGGTCCAACCTGCACTCAAGGGGAAGGGATAATACAGGGTGTGTACACAGGGGGAAGGAATCTTGGAGCTCATCTTAGAATCCAGCCTACCACAGTGGCCTCTAAGGCCTTGCATGGTCTGGCCTCTATGTCTCTCTCCCTCTGACTTGGTCCAAGCCATTGTCCTCATTGTCTGCCCTCCTTTGGCCACACTAACCTTCCTGTGCCTGAAGTATCAACCTCTGAAATAAGTTGTTCCCATTTCTGGAACACTTCCCCCTAACTCTTCACCTGGTTAATTCCTACTCACTCATTCTTTAAGTCTCAACATAGAAGGTCCTCTAAAGTTCTCAAAACTAAATGAAGACCCTACTATATCCTTTCATGACATCCTGTACTTTTTTTTCTTTTTTTTTAGACAGAGTCTCCCTCTGTCACCCATGCTGGAGTGCAGTGGTACGATCTCGGCTCACTGCAACTTCTGCCTCCCGGGTTCAAGCAATTCTCCTGCCTCAGCCTCCCACATCCTGTACTTTTAATTCAAACACATATCACAGTCTGTAATTCAATATTTATCTGTGGGATTATTTCTTTCATGTGACTCTCCCCACTAGACAGAAATCTCTATTACAGTAGAACCCATGTCTGTTTTGTTTGCCATTGTATCTCCAGCCCCTTGTATAGCACCTGGCACTTGGGAAGCTCTCATTAAACATTGATGGACTGACTGACAGGCTGAATGAATGGAAAAAAATATACCAAGACAGTCATAACCACAAATTGCTTCCCCATTAATCTTTAGAAGCAGGAAGCTGAACAATGTTCTTGGTGGTAGAATTCACCACTCCTTATATTAGTGAAGATACAAGTAAGGTGACAGACACCTCGAAATACAGTGACTACAAAGGCTCAAATAAGATAGAAGTCTATGCCTTGCCTATGAAATTGGTCAGAAGTCGACTGGCAGTACAAGGTGGGAAGGCCATTTGGTTTAATGAGGTTGTCCACATCATCAAAACTGCTCACTCACCAGCACCATGTCCACAATGCAGTCCACAGAACAGAAGAAAAGTGGAGGACAAGCCATTTACTGATAATAGTGTGATCTGTAAGTTGCACACATCACTGCTGCTCACATCCCATTGGCTCAGACTTAGCCACATGATCACACCTTGCTGCAAGCGAGGCTGGGAAATGAAGTCTTTACTTGGGCAGCCATAAGCCCAGCTTAATCTCAAGACTAAATCTATTAATACAAAGAAGGAAGGGAGAATCGGTGGTAGTTCCTGCCACCCTCATGCCTGTGTAACTCTTCTTTTCAAATACACTTTCTTGTCTATTATCTCAATCCCACAGGTTGAACGTGGGCTGGTCTTTGGAAACACATATTCACGTAATAGCTTTGACTCATTTTGCAAGCTTAAATCAAAGTATCTGTTGCTTTTTCCCTATTAGTTGCCTGAGCACCCATTTGCGTATATTAGCAGGGAGGTCTGGCATCTCTTTTTTGAGATGGAGTCTCGCTCTGTGCCCAGGCTGGAGGGCAGTGGCACGATCTTGGCTCATTGCAACCTCCGCCTCCCAGGTTCAAGCAATTGGCCTGCCTCAGCCTCCCTAGTAGCTGGGATTTTGGTGTGCACCACCATGCCTGGCTAATTTTTCTATTTTTAGTAGAGACGGGGTTTCACCATATTGGCAGGCTGGTCTCAGATTCCTGACCTCAAGTGATCTGCCCACCTTGGCCTCCCAAAGTGCTGGAATTACAGGCGTGAGACACAGCACCAGGCCTGGCATCTTTTTTTTGAGGCTTTCCTCTCACTTTTCCCCACCCCATTGCCAACACCATTGCCCAAGGACCCCTAGAGGCTGACCATCCAAAGAGCCCAGTCTGCCCCAGCCACCAGGCCTAGAGAAGAGGCTGGGATTTGGGATTGTTCTTGTTGCTTCTGTTGCCACCATGCTGTGTCTTGGTTAAAAACTAGTCCTGCCCCATATGTTGCAGCTTTGTCCCTTCTACAGTGATGACCTCATTGGCCTGATTCCCCAGGAGCCTCCTGAGCAGGAACTCCAAGTTCACCCTTCTATGCTCAGCCTCAGCAGAAGTTGTGTGTGTCTGAGTGTCCAGGGCATTATTATACTTGTTCTTGTACTTGGCCAGGAGCAGCCTTTCCCCACAATCCTCTAGGCCTTGTTGCCCTCCTTTTCTTTCACGATAATGATGTCCTGAGTAGGGTCTCTTCCAATCCACAAGGGAGGTCCTAATGACAGTGATATTCAGAGGGGAAGCAGTTGGGGGTCTTAATTCTGCCTCCCCAGGAACTTCCTTGTCCCCCAGGCAGCCATCTCTGCATACAGAGGGTGCTGGGTGAAACAGATCTTGCTTGGCTGCCAAGGCTCCTACTATACATTGGCCCTGTGGCAATAGGGGCCCCTTTTTTTGTTTTTGCACAATTCAGAGTGGCCAGTAAGGTTCAGGGGGAGAAGACAACCAAGATCTAATCCAAGGTGACTCTCAATATCCACAGAGATGGAAAAGTTATTGGCAGCTTTTCTCTCTAAATGTACTTACCCCTCATCGAGCCCCCAGTCACATATGGGAAGGAGGCAGAGGCTCAAAGGTATGAACTGGCCAAGGTCACAGAGCCAGCCACCAGACAGACCGTGGTGTCATGCCTCCTGGCTCTGACCACCCTGATTCTGATGTGTCTATGCTTGGGCCCCACGTCTCACCCAGAAGGCTGACTTGTGTCACTTCAAGCACTTTCTTCTGATTAACACCTCTTTGTTTCCAAAGTCATTGCCATTATTTACTTTGAAAGGTTCTTCTCTCTTTAGCCTGCCCTTTGGAGGGACTGATAATGCTGCCCAGGCGTGGCTTCATTTATTGTCTGTGAGTGTTCATCCAAGAATTACCTGGTACCTTGATTCATTCATCATGGGGTGTCCTTCCACTCACATTTCATTGGCCAAAGCAGATTACATGATAGCATCTAACTTCAAAGAAGGCAAGAAAATACAACCTTACTATGGGGATGAGAGGAGGAAAAACTGATTATCTATGCACCACTGTAATGACTATCACAGCTTTTATGAGAGGATTCCTATGTGCTTTGTGGAAACCAATGCATTTCACCTAAAATTCTTCAAATCTATATCTATAGTAAATCTCTAACAGATCAGCTTGTTGACTCTGCGAGAAAAGAAAATGAGATTAATTTGACATGATATATTCTTAGAAAATATATTGGCTTCCAATGATTTGTATTTTTTCTTTTAACTTAAAAATATTCCAATTTAAATTCTTCTTATTTCTAATTTATATTCTATGTAGTCACAACCTAATGTTTAATGAACCATTCTAGAATTTTCCCAGGGAGAGACAGAAATCTACAAGTTTATGGTTTCTTAACGCATGTGTAATTAATTGCTGCAAAAAATTAATTGCATTATATTCACTGTTAAAATGTTGTAAAGGCCTTTGTTATGGAGGACTCTGTTGCTATGGTCAAAGCAATTGCAACTCAAGATTGAATGAGCAAAAGTATTATGAATCCTCAAAGCTCTGTGTGTGTATGTGTGTGTGTGTGTGTGTGTGTGTAGCCAAAGATAGTTGAAACCAACTGATGCTTAACCTCAAAAGCAGCAAAGACTTGGACTTTCTATATGGGCAAAAGGAGGCCTGGGGTCCCACAGCATTCACAAGGCCAGGTCAGGACTCCCCATCTGAAGATAGGCAGATTGTGCTGTGAAGGCACCTCCTGGGTGAAGTTCTTCCTGATACTTGCTTAAGGTCCCCTGTCTTACCCTTTGATCCAAGCACTCAGATGACACAACCTGGGGCCCCAGATTTTTCTGTCAAGAGAGAGTGACCGGCACCATCACATGATGAAGCCAGAGGACAAAACCAGGTAATGGAGAGGCCTGAAGAGAAGGTGACACTGCCTGGAGCCACAGGGTCTCCCCTTAGCTCCTTTGGGATGAAGTTGGCTATGCATCTGTGCAGTGAGGTGCACAGAGGGTCCTCTGTGTGTCCCTGAATGATATCCAAACAGGACAGTGCAGAGGCTGCAACTGGTGTATGAATATGGTTCTCTTTCCATCAGCTCTTCCTCCTTAATCTCTGAGCACTCCCACTTCAGAATGGCAGGGGTTAACCGTGAGGAGTCACCTCCATCTGAGTGGGCAGGGAAGGCCTTAGCTGGGATGTGGGATTTGGACGGCATGTTGAAGAACAGATGGAGAGAGTGGGAGCAGGGGTTGGAAGGTCAGTGAGGAAGATCTGATTTGTCAGGTGTGGGAAGTTCCTGAAATAGGAGGTAGACCAGAAAGTTGAGGACTGCTGCAGAAGCCTTGAATGTCAGGCTGAAGTGTTCAGACACTTCAGCAGGAAGCCATAAAATGCTTTGATCTGGGTCTTGACATGTATAGACCTGGGTCAAACCAAGACAAACTTGACAGAGGGCTGTGGAACAGACAGGGAAAAAGAGACCAGAGACAGGGTCACAGGCTATTGTAGTAGTCAAAGCCAAAAGCAAGATATCCATGAGCCAAACTGCCAAAGGAAAGGAAAAGACAGGGATTCCGGTGACTAATCCTATGAATTTGAGAGTGAAAAATACCTAGAAGTTGACAATTTAAAAATATTTTCTGTCCACACCCTGTATGATGCTGAAATTTTAGGCATCTGTGTGCCCAGAAAAAGAGAGAGCCCTGACCAAATTGATAGCGTATTTCTGCCTCTTCCCAGTGGTCACATTCTCCCGGGAAAATGAAGTTTTTTACAAAAGAAGTAACTCCACCCAGTGCACGTGCATTCTTTTTCACTCTAGCAGAATAACGGGTATCTGCTCAGTTCTATCTTATTGCTAATGTTTATCTCAAACCTAGAGCTCTTCATCCACTTCCTATGGGAGCCGGAGTGGGAGGTGGGGCAAAGAGACAAAGCTGACTTCCCCTTGATCTTATTGCATCAGTCAGAGTCCCAGCAGGAGAGAGATGGCAATTCAAAGTTACAGCTCAGTCACTGGAGAGAATACAGTGAGCAGACATGGGCAAGATGGAAAAAAATGAACAAGGATGGTGCAGCACCTCTGGGATAGTAACAGTGGGGAGCCATCACCACCCTAAGCGTGAAGGACCAAGGCGGGAACGTGGCATCAAGAATGCAGAGAGATAGCACTTTGGGAGGCCGAGGTGGGTGGGTTGAAGTCAGGAGTTTAAGACCAGCCTGGTCAACATGGCGAAATCCCATCTCTACTAAAAATACAAAAATTAGCTGGATGTGGTGGCACACGCCTGTAATCCCAGCTACTCGGGAGGCAGAGGCAGGATAATCACTTGAACCTGGGAGGCGGAGGTTGCACTGAACTGAGATAGTGCCATTGCATTCCAGCCTGGGCAACAGAGTGAGACTTCGTCTCAAAAAAAAAAAACAAAAAACAAAAAACAAACAAGCAAAAAAACCAATAACAACAAAAGAACGCAGACAGAGCTATAGCCAAAGGAGGGGCTTGCTGGAAAGTGTGCCATGGCCTTCAGTAGAGGAACCAGACACTTCACCACCAAGCCACCCCCCATGGCAAAGAGGGAGAACAGTAAGTGCCAGGATGGCTCTTTCCTCCTGCCCTCCTATTCCCTGCTGCTGGCCACGATGGGCTGAACTCAACCAGAACCCAGAAGGTGCGGGAGCTCAGTTGACGTGGTTCCTACAGGCCAGTCCCAGGATCAGGGCAAGGTGGAGAAGAAAGGAGAGCGAGTGGGTCTGGAGGGACAAACGAAATCTTCAGCATGCTAATATTGATGTGCAAAACCAAGCAGCACAACAGAAACCTGCTGTCTTTCACTGAGCTCTAACCATGGACCCAGCGTGAGGAAATGATGTCAGGCCAAGGCTGGGGCTCTGAGTAAATGGTTTGTACAGACAGGAGCCTACCACTGAGGCCCTGAGGGAAGCAAATACCCGAGAACAGGCAGAGACAGAGGGAGAGAAACTGCAAATCCCTTTCCTAATTCCTGATTCCAATTCTCTGAGAGGTTTTGCAGCCTGTTTCCATGAGAGTACCCTGATTTCAGAAAAAAAAAAAAATTTCCGTTTTACACAAGGCAGAAATAGAAACTTCCTCAAGTTTCTAGTATACCCAAAGTTTCAAGTTTCAAGTATACCCAACATTCTTTGGTTATAAGAAATAGAAACTTCCTCAAGTTTCATAGAAACTTATAACCAAAGAATTTTGGGTGTACTTCATCTAAAACAAGAACCTCAAACATGCTTAATTTCATCTAACCCATAACCCTGTCTCCTTCCCCATGTTAAAGAAGAGGGGATTCAGGATCTGAGTAAGATAAGGTGAACCTTATCCTGGGAGGCGGGACTCACACTCGGGTCTACCCGACTGCAGCACTGTGGAATTTTCTAGGACTCCACAGGCAGGCAAAGCTGGCCAAAAGCAACTTCCAAAGCCAGGAGGGAACTCCACCCCCAACCAAAACCACTCAGTGAGGAAACTGGTGTCTCCATCTGTTTTTGAGCGAAAACACCCTGGAGTTCTGAGGAGCTCGCAGGCGCGGCCACCCAGCACCTAAGTGTGGGACAGGGAGCAAGAAAGGGACTGACCTTGGACCTGTGAAACCGCAACCCAGTTTCCCCAAGGGCTCCTAGGAAAGCAGTGTATTTGAAAGTGCTGTCATTCCTTTGCTAAATGCCAAGGATGGAGTGGGCTGTGCATGGGTGCGCCTCTTCCCCACACAGCCACTGCTCCCAGCCCCAGTGAGAGCCTGAGCTCTTGGAGTGAGGAGGGACCCCTGGCCCCCCTTGGTGGGCTCTCCGGCCTCCCTCTCTCGTCCCCACCCCCAGGCCCACACCCTGTCGGCCTCCCACCTCAGAGTGGAAGGTGAGGTGAGGTAATGTCTCCGCTAACCCGCAGTGGCAAGGAGATGAAAAGAATCTCAGAAATGCTATGTTTAATTTAAAGCAGACCCAGCCTGCCTTAGCCAGGCTGTAATTTCACTCAGAATAACCAGATTGTTTTTCTTGGACATTCCAGGCCACCCCCTGTTAAAGCCCAAATGGAATGTTAGGGGGCCCCTTACTGGGGGCCACATGGCTGTCCGAAACTCATTCTCCCTTGGGCCAAGGACTCCTGCTTTGGGGAAGGTCAGGACCTCTCTGAGCGTCACTTAAGGGCCTCCCCTTGGCTCCCTGGCACTCCTCCCCACCCGGCACCCCACCCCTAACTTGGTGCCCAGAGTTCTAAGGGTAAAAGGTCGTCATAGATGAGAACAGCAACACCATCTGTTCACTCTGTGTTCTCTGTGCCCAGTGTTGTGTGAAACTTTCTATCCAATATCTTGCAAAATCCTTACAGCAACCCTATAAGGTGGGTAGAATTTTTTGTGATTCTCCTTCTACAGAGGGTGATAGGGAGGCTGCATAACCTGTCCCAGGTGGCCCAGTTGGGATTTGAGCTCGCTTAGCTCTGGGTGCAAAGCCCAGGCTCTCTGGGCTGCCCATCCCAACGGCCCCTCCCTCCTGGGGCTGAGGAGTTCGGGGGACATTTGTTTCAAGGGAGCTGCCCTTGTTGGCCATCTGGGTATCTGTGGAGGGAGTCGTTATGGGGACACCTGGGTGACAGACAGCTGAAGGGAGGAGGTGCTGTAATCCTGAGCCCTTCTTCTTTCTAGTTGCTGACACCCCTACTTTGGGTAGGGTTGGGTCGGGGCCTTCCAATCTCTATAGGTTTTACTGCTTCCAAAGACCTGGCATACTCCTGGTTTGTGATGATCAAGTTCTGGGTCAGAGCAGGGAGAAGCAGCCCATGAGGCCGGTGAAATGGTGCCCAATGGAGGGGAAGGCCCTGGCTTGTGATCTTGGGCAAGTCCCTCCTCATACCCAGCTTCAGCTTCTCCTCTATAAAATGGTAAGTGGGGATGGAATGGCAGAGAGATGCGGGGCTCTGATTTCTCAGGCCTCTTCTGGCCCTGACATTCTCTGACTTTATTCTGCCAGGATCTGTGCAGATGGGCCTTGGCCCAAGGAGACATGGGAGGTAGAAGGAAGGGAGGGACTGGCAGGGGAGGGACTTCTGGGGAAGTTTCCAGGACTTGGGGGAGGAGAAAAGAATGAGTGGAGCCTGAAGCCAGAACCAGGCATGGGGTGGCCCAGATGGATTTATTCCAGAGCCTGGCCTTCTTCCTGCAGGCCTGAGGGACACTGTGGCTGGCTCAGGGCATAAGTATGCCCCAAACAGAGGGAGGGGCCTCTCTCTGCCTGGTGCCCCCTCCACTCTCAAGGCTCAGCACAACTAAAAAATGGGCTAAAAAATGAGCACTAAAAAAATTTTTAGTGCAACTAAAAAATGAGCTCTCTTGCCTCACTACTGGGGCTGCCTTTGATTTCATGGGGAATAAGGAAGGGGCCAAGGAGTACAGGATCCCAGGTGGTGGATTCTGTGACTGATGAGACCCCTCCAGCTCCCCAGGCCTGGCCGGCAAGAGGAAAGCTCATGTTGCTGATGGGGTGGAAGCCAGGATCTGCAGGCCTGGGAAGGGGCTGATAAGGGGCTGCTCTCACTGCTCAGGGGACAATGAGCTTAGTGTGGGAGGGCTGGGCTGTTGCTTTCCCTCAGGGCTCCCAAGAGAGGTTTCCATGGCACCCAGAAGCTGACTTGGCCACAAGTGTCAATGAAGACATTGTGTGGGGGTTCTTGAGCCCCACCTCTCTCATGGGGTGGGGAGGAGGGGGTGCGAGGCAGGGGAGCCGTCCCTCTAGTCCTGCAGATGCCCCTGTGTACTGTGCTATGAGATGGGACTGGGGCCTCCAAAGATACCCACCTCCTTCCTCTTCTTCAGGAAAGGGTGGAGCTGTTGGGGGCCTTCCCAGGGCAGACACTATATGAGATCCCGAATCCAGGCATGCGTTCCTCAGGAGCTGCTCACCTGGGAGAGGGAGGCAGACAGGTGACACATGCCCTCTTTGTACCTTTTTCCCACACTGAAGCCAACAGGTTGTGTCCCTCCTCTACCAATTCACCTGTAGGAATGACAAGACTCAGCCGGGGTGACAGAGTGAGACCTTGTCTCTAAATTTATTAATTAATTTAGCTTGGAGACTCTTGCATGCCTCACCTAAACACTGGTCAATCCATGGGTTGGCCAGTGCCCCTTGACCTGGGTAGCTTGGGTCAGACAAGTGAGTGGGGTCATGACACTCTCTCTCTCAGGAATGTGGCCTCCAAGACTCAGAGGGAAATTGCCTCTCGTGGAGACACCGGTTCCACTTGGACTAGGCATGGTGCTACCCAGACTCCTCCAGGACTGAAGGGCCTGCACCCCAGTGGTTGTCCCTCAGCTAAGCCCTCTTTGGGAGCAATTCAGCCCAAATCCAATGACTGGTCAATATAAAGGCATAAAGGCCAGGTACTCTTGTCCCAACTCAGGGCAGCTGTCAGCGTCCAGCCCAGCTCCAGCGCTCCTCCAGGGCTTGGCCAAGGTCTTTGTTGGGACTGTATCACAGCCCAGTTTCTCCCACCGCCACTCCCTCCTTCTCCTTGTGTGTCCTGACTCCAGGGCACACAATAAACTGTCTGCCCACCTATGTCCATCTTAGAGTGTTTCCCAAGGAACAGGAAAGATGCCACAGGGAGGGCAGGAAAGAGGATGCGTAATTAGGCCTCTCACAGGTCTGCCCCTTCTGTCCCAGCTGACTCCTGCCTCTTCTGCAGGGGGTGGGGTGGAAGCAGTGCCTCCACCCCCACCTCTGACCTTCCTGCCTGTCTGTCCTAGAGAACGTTTGCCTGGCTCTCAGGGTCTCCAAAGGAAGAAGTCAAATAAGTCACAGAGAAGCAAGGCCAGACATGATATTGCCTCTCTGGGCCTTAGTTTCTTCATCTATAAAATGGATCACTGCCACTTACTTTGCAGAATTTAGAGGAAGATCCAGAAAAAGAACATAAAGCTACTAGTTTAAGGCTTTCTTATTCTGCTGGGTCTGAAGTCAGTCATTGATGGGCTAGAAAAACAAAAGAGCCCCAATGATCGTCATGTACAGTCCCAAAGATTCCCAGGACAATGGCCATCCACTTCACCATTTCCCCTGGAGTGAGTGCGCTTAAGGACTCAAACACTACCAGTGACTCTCCTTGACAGATGGCATCATCCATGCCAGGCGGTGCCCCGAGCCCTCTTCATCCTCCTTGTGCCCACTCATTCTGCAGAGAAACAACCGGAGGTCAGGGAGACTCAGCCGGGGTCACACAGCTGGTACACTGTGGAGCCAGTCCCACCCAAGGTGCGACACCCCCAAGCTTTGGTTTGGGTAGAGCCACTGCTCTCACTTCCTCCCCATTGCAAAAGGGACTCAAGGTGGGAATCAGGGTCAGCTGCACCCTGAGAGGAACTTACCTGATTTGCAGCCAGGGATGCTCCTCTCATCTTTTGGGGAACTATTGAGAAAGGAAAGACGTGCCCAATTTCCCAGGATTTCTCTGAATTCCTGGATATTTACTCCTCAGATTTCACATCTGGGGGATGCAGTGATGTGCTGAAGCTAGCTCATACCAGCTCAAAAAAGCTGACCATGCTCCTCTCCTCACAGTTCCACGTCCACACCTTCATGTTGGTCACCATGGTGGGAGTAGGGACACCATGAGAACTGGCAATTCTACCCATCAGGGATTTAAGGGCTTTTGTTTTCAGAGAGCTGTGGTTACACACTGCCCAGCACACCCCTGGGTGGGTTCCTTAGGACCCCTAGGGAAGTAGTCCCAGCTACTCAGGAGGCTGAGGTGGGAGGATCGATTGAGCCCAGGAGGTCGAGGCTGCAGTGAGCTGTGATTGTGCCACTGCATGCTAGTCTGGGCAACAGAGCAAGACTCTGTCTTAAAAAAAAAAAAAAAAAGATGCATTCTCTTTATACATGTTACACTTTAAGTTTTTGGAGGAAGAAAAAAAGAGCATTTTCTTTTGAAGTTACTCACATTTTAGTGGGGATAGAGGCCAATAATGCCACTGGCTCCAATGATAAGAGTTTTACTAGCTTTTCTAGTTTTTTGCTAGTTTTTCTAGAGGGCCCAGGGGAGCCAGGGAGATACCCTTTGGGCTGTGGGGTTTCATTTTGGTCACATGTCTCATTTCTGCCTCTGATTCTGCTAGTTCTCAGAACCACTAATATTCTGCCCTACATGTTAGGGTCTATTTTTAGAACTTCCTCTTGACAGCACCACTCCTATCTTGTGTCCACAGAAGGGGATCCTGACTCAGCACAGGGTTCTCGGGTGTGCGGATCCCGGGCTGGGCCTCTTGAAGACCTGTGTGGCCCTTGAGCCCTCAGCTTACTTTTTTTTTTTGAGATGGAGTCTTGCTCTGTCACGCAGGATGGAGTGCAGTGGCGCGATCTGGGCTCACTGCAACCTCTGCCTCCTGGGTTCAAGTGATTTTCCTGCCTTAGCTTCCCAATATCTGGGATTACAGGTGCCCTCCACCATGCCCAGCTAATTTTTGTATTTTTAGTAGAGATAGGGTTTCACCATGTTTGTCAGGCTGGTCTGGAACTACTGACATCAACTGATTAATCTACCATGGCCTCCCAAAGTGCTGTAATTACAGGCGTGAGCCACCACGCCCAGCCCCTCAGCTTCTTTTTTAATTTTTTAATTTTTTTTTATTTTTTTTGAGATGGAGTCTTGCTCTGTCACCCAGGCTAGAGTGCAGTGGCATGATCTCGGCTCACTGCAACCTGCGCCTCCTGGGTTCAAGTGATTCTCCTAGCTCAGCCTCACGAGTAGCTGGGACTACAGGCGCGTACCACCACGCCCGGCTAATTTTTTGTATTTTTAGTAGAGAGGGGGTTTCACCATGTTAGCCAGGATGGTCTCGATTGCCTGACCTTGTGATCCGCCTGCCTCAGCCTCCCAAAGTGCCCCTCAGCTTACTTTTAAAGACCTTGTTCCAATAACACATCAAACAGCCCACACTGAGTATATGTATGTATATACACATATATGCACACATATGTGTATTATTTATTTGTTTATTTTTAATTGACACATAATAATTGCACATATTTATGGAATACATAGTGATGATTTGATACATTTAATGTATAGTGATCAGATCAGGATCATGTGTATTTTTAATATTGCAAAATATTTTTAAATGGTTTTGATAATTTTTCTTTTTAAAATAATAGTACATGAGCAACTTGTTATTTCTTGGCAATCACCACACACTCCTCAAGAATTCTTGCAAAGGAGGAAATGCTACTTTCAATTTGTTTTGCAAATGTAATGAAATTTTTAAAAATACTGAATGTATCAATTAAGGAAGCTGACATAGTGTTCCACTTTGCAGGCATTTAATTAAACATTTATTCACTTTGATCATGCAGTTTTCTTTTTATATTTTGGAAGAAATTAGTTTTTTTTTTCTCATAACTCAGACTTTTCCTGTAAGGATAGTGGCCAATTGATCAACCAGGTCTGGCTGGGAAGTCAACTTTTTGGCCAAGTGGGTGGGCCTGGCCAGGACATTTGGGATGAATAGCAGAGCCACAGCTGGGGTATGCAGGAGAGGTTGTGGGCAGAGAGTAGATGGTCTCAGAAGAGTCAGCTGTTCCCTCAGGAATTAATGACTGTCAGGCTGTTTTCCAGTTTTTGGTGTTGGGGAGAAAATCTTTGGGTCAGTCTAGAATACCCTTGCAATCATGAACTTCATTTGAGCCTGACCCAAAAATGTGTCTGATGAGTCGTCTTTTTTTTTTTTTTTTGAGATGGAGTCTCACTTTTGTTGCCTAGGCTGGAGTGCAATGGCACGATCTCAGCTCACTGCAACCTGCGCCTCCCAGGTTCAAGCAATTCTCCTACCTCACCCTCCCAAGTAGCTGGGATTACAGGTGCCTGACACCATACGCAGCTAATTTTTGTATTTTTAGTAGAGACGGGGTTTCGCCATGTTGGCCAGGTTGGTCTCGAACTCCTGACCTCAGGTGATCCACCTGCCTCAGACTCCCAAAGTGCTGGGATTACAGGCATGAGCCACTGCGCCTGGCCTGATGAGTCATCTTAAAAAGTCCTCTCATCAGACAGATTTTTATGAACTGACGAGAAAAGATGTCCCAGGTAGAGTCAAGTGAAAGAGGCACAGTGAGTAACAGACAGCACAGTGTGGGTATGCGCACACTTGGCCACACACTTGCACAGAAACACAGACGAAATCTGGAAGAATGTACTAAGAACTGGAAACACCGAGTGTATCTGGAAAGCAAAATGATGTGTGAATTTTTGACTTCTAAAATAAGAATGCTGGCCGGGCATGGTGGCTCACACCTGTAATCCCAGCACTTTGGGAGGCCGAGGCAGGTGGATCATTTGAGGTCAGGAGTTTGAGACCAGCCTGGCCAACATGGTGAAACCCTGTCTCTACTAAAAATACAAAAAAGTTAGCCAGGTGTGGTGGTGCGCACCTGTAATTCCAGCTACTCGGGAGGCTGAAGCAGGAGAATTGCTTGAACCTGGGAGGCAGAGGTTGCAGTGAGCTGAGATCTTGCCACCGCACTCCAGCCTGAATGGCAGAGTAAGACTCTGTCTAAAAAAAATTAAAAACTAAAAAATAAAATGAAATAAGAATGTACATCCATCTCTTGATTTATGTGGTCAGTCCTAAAATGTGTCCATTCACTCAAAATGCTTACTGCAAAACTTCAGAATGAAGATTCTCATACAAAATACGGAAAACGTGAGTGGTATGTTCCAGTTGATGGAAAACAACATATTCAGACTGTCCTTTTTGTCATCTATTAAATGTAGCCAGTAAACAACCCATAAAAATATATATTAATGATTATCAGGAAACAAAAAGTCCCCAGGCAAAGACTAATGAAGTGGCAGGTGGTGTGGCCAGCCTATGACCACGAACTATGTGTTCCTCTATTTTCTCCATTTTAGAAAATCTTGTTTCCAAAATGTTTGTCATGGGTGACGTTTCAGTCTTTGTCCTTTTAAAAATGTTGTGGCTCTGTTGTTTGATAAAGTGACATTTGATTGAAAGATGAAGACGGAGGCCATTTCTCTAAGGGCTGGCAACTTTTGATGATAAATATTTGGCCATGTATTCACCCAGGGCCTCCCAAGGGTATGACTTGCTAGTTGCTAGTCACATAGCCCTACAAGGTAAACCCTGAGAAATGCATGTCACAGAGTGTCATCTCAGACCACCTGGAGGATGCAGTCCCCAGGCTAAGGAAGCCCAAGGCTGGCTGAGAGTTCACTTCACATCACGTGGTACATTTGCTTGTCTCCAGGTCACATGCCTGAACTTCCTGGTCAGAAAAAGGCCCCAAAAAAGTGGGCAGGCAGGTTATTCCAAAACAAGCTTCTATATCTTTTATTTTATTATTTATTTATTTATTTTCAGAAAAAGCCTCGCTCTGTCGCCCAGGCTGGAGTGCAGTGGCGCGATCTCAGCTCACTGCAACCTTCACCTCCCAGGTTCAAGAGATTCTCCTGCCTTAGCCTCCCGAGTAGCTGGGATTACAGGCATGCGCCACCACGCCCAGCTAATTTTTGTATTTGTAGTAGACACAAACACCATGTTGGCCAGGCTGGCCTAGAACCCCTGACCTCAAGTGATCCACTCACCTCGGCCTCACAAAGTACTGGGATTATAGGTGTGAGCCACCGCCTACATATTTTAAAGGAATTAATTTCTTTAATCATTTTTTCTAAAATGTGTATACATTAATCTTGAGTGAACTGGTTAATCAGTAACAGTCCTACTTAACAAAATTTTAAAAGGAGAAGCTCAGGCTCCTGGGTGTCCATGTTTTCATTAGTTGATTTGTTCATTTAGTCACCCAGCTTTGGCTCATTACTGACTGTGATGCTCTAGACCCCATCCTGGAAGGGTGCAGAAGGCATGATGGCACGTAAGCCAAGGCCCAAACCACCAGCACACGCCTCATCCTCTCATCGACTCACAAAACACAAACTCAAAGAGAAAATCATTAAAAATTTCAAGATAAGCCAGGCACAGTGGCTCACGCCTGTAATCCCAGCACTGTGGGGGGCCAAGGCGGGTAGATAACCTGAGGTCAGGAATTTGAGACCAGCCTAGCCAACATGGTGAAACACTGTCTCTACTAAAAATACAAAAATAGCCGGGCATGGTGGCAGGTGCTTGTAATCTGAGCTACTTGGGAGTCTGAGACAGGAGAATTGCTTGTACCTGGGAGGCGGAGGTTGCAGTGAGCCGAGACTTTGCCATTCCCCTCTAGCCTGGGCAACAAGAGCGAAACTCCATCTCAGGGTAAAAAACATTCAAGATAATCAACTCAGAGCATTAAACCCCAAACGTGAGGCCTTTTAAGTGAGGGCCTCACACTGGTCTCAAACATGACCAGCCCTGCTTTATGTTATAATTATCCTTGCACATTGTGTAAGTCAAACCTCCTCAATATAATCAGTGTTTCCCTGAAGGCAGCTCATTCCAGGGCTGGCCCACGAGATGCCGTTTGGTGATATGTGAACAGGCATTTTAAACATTTTAATAGTTTAGTATTGATTTTGATGTGCATTAGAAAAATATGTGATTATCACATTCCATCTATTAAGATAATTGCACAGGGGTACATAGACTCCCTTAGGAGCAAACTTACTGCAGGTAAAAAAATTAGTTACTCTAAAGAAAAATATTAAGTATTTGCTGGGCACAGTGGCTCATGCCTGTCATCTCAGCACTTTGGGAGGCTGAGTCAGGAGGATTGTTTGAAGCCAGGAGTTTGAGGCCAGCCTGCGCAACAAAGCAAGTTCTTGTCTCTAAAAAATGTTTAATAATTAGCCAGACCTGGTGGCACATGCCTGTAGTCCCAGCTACTCTGGAGGCTGAGGTGGGAGGATCGCCTGAGCCCTGGAGGTTGAGGCTGCAGTGAGCTATGATGGCACTATTGCACGCTAGCCTGGGCGACAGAGTGAGACCCCTTCTAAAAAATAAAAGTATTAAGTAAATGATAGTACCTGTAGCGAAATATGGGAAGATGGTACTCAGAGTTTGAGAAATACTACCCAAGACTGTGAGTTCTTTAAGGTGTGGAAGGCATGGGGGCAGCTTAACACTATGCTTGGTGGGTCAATCAGCAGGGGTAGACCTCTTGCTCACCCCTGATCCAGCATCCCAGCGCAGAAATGGTGATATCCCTGGGGGTCTACCGTCCCCCATGGGTTGGGGCAGCAGGCCCATGGAATAGGGAGATGCCCGGCCCAGCACACTGACTCAGCAGCTATAACTCAACATGCTGACCCAGCAGCTATAGTGGGAGGGGATCAGGGCAGCCAGTGGTCTATGGGCTCCGGGGTAGAGGGTGGGGGCCCAGGTGCCTGTGAGGGTCTGCACTGATATTGGTATCCTCGTGCCTGATGGAGCACGGACGTCAATAGAGAACAAAAAACAGGATGACATGCCGAAAGAGAGAGACCGTGGAGGAAAGGAGAAAGCTTTACATTTTAGCACTTTCAGCAACACCTTTTTCTCCCTTTTTAAACAGGGTGCCCACGGTTTCATTCTGCACTGAGCCCCACAAGTTATGTAGCATGTCCTGACCCAAAGCAGCATGTGTCAGGTCTCACTGGGCACATGTCAGGTACAGTTTCCAGGAAGCACTAGAGGATGTGTCTCCTGGTGGTTTCAGGATCCAGAGAAGCTTTGTGGTAGATGCGGCGTCTGTGTTGGGCTTTGGAGCCAGAGGCGATTAAGACCTGCAGGGCTGGGAGAAGACACACCTTGTGGAAATGCCTGGGGTGGGACACTGAGGCTCTGCCTGGAGGATTGCCAAGGTGTGGTCTGGCTGGAGCACAGGTGGGAGATGGGTCAGGAGGTGGGGATGGGAGAGAGGCCCAGGAAAAATAATCCAAGGCTGGGACGGGGCAGGATTTGGCTTCTCATGGTGTTCATACAA
This sequence comes from Homo sapiens, assembly GCF_000001405.40. Taxonomy (NCBI): domain Eukaryota; kingdom Metazoa; phylum Chordata; class Mammalia; order Primates; family Hominidae; genus Homo; species Homo sapiens. The sequence goes on along the minus strand of NC_000002.12, from coordinate 85,988,404 downwards.
GTAACATGTAACAGATTCCTTTCTAAACTTTTAGAGGCCAGGGACTGAATTTTCGCAAGACATAATTTATGAGAAGAGAGTGAGACAAGCAGAGCAGGGTGTGGGGAGAGTTAAGAGCAAGCAAGGCCAGATGCGTTATCCAGGCCAAGAAAGGAGGATCGATTGCAGTTGTCTCCAAAGTTTTTTGGTTATGCACTCATAAAATATTTTTGAGCACACTCCCTAATATGTGTATCTGCTTCTGCATCAATTGTATACTTGCACAACATTATTATTTCTGATGGATGTTATAAAACAAAAGCAAAAACAGAACTTTTAAAAAGGTCATTAAAAATGAGCATAAAAGGCCTGTCAACCATCCTCCCTCTGCCCGGCAGTGGACCGTCAGCTCCTGCCTGTTGGGGATCTCCAGGCTGGCGTTGTGTCTGGAGGCAATTTGCCTGTTTTTATGTCCCCTGTGGCAGCTCGAGACTCTCTTCCCAGATCTTCTCAAGTAGATTGAGGCTGGGTCTCTGGGAAATTTATGTTTTATATGTGTGTGCAGAGCCAGGCAGATGCAAGACAGGGGTGGGGGAGGCAGATGCTGAGTTAGCTGAGTGTCAGGGAAGATCTCAGAGGGGAGTATCAGGGGACCCTCGCAACAACCCAAATTGTTGCCTCTAGGTTGTTAGGGGATGCTGAGAAATCCAGTAACTTGCCAAAGTCACACAGCTGGAGCCAGGATTTGAACCCAGGTTTGGCCAACTCCAGAATCTCCCCTTGTGAACTTTGGGTTCAGTGCCACTGTCAGTGCAGAGCTGGCCATTCCTGGATAAGGCAGGGCACTGGGACTTCTGGAATTGGCACCTTGTCCAGGAGTGCACAAGGGTGTCTCCCACAGCCACCAGGACCTCCAACTCAGGGCTCACTGTGGGGTGGGCTGGCAGGCTGGGGAGCATGGCAGGATAAATTGTCCCTCCCTCTCCCCTCAGGTGGAAAACTCTGAGGAACATTCCCTGTCCTCTCCCAGAGGTGCCCCCAGGTGGGCCTCTGTAACTTAGTGGGAACCCACTTATTAGCACCCCCGTATAGGCTTCTGTCTCTTCCCTTCTATCCCTTCCTTGTCCCACTCCCCACTCCTGGTATCCCTTCTTTAAAAACTACTTGCACACAAATCCTTGTCCTGGCGTCACCTTCTGGGGAGCCCAATGTGAGCAGCCTGCCTGGGAGGGAGCCCTGGGTCTGGAATTCGACCATGGAGCTTGCGTGCCCTGCTCTCTTCTCCTAGGCCATGGCCGACATTACCAATCAATTGCAGCATTGTTTTCTAGAAGCCCAGAGTTCTCAACAGGGCACTTCAAATACATATATATATACATATATATATATATTTTTTTTTTGAGATGGAGTTTCGCTCTTGTTGCCCAGTCTGGAGTGCGATGGCACTATCTCAGCTCACTGCAACCTCTGCCTCCCAGGTACAAGCTATTCCCCTGTCTCAGCCTCCCAAGTAGCTCAGATTACAGGCATGCACCACCACGCCTGGCTAATTTTTTTTGTATTTAGTAGAGACAGAGACCGGTTTCACCATGTTAGTCAGGCCGGTCGCGAACTCCTGAACTCAGGTGATCCATCCACCTCGGCCTCCCAAAGTGCTGGGATTAAAGGCGTGAGCCACCACGCCCGGTCCAAACCAGTATTAAACAATTGTTTGGAGGTGAAAAGTGAGTTGAAACCTATTTGCCAGGGACAGAGTCTAACTGGAATGCCTGCAGAGGAATATGCCCCTTGATTCCAGCACTTAGTGTGAAGTTAACTGATGCCCAGGATAGCAGAACAGGGTCAGGTGAACAGGAAAGAGGAGGCTTCTCCTCATGCACAGAGCACCCCTACCCAGACAGCTTTGGTGACAAGTCCCAGCAGGCCACAGGAATGGAGAACGGCAGTTAGAGGTGACATTAATACCATTCATTAAGTGCCTGATGAGCTAGGCCTTGGGCTGAGGCCCCTTATGTCATTATCACCAATCCTCTTGCCAACGATTCTCCTGGGTCCTCAGTAGGAGGGGACAGTATCAGATGCCAACGGAGGGCTATCTGACGTGAAGCCTCTGTTCTCCCCACCGCACCGCGCTGGGCCTTGAAATTCAGCCCCCAGATTGACCAAACTTCTTCTTATTCAGCATCACACCTTCGGTGACCATACATCCCAGTCTATCCATGGTGGTCTAACTCTCACAGAATTTCCTGCTTTTCAGTCCAGCATTAGGGCAAGAAGCGTATACAGCCAGCAGCATTTGCTGGATTTTCAACATGAATACAATTGCAAACCAGAGAAACAGCATTTGTGAGACTATGTGTCTGATTCTTTTTTTAATTGACAAATGACAAATGATATTTATGCTTTCCAACATGAAGTTTTGATATAAGTGTATATTGTGGAATGGTTAAATGAAGCTAATTAATATATTTACCACCTCACCTACTTATTGTTATGATAAGAACATTTAGCATCTACTGTCTTGGCAATTTTCGGACATACTATACATTACTATTAACTACGGTCACCACACTATACAACAGATCTCTTGAACTTGTTCCTCCTAACTGAACTTTTGTGTCCTTTGACTAATGTCTCCCCAATACCATCCTACCCCATGCCACTATTCTACTCCTAATTTCTATTAAATTATTTTTTTAGATTCCACAAAGAAGTGAGAACATGCAGTATCTGTTTCTCTGTTACTGGCTTATTTCACTTAACGTCATGTCCTCCAGGTTCACCCCTGTTGTCACAAATGACAGGATTTCCTTCTTTTTAAAGGCTGCATAGTATTGTATTATAAACACATATCACTCGCCAGGCGCGGTGGCTCATGCCTGTAATCCCAGCACTTTGGGAGGCTGAGGCAGGCAGATCACGAAGTCAGGAGATCAAGACCATCCTCACTAACATGGTGAAACCCCGTTTCTACTAAAAATACAAAAAAATTAGCCGGACATGGTGGTGGGCACCTGTAGTCCCAGCCACTCGGGAGGCTGAGACAGGAGAATGGCGTGAACCCAGGAGGTGGAGCTTGCAGTAAGCTGAGATCGCACCACTGCACTCCAGCCCGGGCAACAGACGAGACTCCATCTCAAAAAAAAAAAAAAAATCACCTTTTTTTAATTCATTCATTGATGGCATGTCCTGGTTTTTAAACTTAGAGACTGTGATCATCCTTAAGTCTGGGCTTCTGTAGGCCTTTCTGGTGGGGTCTTCTTCTTGTAGGGTTGAGATAGCTAGGCCTTGGGAGAATAGAATTGCTTCCTATCTGGAAGGTGAGATATACAAGCTCAACACATTTGCATGTGTTCTCTCTGCATCTAAAGCATTTCTGGTAAGTGCTTTTTTTTTTAATATTTAAGTGTTTCTGCATTTCCATACAATTTGAATTTATTAGCACTCAGCCCAGCTTGTAAGCAGCTCTGTTTCCTCTGCTTGGGGATGCTGCATCCTAGGCAAGAGAGGCTCCTGGGAGAAGCTGCAGGCACCCACCAGAAACCAAGGCTCACTGCGGAAGCCTTGCCCAATCTCCCCTCCACTCTCCCACGTGGCAGTTCCCAAAAACCCAGCTCTATGTAGACATGGCTTTTGCCTTTGTTTGTTTTTGAAATGGAGTCTTGCTCTGTAGCCCAGGCTGGAGTGCAGTGGATCGATCTTGGCTCACTGCAACCTCCACCTCCCAGGTTCAAGCGATTCTCCTACCTCAGCCTCCCGAGTAGCTGGGACTACAGGCACGCACCACCACGCCCGGCTTATTTTTTGTACTTTAGTAGAGACTGGGTTTCACCGTGTTAGCCAGGATGGTCTCGATCTCCTGACCTCGTGATCCACCCGCCTCGGCCTCCCAAAGCGCTGGGGTTACAGGCGTGAGCCACGGCGCCCGGCCGACTTTTGCGTTTGTAAGGACAGGGAATCTTTCCAGCATTCCAGATTAAAGGCACACCCTTCAACGCCCCCTGGAATGATGACTAAAAGATCAAGCTGGATGCCCCCCAGGACTAAGAGAGATGACAGCCAGAGGCTCCTGGAACACAGTTCCTTGTGTTTGGCACACTCACAGCTCACTGCAGCCACAATCTCCCGGACTCAGCCCCCTACCCAAGTAGCTGGGACTATAGGCACATGCTGCCATGCCCGGCTAATTTTTTAATTTTTTTCCTTGTGTTTGGCTGTGCTGGCTCCACTAGATACTATTCTCCCTCGGGTGTCACTTCACACCTCTCTGGTCTTCCATCCCACTGCTAGCCCGAGATGGCCATATTTGAAGTTCTGGTTTGCCATTAGAGAAGTCTTGGTTGACCTCAACTGTAAAGTGGGGATTCAGGCCCCTCCTTCTTAGAGATGATATAAGATTTAATGAAATGGGAGAGAACCTGGGAGAGCTCTCCCAGTGAGGCCTGCCCTCGGGGTGGGGGGAACGGGCTGCCCCAGGAGAGGGGGCAGAGGCTGATGGCATGTGTTAACTGCCTCAGTGTTAACTGTGAATGGGAACGGTTGTATCTCCTTCACAAGGTATTCTCGTAAAATGCAGATAAAACCAGCCTGACCAAGGTGGAGAAACCCCATCTTTACTAAAAATACAAAATTAGCTGGGTGTGGTGGCGCTTGCCTGTAATCTCAGCTACTCGGGAGGCTGAGGCAGGAGAATCACTTGAACCTGGGAGGTGGAGGTTGTGGTGAGCTGAGATTGCACCATTGTACTCCAACCTGGGCAACAAGAGTGAAACTCCATCTCAAAAAAAAAAATGCAAATAAAAAACTCTACGCAGAAGAATCTGCCCAATAAATGGAGGCAATTAGTTTTCCATTGCTGACAATTGCCCTCTGTCATCCATTCATTCACTCGGTGACATTTATTGAGCTCTTACTATGTGCCCCGTCTCTGTTCTAGGCTCTAGGATGCAGCAGTGAACAAAACAGACGAGTCTACAGAGTTGACATGACATGCAGGGGCCATGGAGAAGGCGAGAACTGTGGAAACGTCGTTGTTGAGTATGTCAAATGGTGATGTGTGCTGTAAAGAAGGAGTGAAGCTGGACTCAGAGCGGACAGGAAGACAGGGGTAGGGGTAGGTCTGGGCTTTTGTACAGGGTGATCTGAGAAGGCCACTTTGACAAGGTGATATGTAAAGTGAGGACACAAGCCCTGTGACTATGTGGGCACAACTCTCCTAGGAAAAGGGAGCAGCAAAGTGCATGGACCCCAAAGCAGGAATGAATATGCTCAGTGCGTCCAAGGAAGAGCCGGGACCAGCAGAGCTCAAGTGGAGTGAGCGTGGGGAAAGAGCGGACCCGGTCAGAGGGGTGCTGGGGACCAGACAACGTCACGCGTCATGGCCATCGCTAAGGATTTGGGGTTTTACTTTGCATGAGATGAAAAGCCACAGGAGGGTTTTGAATAGAGGAGTAGAATGATTTGACTTGAGTTTTTAAAAGGTTTACTCCAGCTGCTTGGTGGAGAGTGGATGGTGCAGGTGAGGGCAGAGGCAGGGAAACCAGTTAGGAGGCTGCTGCAGCGACGTGGGAGAGGACTGTGGGTGGTTTGGGCCATATTAGAAGCAGTGGTAAGAAACACTGAGCTCTGGATGTGTTCTGAAGGTATGCCAACGTGATTTACTAACCGATCCATGAAGGGCATGAGAGGAAGAGAGCAATCAAAAATGACCCCCAGGGTTTTTGTCTGAGCATCTGGAGTTGCCCTTATTTGAGAGTTAGAAGACCAAGAGGGCCGGGTGTAGTGGCTCACGTCTGTAATCCCGGCACTTTGGGAGGCCGAGGCAGGTGGATCACTTGAGGTCAAGAGTTGGAGACCAGCCTGGCCAACGTGGTGAAACCCCGTCTCTACTAAAAATACAAAAAATAGCCAGGCATGGTGGTGGGCATCTGTAGTCCCAGCTACTCAGGAGGCTGAGGCAGGAGAATCGCTTGAACCCGGCAGGCGGAGGTTGCAGCAAGCCAAGATCGTGCCACTGCACTCCAGCCTGGGTGGCAGAGCAAGACTCCGTCTCAAAACAAAACAAAACAAAAAACAAGAGGAACACATTAGGTGGATAGGAGATGTCGTTTGGGTGCAGCCAGGCTGGGTGGCTCACACTTGTAATCCCAGCACTTTGGGAGGCCCAGGTGGGAGGACTGTTTGAGCCCAGGAGTTGGAGACCAGCCCGGCTAACATAGCGAGACTCCATCCCTACAGAAAAATTAAAAAATTAGCCGGGCATGGCGGCATGTGCCTGTAGTCCCAGCGACTTGGGTGGGGGGCTGAGTTCAGGAGGTTTTGGCTGCAGTGAGCTGTGATCACACCGCTGCACTCCAGCCTGGGCATTAGAGCAAGACCTTGTCTTAAAAAAAAAACAACGAAAGTTTGAATTGCCCATTAGACATCCAAGTAGAAAGGTCGAGTTTTAAGTTGGGTATAGAAGTCTGGAGTTTGGGGTAAAGGTCTGGGCTGGAGATCTAGCTTTAGGAGTCCTTCAGTCCTAGAGAGAGGGTGAAGTCAGGAAGGAATGACAGAGGAAGCACCCAGGCCTGGACCTTGGGACCCTCCAATGTTCACGGGCAGAGAGAAGTGGGGAGCGGCCAGTGAGGCAGGGGAGACCCCCTGGAGTGAGTGTCAAGAGGATGGAGGGAGCTACTCTGTCAAAGACTGCTGCTCATGGGCCAAGTAAAATGAGGTCTGAGAACAGCCCATTGCATTTGGCAGCTGGAGGTCCTTCAAGGTCTTGACGTGAGCTGTTTCGGTGGAGCCAGGTAATAAAAGTTAGTGGGTAGGAGTTAAAGCAAGAAATTTCTTTGACTTTTGTCACCTGGCTCCACTGAAACAGCTCACGTCAAACCTCTGAGGAAGGGAATTGGAGACAGTAACTGGAACACTCTTAAAGTTCTTTAGGCTGGGGACAGTGGCTCACGTCTGTGATCCCAACACTTTGGGAGGCCGAGGTGGGTGGATTGCTTGAGTCCAGGAGTTTGAGACCACTCTGGACAATATGGCAAAACTCAATTTCTACTGAAAATACAAAAAATTAGCCAGGTGTGGTGGCCTGTGCCTGTGGTCCCACCTACTGGGGAGTCGGAGGTGGACGGATCACCTGAGCCTGGGAGGTGGAGGCTGCAGTGAGTCCTGATTGCATCACTATACTCCAGCCTAGGAAACCAGAGTGAGGCCCTGTCTCAGGGGAAAAAAAAAAAAAAGAATTATCCAGCCTGGGCAACAAAGTGAGACCCTGTCTCTACAAAAAAATAAAAATAAAAAAATTAACTAGGTGTGGTGATGGACACCTGTGGATCCAGCTACTTGGGAAGCTGAGGTGGAAGGATCACTTGAGCCTGTGAGGTCGAGGCTGCGATGAGCTGTGATTATGCCACTGCACTATAGCCTGAGTGAGAGTGAAATCTTGTCTCAAAAAAAAAAAAAACAGTTTTGTCTACAGGTGAGCAGAGCAGGGAGCAATGGCTAAAGCAGGATGAGAGATAAAGGAAGAGAACTAGGTTGTTGTTCTGCTTCCCATCTTGTTATTCCAGGTCAGACATGGTGAGGTTCACCAAGGCAAATCCAATAGTGGGAGTTGGAATGTGGGCAAGGAAGTTCTGTCATGATCAACTGTGAATCTACATTGGCTAAGGAGTGAAATGAGGCAATTAAGGGGCTAATGATTCATGAAGAGGTGGTTGGGTCATAGATTCTAAGTCTCAGCTGGTAGAAGGATTATTGAAGTCTGGATAAGAGAAAGAGTGAGCTGGAAACCCAGGGCACAGTGGTTGGAGAGTGGGACATAGAAACTGAGATGACTAGGCTGGGCGTGGTGGCTCACGCCTGTAGTCCCAGCTACTCAGGAGGCTGAGGCAGGAGAATGGTGTGAACCCGGGAGGCGGAGCTTGCAGTGGGCCAAGATCGCGCCACTGCACTCCAGCCTGGACGACAGAGCAAGACTCCTTCTCAAAAAAAAAAAAAAAAATAAGAAACCAAGATGACAGACAACTGCAGCCAGAGAAAATGACAGTTCTAGGGTGCGACCGTGGGAGTGAGAGGTTAGGGTGGAGGTGACCAGGTGGACAGTAGGACACAGAACTGAGAGGTACACAAGGATCTTCTGTGTGGATATTGAAATCAGTGTGAGATAAATACAGTGCTGGAGAGACTGAGAATGAACTCAAAGTCCTCAAGGATCGAGATGAGAAGTGACCTGGGGTCAGCAGGTACCTTCAAGAAGGAGGCGGTCGGCTGGGCACGGTGGCTCACGCCTGTAATCCCAGCACTTTGGAGGCCGAGGCGGGCAGATCACCTGAAGTAGGAGTTCGAGACCAGCCTGGCCAACATGGTGAAACCCCATCTCTACTAAAAATACAAAAATTAGCCAGGCGTGGTGGCGGGTGCCTGTAATCCCAGCTACTCAGGAGGCTGAGGCAGGAGAATTGCTTGAACCCAGGAGGCAGAGGTTGCAGTGAGCCAAGATTGCGCCACTGCACTCCAGCCTGGGGGACAAGAGTGAGACTTGGTCTCAGAAAAAAAAAAAAGAAGGACAGGGTCAGTGGTATAGTTTGATGAGATTCGAAGGGAGATTCAACCCAGTGGTTGTTTAGGAAGGAAAGAGCAAATGGTTTGGAATCAGCAATCAGTACTGAAGAGGTTATTGACCCCACCCTAGGGCTGAGGTATGAGGGCAGGAGGGAGAACAGCTACCACTTGAACACCCGAGCTCAGGTGATCCACCCACCTTAGCCTCCCAGGTAGCTGGGACCACAGTCTGGAAAGGGGATGTTAACAGCTTCACTAGGACACTTTTTGAGTCTTGAACTCAGTTTCTCAGATTACATAATTTCACTTCCTCCTAACTTGTTTGAGAGGCACCACTTTCTGAACCTGCATCTGATGCTGACATTGGGAATTATAACCCAAACCACAATTACCCATTCAAATAACATTTGGACAGTTTTCCTCCCATTTACCCAGGAGATATATATTTATAATCTTCAAGTTGCATTTTAAAATGATTTTAAAAAGCCTTATTTACAAAAACATGCAACTCTTTTCATTGTGAGGTCATATCCCTAGGGAGACTTACTAAATCTGTGTTCAAATTTCTTTGCCGATTTTTTCACCACTGTCATCAGGTGACCTTTATAAACATACAAACTAGCATTGACTGAGGTCATTTCAGGTGACGGCATCTCAGACAGCTGTCATTACTTAAAAAGATGAATTAAAAAAAGTGGAGGGAGGAAAGGTGAAAGAGAAATGCAGAAAGAGAAAAAAGAAAATAAAAGAGAGGAAAAGAGAAAGAGGAAAGAATGAGAAAGAGAAGGAAGGAAAGAAGGAAGAGGAAAGAGGGGAAGGAAGGAAAAAAGGAAGGAAGAGGAAATAGGGGAAGGAAGGAAGGGAGGAAAGAAGAAAGGAAGGGAAGAATAGAGGGAGGAAGTGAGGGAGGGAGAGAGGAGACTAAGGTTTCTAATATAAGACTACATGGAATTAGTCTTTTCTGAGGGATAATTTTCAGAAAAATAAACAAACAAAAAACCCTTGGCTCATATTCAGTCATCTCTGGTGCCATCTTTTCAGTCATAGTGTCTAGAACAGTGCCAATGAATGTTTCTGGAATGAATTAACTGATTGCTATTGTCTTCTAGCCCTAACAAAGATTTCTCCATGACCCTTAGATCCTTGGACCCCTGGTCCTAAGAGAAACATCACCCACCTCATGCCCCCATGCCTGGCTTTTGCTTGGCTACTAAGCTCCATCTTGCTTCTTTTTTCTTCCAACATGTGTATTCAGAAGCTCTTGGCTTTTATTAAATGCAACTCTGCTGCTAATACATTACAGAATTTAATCTTGTGCCAGCCACACCCTGGCACTGAACCCAGCTGGGCAGGGGGCCAGATTTGAAGTGAGGTTCTCCCTGCCAGTGATTAAGTTTGGTTAAGAGGTGAGATAGTCACTGCCAGATGCAAAAACTCCAGGAGGCATTTCCAGCTGCATGTAGAACTCTGTAGTTTCTGCCTCTGGTGATGGAGTTTGGGGGTCATCTGAATGGGGAGTGATGAGAGGTAGGAGCTGAAATAGAAAGATGCGGCCGGGCACGGTGGCTCACGCCTGTAATCCCAGCACTTTGGGAGGCCGAGATAGGCGGATCACGAGGTCAGGAGGTTGAGACCAGCCTGACCAACATGGTGAAACCCCGTCTCTACTACAAATACAAAAATTAGCCAGCCATGGTGGTGTGCGCATGTAATCCCAGCTACTCGGGAGGCTGAGGCAGGAGAATCACTTGAACCTAGGAGGCGGAGGTTGCGGTGAGCCAAGATCATGCCACTGCACTCCAGCCTGGGTGACAGAGTGAGACTCCATCTCGGAAAAAAAAGAAAAGAAAAAGAAAGAAAGAAAAAAGAAAGATGCAAATAAAACAGAGGTGAGGACAGCAGCGGGTGAGGAGTGGGTCTTCGATGTTGGTAGAAACTTCTCTAATCTTTTACACCTCTAACTCTATCTCCCTCCTGAAAGCCCTCATCTGGCCTGGAATTGGCTTTGAGGGTTGTACCACTATGCATTTTGATAACACATGATGAGTTTTTAGATCAAAGCACACTAGGGTAGTTGTTGTTGAATACATGCATGGCTAATTCTATAGCCTCCTGTGGGGTCAGGTTACCCCCAAGCCCTGTGCCTCAGCCATGGGACACATGGCGATGGTTGTGGATGGATCCTCATGCACCATTCCCTTAGCTCTTGTGTTCGTAATAGAATCCTTATTTGAGAACCTGGGTCCCTATCAGTACAAGTAAAAGGAAAAGAAGAAACACCCAGAGTGAGATTCTTCAGGTAGCTTTGAGGATGCCCAAGGTGAAACATTAATCAATCAATAACAACATGATGGAGAGGCAGGTGTTCCCTCTTCTGTACCCCCTTTCCTGGAGTGTGGGAACTACTGAGGCTCTCACAATGCAACTCAAGGCTAGGGAGGAGATAGATACCATTTTGTTTTTGTTTTGGTTTTGAGACGGAGTCTCACTCTGTCGCTCAGGCTAGAGAGCAGTGGCATGATCTCGGCTCACGGCAACCTCCGCCTCCCAGGTTCAGGCAATTCTCCTGCCTCAGCCTCCCAAGTAGCTGGGACTACTGGTGCCTGGCCACCATGCCCGGCTAATTTTTGTAGTTTTACAGAATTTTTTTTGTAGAGATAGGATTTCACCATGTTGGTGAGGCTTGTCTCAAACTCCTGACCTCTGGTGATCCACCAACCTCGGCCTCCCAAAGTGCTGGGATTACAGGTGTGAGCCACTGCACCTGGCCTAGACATATACCATTTTTGAATAACAAGGTATAGTAGAAACGCCAGCGGGAAGTTTACTCTTCATAGGTTGAACACGTGATGTTGCAGATGCATTACCTCAATGCTGATCACCACGAGGGCTAATGAAATCCAAAGGAACTTTCTGCCAGCCCACTCGTCACTCCCCCTGCCCACTAACCAGTCATGCAGACAGAAATGGCTAAAAAGGCCCCAACATCCACACCAAAGACTGGGCACAGAGGCTAGTGCTTGAAAAGGACCAAAGGGCAGAGGTGCAGAGAGAGTGGGAAGGAGAGAACCTGGCGGAGCGAGGGTGATCTTTGCTAGTGAAGGTGGCCACACACTTAGTCTTCCAGATGGGTACATGGTCACGGAGACACATTCAACAGGGCAGAAGAGCCACAGCAAACCCTGGCTGTGTGGGTTTTCTATGGAGAGGGCTTGAAGCGAGGCTTCTGGGGGTTCCCTGTGTGACCAAAAGACCAGCTACCAGAAAGGCTGCTTGGCATGGGTCTGGCACTGCCTTCCCTTCCCAACAAGGGTCAAAGGAGGGGCTACTTCAGCCTATGCTGAATGCTTCCTAGGTGCCAGGTGCTCGAACACACATAATCCCCTTGGCAGAGAGAGCCCAGTCACCATCCAAGGTCCCAGGGATTAGACACCGGGCCTGTCTGACTTGGGTCTGTGGTCTTCCTATAACACAGGAAAATGGCAGCAGCTGACAGGCTTCTTGTTTTAAGCACTGGCTGGGGTCCACCTCTCTTCTGAGGCTGCTTCAAGCCCTGCCAAGGTCCTCCCAACAGAGCTCGGTCATGCCAGATATGAATTCGTTTCACACCCCTCTGATCTTTTCCACGCTGCCAAACACACTGCATCCCTCCTTTTCACTTAGGCATTCTGTTGAAGGTGAAAACAACATGTTGGAAGAGGGCTGTGAGAGGAATGAGGGAACACTTATTTTAAAATGAGATTTACCCTGTTCAGCCCTACTCAGTCCTTGGAAATGAACTTCAGCACAGATTAGAGGTCTCTTTTTGGAAAATGGCAAAATTACAGAGACTGGTCCACTCCTATGTCCTCTTACTGGTCCCTTGGAATAGTACTTTTCAAACTTTACTGTGCCTAAGCATCCCCTACAGAGCTTCCTAAAACTCATATTCTTGGGCCCCATCCCCAGAGACTCTGATTCAGTGGGTCTGGGTGGGGCAGAGGCAGAATTGTCAGTTTTGACAAGCTCCCAAATGATGCAGATGCGAATGGTCAGCGAAGTGTGTGTGGAGTGCCCCTGCCTTGTGGATGTCACAAATGAACCTTTTCTAGGCACTGGCTGGATTTGTCTGCCAGTGCTGGAAGAGTGGTGAACTTTCTAGATTGCCCTGAGGGCCCCTGGGAAGTGTGGCTCCCTCGAGTGTTACTAACACCCAGGAACATCAAACGGTCCCCAACTTTCTCTTCCTCCCACTCACTTGGTGGGGAGAGAAGGACAGAAGATTGGAAAGAGAAGAAGGAAGCACTAAAATAAACTTTGCCTACTGGTGATTGTGCTGAGACCATTCCTGCCAAGAGAATGACTAGAAACAATATTTGCGTTTGATCCAGATTTGAAGATTTGAGGTTGGACACGCATATCAGTTTCCTTATTTGTAAAACCCGGATAAAACTACGACCTTGAAGATTCTTGTGAGGAGTAGAGTCACAGCTGGTGAGGGTAGCACCAGAGCCAACATCTGGTTTCTCAGAATCTCAGGTCAGTGCGCTCATGAGCACACCAATGACAGTGGTGCCCACAGAGTGAGCACCCACCAGGTCTAGGCATTGCATAAATGGCTCCACAGATGATGTTCCAGTGAAACCTCACAATACCCTGACAAAAAAGATATTGTTCTTCTCATATTACTCCTGAAGAAACCCAGTATTAGAGATTAAATAACTTGTCCAAGGTCACAGGGCCAGAGGTGGGATCCAGATCTCACTCACACTGTGGCTGTTACCACCTCACAAACCCCAGGGATCCTCCCACCAGTGCCCTCAAAAAACCGTCAGGTTGGCTGCAGCCCAAATAGGGCTGAGAGTGGGGAGAGCTGGGGTGTAGAACCTGCTGTCATGAAGCTATGTGGACTAGGGCAAGCCATTTTCCCTATCTGGACCTCAGTTTCCTCATCTGTAAAATGGTGTCTAAGTGCCCTTCCAATGCTGATATATAAGGACTCCACTACTTTTTCACTAGGGCATTGGTACCAAGTTGAGTTCCGTAAGATTCTCTCATTGCCAGCATGCCATCTCCAGGGTTCCAGCAGTCAGTAAACCAGGTCCCAGGGAACCACTTAGACTCTTGTACCCCTCAGGCTTAAAGAGGAGGGGCCTCTATAGATCATCAACAAAGACAGCTGCAAGTCAGAAAGCAGGAAGGTCCAGGTGAGCTGCTGGCTCAAACTAGGCAAGTACGTGGGGTGGGTCCTGTCATGTCTTTTCCTTGACATTTAAAGAAGGGAATATGAGCACAGTAAGGTATGTACTCTGTACAAAAATGTTTCAACACTATTTCTTCATAGATGACATAGTTAAAGAGACTGGATCCAGCTGCCAGGCTGAGTGCATACAACCATTCAATGTCAACACAACCTTCTTACAAGGCAGAACAAAGATTTTATTTTAATTTAATAGAGAACACCCACCATTAGCATGACATTTACCACTAACACTTTACTTGCTTTATCACATATCTATTGATCTAGCCATTCACTAATCCATCTTATTTTTGATGGATTTCAAAGTAAATTGTGACTTCAGTACATTTCCCCCTAAATATTCAAGTATACAGATCACTAACTAGAATTCAATATTTGATATATTCTCTTTGATGTAAAATTTATATACAATGAAATGCACCAATCTTGCATATGTGTTAGCTGAATTTTGTCAAATGCATCAAACCTGCACAATGCAAACCCCCATGAAGACACAAAGAATTGCCATCACCTCAGAGTGTTCTCTCAAGCCCCTTCCTGTCATAGATTCTTCCCGTTCTTCATTAAAGATTTGTTTTACCCAGGACAGGTTTTTAAATTTAGTTTTATCGAGTTATAGTTTACATACAATGAAATTCACCAATTTTGTTTTTCTGGATGAGTTTTAACAAAGTTGTGATACAGTTGTGCAACCACCACCAGAGCCATGACATAACATATTTCCATCACCCCAAAACTTTCCCTCATGCTCTTCTGCAGCCAATCACCTCTCCCTCACACCTCGCCCCTGGAAACCGCTGATCTGCTCTCTGTCACTGTAATTTCGCCTTCTCTAGAATGTCACATTAATGTTACAATATAGTATGTAACCTTCCACATTTAGCTTCTTTCAGTCAGCCATATGCTTTTCAGACTTACTCATGTTGTTGTATGTATCAATAGTTCATTCTTTTCTTACTGAAAAGTAGCATTCCATTGTGCTTGATGTACATAATTTGCTTATCCATTCACCTGTTGATGAACATTTGGATTATTTTCTGTTTCTGGAACTCAAATCCCAAACGAATACAATATAGAAATGATATGGAGTGAGTCTTGGCTGGAAAGAATTAATCTCTGTAGTAACTCTTGTATGGGGAGTGGGGATAGACATCTAGACCAAGGATCAGCAAACTTATTCAGTAAAGGGCCAGATTACAAATATCTTAGCCTTCGTGGGCCATACAGTCTTTGTCTCAACCACTCAACTCTCCCATGATAGCACAAAAGCAGCTACATATATAAACAACTATATATATATCTAAAGACAATATAGAAACAAGTAAGTGTGGCTGTGTTCCAATGAAACCTTGCTTATGGACACTGAAATCTGAATGCTATATACGTTTCATGTGTCATAAAATGTTATTTGTCTTTTGATTTTTTTTAACCACTTAAAAATATAAAGGCCGAGTGCAATGGTTCATGCCTGGAATTCCAGCACTTTGGAAGAACAAAGTGGGAGGATCACTTGAGCTCAGGAGTTCAAGACCAGCCTGGGTAACATAGCAAAACACTGTCTCTACCCCCTAAAAATAAACAAAAACCAAAAACAAAAATTAACTGGGCATGGTGGTGTGTACCTATAGTCCCAGCTACTCAGGGGGCTGAGGTGGGAGGATCTCTTGAGCATCAGAGGTCAAGGCTACCGTAAGCCTTGATTGTGCCATTGCACTCTAGCCTGGGTGACAGAGTGAGACCCTGTCTCAATAATAAATAAATACAAATACAAAAAAAAATTCTTAGCTTCTAGGCTGTGCAAAAATGTGGAATAGGTGGGATTTTGTTACCAAAATACCAGGGGTTCAGTCTAGGTCCTGCTGCTCACAGCACAGAAAGCCAGTCACTGAGACAACAAGCACTGCCAAGGAAGAAGGCTTTAATTGGGTGCCAAGGAGGTGGGAGCTCAGTCTCAAATCCGTCTCTCTGACAAACTAAAACCTGGGGTTTATAGAGCAGGGAAGAAATGTAATGATGTGTAAAGAAACAGGAACCAGGGAGGGGCAAGGAAGCAATCATGATGAATGAGGGGTCAGGCATGTCATTGTCTGAATGTGGTGATCTGGGGAGTTTCAGTTCTTTGCTACTTTCTTGAGAGGCCTGAAGGTCTTTTCCTGAGGAAGGAACTCAGATAAAGCAAATGTAAACTTCAAGCTTTAAGATCAGAAAAGTCAATTTCTATGTTTATCCAAAAGAACAGTCTATGGGACTATTTGGTTGGTTTCAACTTGGCCCATAGGCTGTAGTTTGTTAATAGTCTAGATTACTTCAAAACATTTTAGAAAACTATGTTCAAGTACATGTCATCAAAATTTAATTATAACCACAAGAGGAATAGAAATAGGATATATAACTGCCAATCCGTAAAAGGAAAAACAATGGAATAACAACGATCACCTGAAGAAAAGATTAAAAAGTAAAAGAAAATAAGAAAGTATGATAAATAGAAGACAGAAAATAACATGACAGGAATAAATCTAATCGCATATGTAATAACAGTACTCATGAATAGGTTAAATTAGCCTATTACAAGACACAGAGTTTCAGTTTAGGTAAAGAAAATTTAAAAAATGAGCCACTGCTGTTGCCAAAAGTTATATCTAAAATGAAATTATACAGGATATTTGAAAACAAAGGTATAGAACTATATATGCTACCTAAATGCGTATCAAATATTATGTAATTGCTTCAAGGACAGGTAAATTGTTGTTTATTACATAATAAACAGCGAACACTAGGTAAATTGCTAGAAAAACAGACGTATCAATATTAACACCAAAAACAACAATTTGAAATAAAAAGCATCAAGGCCAACAGGGAGAGTTCATATTGATAAAAGTTGTAGTCCACCAAAAAGATATACTAATCATATGCTTCAGTGTACCTCAGAATAGAATTCTGAAATCTATTGAATGTATATATATATCAATAGAATATTATACTGGATAAATAGAAAGTACCCATTCTTTCAAGCATCTACAGTCCTTTTACAAAATGAGTCATGTATTTGACCACAAGGAGAATTCCAATACATTTCAAAAAGCATAAGTTATACAAACCTTCTTGTCTGGCCACTGCACAATAAAATTAAAAATTAAAAAGCAGCAGCCAGGCATGGTAGCTCATGCCTG